>NC_000010.11:95749155-96052186 GCF_000001405.40 Homo sapiens
TGGAATACTTTAAAGACACTTTTCCCCATCAATGATTTTGTTGTCCTGGGGTACATTTTGTGCAGCAAAGGGAGGTTGAGTGTTGCTATTATCCCCCTTGTGTGTTTTCACAATAATGAATTCGTTCTAAAGGTGAACAGTGATTTCTTCATAGGGTCATTATGACTATGTGGATCTCAATATATCTGATACATTTCAATCCATTGCAGTTATTCTTTTTATTGCTGCTCAAATGTCTTCTTTTCTTATACTTTGGCCAGTAGGAGCCACTTAAAGTTAGCTCCTGAATCCTTTTGACACAACCCTAGTAATTTTAGATAGTGTCCTTGCTTTCTGGTATACCTCCTGCCCCAGACTTGGTTAGCTATTTTTCCAAAGGGCCTTAGGCCATTTTAGTAGAAAATAGCATTTACAAATAGCCATCTTGGTGCTGGGATAGAAGGTAATGATTTAGTAAAAACCTATAGGGAAGGAGGGAATGAGCCATGTGGATATTCGGGAGGACAGCATTCCAGGCAGAAAGAACAGCATATGCAAAGACTTGGAGGCTAGAGCTGAGGGAGCAAGAAGAGGACAGTAGTAGGAAAGAAATAGAGGTGACCAACTTCCTGGTGGGAAGTTGGAAGGACTTTGGCTTTTCTTGGGGTGAGATGGAGCCTTTTATAAATTTTGAGCAAAAGAGTTCCATAATCTTTTGTTTTGTTTAATTTTTAACTGAATTATTATAGTTTCTGGGTTGAAAATAGGCTGAAGAGTTTGAAGAGTAGAATCTGGGAGGAGACCAGTGAGGAGGCTATCACAATAATACAGGATACAGGTGAGAGATGATGTGGCTTGGATCAGTGTGGTAGCAGTAGAAGTAATAAGAAGAGGTCAGGTCCTGGATGTATCTGGAAGATAGGAACCGCTGAATTTGCTAAAGGATTAGACTTGGATTGTAAGGAAAGAGGATTCAAATGTGACTCCAAGGTTTAAGGCCTGAGATGTTAATGAAATTATAAAACATGATAACACGAGTGGCATCTCTTTTGTGGGTCAGCACAGTGTTTGTGTCTGTGGGAAAGGAGCGGGGATGGGTCAGGCAAAACTTCACGGGGGATGATGTGGTTTGGATATTTGTCACTTCCAAATTTCATGTTGAAATGTGATCCCCAATGTTGGAGGTGGGACCTGGTGGGAGGTGTTTGGGTCCTGGGGGCAGATCCCTCATGAATGACTTGGTGAAAATGAGTTCATTTGAAATCTGGTTGTTTAAGAGTCTGGCACCTCCCCTTTCTCTCTCGTGCTCCCTCTCTTGCTATGTGATGTACCAGCTCCCCCTTCACCTTCTGCCATGATTGTAAGTTTCTTGAGGTCCTCACCAGAAGCAGATGCTGGTGCCATGCTTCTTGCACAGACTGCAGAGCCATGAGCCAATTACCTCTTTATAAATTACCCAGTCTCAGGTATTTCTTTATTGCAATGCAAAAATGGCCTAACACAGGGGACCAGATATTTGAGTCATGAAAGATATATAGGAGGACCAGGTGGATAAGAGGGGAAACAGCATTCTGAGCAGGGTAATAGCTTGTATACATTCAGAGTTGTGGCCAGGCGCGGTGGCTCACGCCTGTAATCCCAGCACTTTGGGAGGCCAAGGTGGGCAGATCACGAGGTCAGGAGTTCGAGACCAGCCTGGCCAATATGGTGAAACCCCATCTCCACTAAAAATACAAAAATTAGCCGGCCATGGTGGCACGCACCTCTAGTCCCAGCTACTTGGGAGGCTGAGGCAGGAGAATTGCTTGAACCTGGGAGGCGGAGGTTGCAGCGAGCCAAGATAGCACCACTGGACTCCAGCCTGGGTGACAGAGCGAGACTCCATCTCAGAACAAAACAAAACAAAAATTCAGAGTTTTATAAGGATTATGGGTCCTGGAATTAGATTCAGTTTTTGGAGTGCAGGAAGCCTATAACAGGAAATGAGTTTAGAGAGGTAGAGAGAGTCCTTACATATTCGATGACAGGAATTTAAATTTTATTTTATGCATGATAAGGAGACTAGAATTTTTAAAGTCTGCCAATGACATTATCAGATATCGATTTCAGAAAGATGAGAGAGTATGCACTATGGCAGAAGTGACGAGAATGGAGAGAGGAGATGAATTTGAGAGATCTTAAGGTATAGAAACAATTGGATTTGGTAAACAATAAGATGTGGGATGTGGGGAGGGGTCTAGGAGGACCCTGAGGTTGCTGGGTTGTGTGACTAGGTGGATGGTAGTGCCATTATCTAATGTAGGGGTTGGGCGCAGTGGCTCACGCCTGTAATCCCAGGACTTTGGGAGGCCGAGGCAGCCTATCACCTGAGGTCAGGAGTTCGAGACCAGGCTGGACCACATGGCAAAACCCTGTCTCTCCTAACACAAAATTAGCCAGGCATGGTGGTGTGCACCTGCAATCCCAGCTACTCAGGAGGTGGAGGCACAAGAATCGCTTGAACCTGGGAGGCAGAGGTTGCAGTGAGTCAAGATCGTGCCACTGCACTCCAGCCTGGGCGACAGAGTGAGACATCGTCTCAAAAAAAAAAAAAAAAGTAGGGAATACTGGTACTGGATGGGAGCAGATTTGGAAGTAAAGATACAGAGTACAGTTTGGATGCTAAGTTTGAGCTGCTTGTGGGATATTCTCTTGACACCCAGTAGGTGGATGGAAATATGGATCTGGTGCTCATGGGAGTGGACTTGGCAGAAATGTAAAGGCATAAGAAGTTATGACCTAGGTAGAATAAGTGAAGTAGGGAGAGAAGGCAAAGGGTGAAGGTCTAGGGAATACCAACATTTACAAGACACAAAAGTTGACTGAAAAGGAGCCATCATACACAGATGGAGGAGGAAAATCAGACATGAGGGGGGTTCTGGAAAATAAGGAGAGATCAATTTTCAAGAAAGAAGGAAGGCCAACAATGGCCCATGCTACATAGATCCAAGAAGATAAAACACAAAAATTGGTCTTTGCTTTACAGGCCATTGGCAATCTTAGGGCAGTTTCATTGGCATGGTGCGGTGAGAAACGGGAATGCAATGGAAGGAGGAGTAAATGAATGAGGAGAGAATGGAGGTGATGAAGGAAGGCAAAGGTAGACCATGGTCTCAAGTAGCTTGTTTGTGAAGGAGCTGTTTTTGTTTTAATTAATTTTTTAAAAATTGTGATAAAATAGACATAAAAGTTACTATATTGCTGGGCCCAGTGTCTCACGCCTGTAATCCCAGCACTTTGGGAGGCCGAGGTGGGCAGATCACCTGAGGTCAGGAGTTCGAGACCAGCCGCCTGACCAACATGGAGAAACCCTGTCTCTACTAAAAACACAAAATTAGCTGGGTGTGGTGGTGCATGCCTGTAATCCCAGCTACTCGGGAGGCTGAGGCAGGAGAATCACTTGCACCCAGGAGGCAGGGGTTGCGGTGAGCCGAGATGCTGAGATCGCGACATTGCACTCCAGCCTGGGCAATAAGAGCGAAACTCTGTCTCAAAAAAAAAGTTACCATATTAATCATTTAAAATTTATTTTTATTTTTGTAGAGATGGGGTCTTGTTATGTTGCCTAGGCTGGTCTCAAACTCCAGGCCTCCAGACAACCTACTGCTTCAGCCTCCCAAAATGCTGGGGTTACACGGTGAGCCAATGCACCTGGCCCATATTAATCATTTTTAACAGTATACTTAAGTATTTTTAAGTACATTCACATTGTTGTGCTGCCAATCTCAAGAATTTATTCATCTTGCAACACTAATAATTCATACCATTAAACAACAGAATTTGTTTTTAAGAATGAGAATCACTTAAATATTTTATATGCATAGGGGGATGAACCGGTACAGTGAAAGAGGATGAAGGTGTAGGAAAAATGAAAATTCTACCATTCTAAGAACTTTATAAGACCATTTCATCATTAAAAGACAGACAAATATCTTTACCCCTTTCTGACAACTCCTTCCATCTTTCTGAGTGCAGTTTTAATTTTCTACTTTCTATTACAAAAAAAAACAATAAAATTGATGATAATTTTTTGTTGAGAAAGACGATTTATTTTTTAAGATAAATTCTGAGGCCTTTAGAAAGATACACACAAACTCCCATCTCTTTTATAATTATTCTTGTATGAATTGGTGATAATATATACTTAACCATAGTATTTTCATGATGCTGAGGAGGGTGCGAACCTGGACAACGTGATTAAATTGTAGCACAGAGCATATTACCATAAAAAGCATTAAATGTTGTCAAAAGGCTCATGTAATATGAATTAGGGGTTAAAACTATGTTTCTATTACTCCATATTCAGTTTGGATGAACTTCAAATATTTATGAAGTGCTAGTTACTATAATGAGATTTTACCTCTCCTGGTTAAACCAGAAGTTGGGTACTAGAACAATTTACTTTTTACTAACTCTTTCTCTCCCTGATGAAATGTAAAGAGAATGAGACAATTGTCAAAGTAACCTTTTGTCGACAACGTCTGATACAACATGACTGAAGTGACCTTGAATTTTAATTTTGTTTAAAATAGAGAACTGTGGCTAGGCACTGTGGCTCACACCTGTAATCCTAGCACTTTGGGAGGCCAAGGCAAGCGGATCACTTGAGGCCAGGAGTTTGAGACCAGCCTGGACAACATGGTGAAACCCAATCTCTACTAAAAATACAAAAATTAGCCAGGCTTAGTGGTGCGCATCTATAATCCCAGTTACGCGGGAGGCTGAGGCACAAGAATCACTTGAACCTGGGAGGCAGAGGTTGCAGTGAGCCAAGATCACGCCACTGCACTCCAGCCTGGATGACAGAGTGAGGCTCTGTCTCAAAAAAAAGAATGTAAGAACGTAGTAAAATAGGCCAGGCATGGTGGCTCACGCCTGTAATCCCAGCACTTTGGGAGGCTGAGGCGGGCGGATCACCTGAGGTCAGGAGTTCGAGACCAGCCTGACCAACATGGTGAAACCCCATCTCTACTAAAAATACACAAATTAGCTGGGCAAGGTGGCGGGCGCCTGTAATCCCAGCTACTTGGAGGCAGAGGCAGGAGAATCACTTGAACCCGGGAGGCAGAGGGTGCAGTAAGCTGAGATGGCTCCATTGCACTCCAGCCTGGGAGACAAGAGTAAAACTCTTGTCTCAAAAAAAAAAAAAAAAAAAGAACCTAATATCCTAATGTAATAAAGTAGAGAACCGTTGCCACAGCACCCACCAAAGTGTGTCTCTCATTGACAAGCTCAGGTACTTGTTTGTCTGTTTCTCCTGCCTACCCCTCAGCCACTCTGGATCTTCCCTTTGATCATTCTTTTCTCTTTCTAGCTTTGATGTTTTGGTTTCCATTCTGTAATTCGCACACTATTTTGTGGACATGCTCTTTTCAAATTTCTCTCCAAAACAATAGTACAAAGGCAGTCATAAACCAATTGTTGGTTTTTACAAAAAATCCCATCATATCACCAAAAACCAGTTTTATCATAACAGGATGAATATCAGACCAATATTCATTATTAGAGATGTAGTCTAAACTGACTCGGGAGAAGACATCCATTGAGTCTTTCATTCAGTGTAATTAGTTGTTATCATACATGCAAAATCCTATAACTATAAAGCATTTCAGAAATAAAGTATTGTTAAACAGCTCCAAATTTATTAAAGTATAAAAAATGTATTGAGTATATACCATGTGGCACCGTGCAAAGTAACAGAGATGCCTAAACTAAAAGGTTATCCTTTGTCCTTATTAAAGTATGACTGAAAGCTCGCTGGAGAATATAGTTTCTACATAGAGTCAAAACAGTCCTTCGGGCTCACAAATTTAATGATTTATATGGTATAACTGGCTTTAGATACAAATTTACATGCCAGACAAGCAATGTAGAAAAATCAAGAACTAGGAAACAGGAAAACAGATCTACATTTCTGCTTTGCTGCAATTCATTCATTTTTTTCAACCATTCATCAAATATTTATTGAGAGCCCATGCTGTGAGAGAAACTGTATTAGGTGCTGGGGAACATGGTAGCAAATAAGAGAGACCATGTATGTGAGCATGAGCAGGTGGCTTAACCTCTCCACATCTCTAACCTCTTTTAGACTCAATGTCTGAGGTATCTTTCAGACCTGAAATGCTAAGGTTTGCAACAGCCTTGTGGAGGGAGAAGCTGCCAAGTCGCCTTGGGACTTGAGGACTTACCTTCCTTTCAAAGGATTAGCCCTTGTTTTGATTTCAAAATAATTTTGTTACACAGTTTAAAAATAATTTGGTCAGGCTCTCATCTACATTGGGGTAATCTTGACGGTCTGGATGTGGTAATTCATGCTCATTAGACTTCAAAGGTAGGAAGTCAAAGTTGGGAAATGGTGGATGACTTTCATCAATTCATAGCCAGGCAGCGGTTCCCATTGAGCAGCTCCTCTGTGGTTCCACCCAGCCTTCCAACCAATAACGCAGCGTCTCCTGCAGGAAACTCATCGCTTGGGTCACCTGTTGCTCTTTGCTCTAATGAGCCTTGAGAAAGGATTGCTGGTCATGGGACCAGAGGCTTTATGGGGAGGGAAGAACTGTTCTTGACTTTCAGTTTTTCGAGCGGGTTTCAAGGTAACAACTTTCTTATTATCTAGCTTCATAATTGCAGTAAGGAATAGCTTTTTTTGCTTGCAGCTGAGATGACTTTTTCAAGGGAGAAAAAGGGATTTCTATAACGAAGAGAGGGAGAGAGAGATGAAGAGGGAGGGAGTAAGGGAGAGAGGGAAGAAGGGAGAAAGAGAGAGAGATTTGAATATACATTGCTTCAAGGATGCAAAAAATTACAACCTGGAAAAGGCTTCGAGTAACTTTAGGAAAATGAGCTGCTGGACTCCTCAGTCAATCTGTCCTTTCTAGTCAATGAAAAAGACAGGGTTTGAGGTTCCTTCCGAAACGGGGCCGGCTAATTTAGCCCCTCCCACGAGCCCAAGGGTCTGTTATATCTCTGTTTCCTTGAGGACCTCTCTCACGGAGACGGACCACAGCAAGCAGAGGCTGGGGGGGGGAAAGACGAGGAAAGAGGAGGAAAACAAAAGCTGCTACTTATGGAAGATACAAAGGGTAAGACCAAAATTGATTTGATCTGAATCCTTAAGAAAAAAAAAATAGAAGGAAAAATAAAAGCCCAGACCAAAAAGCAAGTACTTGAAAGCTGGAGGCAAAAAGCCCTGAATGAACTTTCCCACCCTCTTCCTTCTGAGAGGAGGCAGAGAAAGAGCTTTGGGAAACTTTTTAGGAAGCAGAGTCCAGGGTTGCAGTCAAGGGTGGCTCTAGAGCAAGCTGGAGGGGCTCATGAATATTCATTATCAATTTGTATTCAGAGTTGGTTTTTTTAGAGGCAAATGACTTTTTCAGTCCCCTTGCAGTTTAAGAGGCAGCTGCCTCATCTGCAGTCCGGACTCATCTAGCCTCGGGTCTGTACCTCAGGGTGTTTGCTTGAAGATGCTGGGCTCTGCGTGTAGATTTGTTTTGTTCTCGAATTTCTTGCATGCTTTCCTGTTGTGAAATTAGCAAAGGCTTCTTTGCTGGGAACAAGACAGAGAAGTTAATGTGGCACAAGGCTGTCACAACAGGACCCCAGAGTATGTCTTTCAAAATGCTGAAAGTTTCTTGAGATATGTGGGGGAGTTTTATGTGGGGGACAGAGTGGGGGACGGGGACGGGTAGAGGGAGGAAATAGAATAATTCTATCTTAAAAGGGCAGGTCACATCTGACTACATTTAGATTTTGTCTAAAAACTACAAGAGCAGCCTGGTTTGCACAGATGGTGTGCAGTCTCTATCTTTTACCTCTTTTGGGCATTTTCTGCCAAGACGGAGAGCCAGCTGCTTGCCAGCGTGTGAGAGCCAGGAAGAATCTCTGCAGCAGTGAGGGAGTATAGGGTTGTAAACCTCCTTCTCCTCCTTCTTTATCATCTCTAACTTCTAACATTCCCACATGCTTATACCGTATAGAACATGGAAGAATAGCATGAGTAGCCAACATATTTCTTAATACTTACAATAATGATAGCTGTTAATGTTGACTAAGTCTTTATTCTGTGTTGGGAGCTATACCTAGCATATTACATGTGCTACTTACTTGTCACATGAACCTTACAAGTGCTATCATTGACATTCCCATTTTCCAGATGGCATAATTGAGGTACTGAGAGGATAACTTGCCTTGAGATCTCATAGTTAGTAAGGGCTGAGTGTGGATGGAGGTGGTCTGAGGCAGGGCTGGTGGGCTTTTCCACTCCCCAATACTGTTTCTCTGCTTTTTCTGGTGCCCTGACATTGTGGATTTCAGGTTTGCAAATCCTTGAAGCTACTGGGGAAGTGATACTGGTAAAATCTTAAGTCTGTGAAGGAATTTGTACTTTGCACTCAAGTTCACATACATTTTCCTCATTTGGTGCTCATGGCCATTCTCTATGAGAAGCAGGTATTGTTATTATGGTCTTTTGCAAAAAGGAGAAACTGAGGTCAGAAGGGGTTAGTTTGGTGACACCAGTCACAGCTAGTTGTCAAAAGTCTGGACTGGGGGGCTGGATGTGGTGGCTCGCACCTGTAATCCCAGCACTTTGGGAGGCCGAGGTGGGCGGATCACCTGAGGTCAGGAGTTCGAGACCGGCCTGGCCAACATGATGAAACCCTGTCTCTACTAAAAATACAAAAATTAGCTGGGTGTGGTGGTGTGCGCCTGTAGTCCCAGCCACTTGGAAGGCTGAGGTAGGAGAATCACCTGAACCCGGGAGGCAGAGGTTGCAGTGAGCTGAGGTTGCACCACTGCACTCCAGCCTGGGCGAGAGTGAGACACTGTCTCAAAAAAAAAAAAAAAAAAAAAAAAAAAAGATTTGGACTGGATCTGAAACCCTCTGCTTCTGGTTTTTCTTCCAACCTACAGAGCAGACCCAGTCATCTCTGAACGTCTGTCCCCACCCCAAGCTGCGCCTCATTGAGTTGCTTTCAGTTCCCCAAAGGAACTGCATCTTTCCTCAGACTGAAGCTAGGCACTTTCTTCTGTTTTAAGGGCCTATCTGGTACTCTGCTTCCCCTTTAGTCTGGAGCCGAGCTGCCTGGGTTTGAATTTCAGCTCCACCATTTACTGTGTGCCTTAGTTTCATCATCTGTAACATGAAGAGAATAACAGTAACATCTATCTTACAGGGTTGTGGTAAGGACTGAATGAGGGATTCATGCAAAGTTTTTAGAACAGGGCCTGATATATAGTATTGCTAAATAAATATTAACATTTGCTATCACTGCTTGAAGCCTCATATTGGGTGTTATTCCCCTTTAAGCCTTCTCTAATCCTTCAAGTCTAGATTAGCCCCCATCTTGGATGCTTCTATAGTACCTCATCAGTTATGCCTAAGGTGGCACTCATCATACTTGTCCATGCTCCTGCCCTCTGCATCACCTTCTCTCCCTTCCAATTATATTTTCTGTATTCACCTTTAGATCTGCAGTGTCTAGTGCAATTTTATTTTTAGTCTCTAAACTTGTGGCAACTTTCTCATCAGTGTGGGCAGAGTGGTGGGAGAGGGGCCTCAGTCATGATAGGGGTACAGGAGGTAGCCACAGAGGATGACCATATAGCAGTCATAGAGGGCCAGAAGCCACGCAGGAAGTGGACATATGCTGAGTACTGATTCAGGAAGAGCACATGTCATTCAGCAACCAATGGTTAAGGTGTCAGGTTTCAATGACCTTCTCCATGAGGTCTGTGAGGTCCTCTGACGTACTTATTGTGGGTCAGCTTGGCAGCCACATTCATCAGCCCCTGGGACAGGTTCTTGAATTTGGTGTTCCTCTCAGAGAACATCCCAAGCTTTCCTTAGAAGGTGGTACACACCAGGCTCTTGTGCAAGTCCAAAAGGTCCTTGTCAGCCATTAGCACCTTGAGTTCCCTAATGGGAACTCAATAAATATTTAGTAAGTGAAGTATTATTATTTTAGCTGATGCTCATTTGAGACCTTCAAGAGGCTTGTTTAAAAGGGGACCTTTGAGTTTGCAGTAGGGTTCCCCACTGGTACATATAGATCTTTGGCACAATCTGTAAAGACGTCCCTCTATGTGGATACACTGAAAAACAAAATGCATCCCTCTGGGTGGATGATTTTCAGAGCTAATGTAACCCCATGCCAGGGCACCCTGTTGGGCAAGTGAAGCTCTGGCTGAACTTCAGCCCCTACTCCCTGCTCAGCCAAGGGCCAAACTGGAGATTTCAGATGCCTCATAGCCAACTTTGCTTTCTCTGAACAGAACATCTGGTTCCATAAATAGTGTCTTTCTAGCCCTACTTTATAGCAACCTTGCTGTCTGAGATAATGTACTCTGGTAATGAAATAAAAACAAACACTACAGAAGTTGGCCCTGGGAAAAATCATAAAGTACGCTATGGTTTTTTCCAGCACCCTCCCTTTCCTCTTCCTGGCATACCTTCAAACCATTTTGACAAATATTATTGTGTGTCTACCATTTGTAAGTTCCCATGCCACACAGATCCTTGGATAAACAGTTTGCTCACGGTCTAGTGGGGAAGCCTAATAATAATAGCTGGGAAGTGCTAATAATAATAGCTAACATTGATCATTTATTATGTGCCAAACATTGTAATGTGTGTTGTCTCATGTAATCTTTACAAAAATTCCATGATATTGGTTTCTGCATCTTCCAGCTGTGGAAGGAGGTCATTTGGTTAAGGCCACACAGCTAATAATAGGCAGAGGGGAAATTTTGACTGATGTGGTTAGGCTGCAAAGTCTGGGATCCTAATGGATACGTTCTACCTCCTCAAGAGCTGTAATGTAAGTCTAAACAAAGTGCCATGACACAGTGGTGCACGCTTGTAGTTCCAGCTACTCAGGAGGTTGAGGCAGGAGGATAGCTTGGGCCCAGGAGTTTGAGGCTGTAATGTGCTATATTTGCACCTGTGAATAACCACTGCACTCCAGCCTGGGCAACATGATGAGACTTTGTCTCTAACAAAATAAAAATAAAAAATAATAATACAAGAGAAAGTGCCATGAGAAGCAGAATAGGGAGCGATGGCTTCTGGAGAAACTTCTCAAAGGATAGGACACTTCAGTTGGATCTAGAAAGATGAGTAGAATCTGGTGCCCATGGCAAGCCCCTTCACCCTCCCAGCAGTGCTTGAAGATCTTTTCTCTCTTTTACCTTAACTATAGTGTAGATTTAAGAGTAAAAAGCCCCCTTTTTTCCCAAGCTCTGAGCAGTCAACCTACTTACATGTCCATCTTGGAGATTTGAAGGCAGAAGTACAGAGTTTATCCTTCACTATGGGTCGTGTAATCAAATAAGCCTTTACAAAGCAATCAGCTGCACATTAAATGATTTCCTTAATCATGATTGCACTGCGGGGTAATAACATACATCTGGTAAACAGTTTTTATAAATCATTGTGATTGGTATTGCCTTTACTTGGTCAAATTGCATTTTGAGAGTGCTTTCCCTCTTGTGTTGTCTTTTTGGTTGTTTCTCCGCTCTTTATAACTGGTAATGGTGCTGAAGGGCACTAGTGTTTAATCGCACCAACTACTGTCCAGAGGTGATGGGCTCCATCTGTGTAGAGTGAAGGTGAGGCCTGGAGTAAATTACATAGAGTTTATTCTTTTTTTTTTTTTTTTTTTTTTTTTTTTTTTTTGAGACGGAGTCTCGCTTTGTCGCCCAGGCTGGAGTGCAGTGGCGCGATCTCAGCTCACTGCAAGCTCCGCCTCCCAGGTTCACGCCATTCTCCTGCCTCAGCCTCCCGAGTAGCTGGGACTACAGGCGCCTGCCACTACACCCGGCTAATTTTTTGTAATTTTTAGTAGAGACGGGGTTTCACTGTGTTAGCCAGGATGGTCTCGATCTCCTGACCTCATGATCCGCCCGTCTCGGCCTCCCAGAGTGCTGGGATTACAGGCGTGAGCCACCGCGCCCAGCCATAGAGTCTATTCTTTTAAGTACTTCGGAGGAAGGCCAAAATCAAGGGCAGCCCCTGTGGTGAAGAATCACTAAATGTCTTGATGGTTTGGTGAAGTGTGCAAGAGTGGAGTCACTTGTTTGTCTTGGTGATTTTGGTGTGTGTGTGCATATGTTCTGAAGCAGTGCTTCTCAAACTTTAGCATGAGTATGTATCATTAGAGAACTTGTTAAAAATGCAGATTCTGATCCAATAGCTCTGAAGTAGGTCTACATTTCTAACAAGTTCCCAGGCGATGATAATGCTGCCCCTCCACAGACCACACTTTGACTGGCAATGTGGCAGGGTCATCGCATGCCTTAGTCTCAGGGCTTATTTTGGTACTAAATGACCAAGCTCTTCCCACCCTCTACTCCCTCACCAAGCTGCCACTTCTAGTCACTGGTCAGGTGTCATTGCAGGATGATGGGAAGCCTAATTCATTTATTCATTCAGCAAATATATGCCCTAGAACAGGAAATTGAGGCTCCCAATTTGCCAAATCCTAGAAACTGGAATCTTCAGCACACAAAAACTACTGTTACACAAAAAGGCCTTGTGTTAGATTTCCTGCATGTCTCCACCTTTTCTCCATGGCTCCAAGCTTCCCTAAACTTCCCTTATTCTCTGCCTTCAACTTGAGAAGTACTGGAGCAGAATGTGTGGCTGCCTGCAGAATCTTGTGCTGGGTGTTGGAGTCCCAGGGAGCTAGAGGTAGCAGGGACTCAGGGCTCTGAGACTGGCAACAGTGTGCCTGAGGCATTGTCTACGCTCTGCAGAAGAAAGGTGGGAATAATTCTAGGAGCAAAGCAAGGAAAGTGGGTGCAGAGAGAACCGATGGAATTTCTTTAGGCTTGAAAACTTGAGGGGGTTGTGAAGAGAAAATAAGTTGTTGGAGAAAAAAATCCAGAGTAGAGGTTGTCTAACATGTATGAAACATGCTGTTTTTGTTAGATCATCAAAGTGACTTTAGAGACCGACAGTGGCAGTACATGCCCTGTTACACAAAGAGGTGTTTCCTTCCATAACCACTGCTTGGTTTAAAAAAATTTAAAAAGAAGCAAAAAAAAAAAAAAAAAAGAAGTGTTTCCTTTTGATTCATAGGAAGGATGTAAAGCATTGCTTTATGTCCGTGAGGATACAAGTAACATAGCACATGCCCATTAAAGAAAACATGATACTATAGATTACAGTAGGGAAGAAAAACAATCACTTGTAATATTTTGGTGCCATTTCCTGGCAGTTTTTTTTTTTTTTTTTTACTATGCCTGGGTTGTTTCTCTCATTTGGCATTCACTTGAATAGGACCTTGAAAAGTTATGAGATGGCACCATGATCATTAGGCTATATATGCAGTTTTAAAGCCTGGTTTTACTGTAGCAGTGAAGCACATGTATTTTCCATTTTATAGCGTGGTCTTTGTTAGCGTAATTTTTATAGTCACATAGTTTATTTAACAGTTCTCCTGTTATTGAATATTGAGGATGTTTCCATTTCCAATAAATGTCTTTGTGCAGGAAGTTTTTTCCATATGTAGGATTGCACTCTGAGGACAGGATCCCAGAAATAGACTTACTAGATTGAAACTTGTTAATGTTTTTTAAAGTTCTTGATTACTGTTGCCAGGTTGCATTCCCAAAGGTTGGGCCCTTCATGCTCTCAAAAGCAGTTCCTGTTTTGTGGCATCCCTGACAGCTTTGGTGTTTTTGTTTTTAAATAATTTTATCAATTTTTAGATTGTTTTAGTTTGTATTTCTTAATTACAGTAAATTTGACATTTTTCACGATATACTTCTTTTGTATACTTTTTACATCCTTTTCCTGTTTATTATAATACTTATTTGGATTTGATGTTTTTAATCAACTTATGTGCATGCTTTATCATATAAAAGTATTCAAGTTTTCCTGCCATACTTATAATAGTTTTTCTGTATTTATTTATTTATTTATTTATTTTTGTTATGACGGGGTTTCACCATGTTGCCCAGGCTGGTCTCAAACTCCTGGACTCAAGTGATCTGCCTGCCTAGGCCTCCCAAAATGCTGGGATTACAGGTGTGAGCCACCACACCCGGCCTCTGATAGTTTTTCTGAATCTGTTCTTACTGTGAATAGATCCAACACATTTTTATATGTGGTGTCATCGTTTTCTAAATAGTTTGACATCACATTTTTATTCTCTGTAGCCCAGAATATTACTTCTAAAAGATTGTAAATGATTTTTATTTTTGTTTGCCATTATAATTAATTTTTCATTTTTTCCATGATGGTTAGAGAATATGGCTTTATAATTTCTGAGGTTTCCTTGTAACTAAGCATATGATGGGTTTGTGTAAATCTATGAACACTTGTGAAGAAGCTGTATGTTTTTAGGATATAAAATTGGATATTTATTAATCAATCCAGTCTTTTCAATTATATGGTAATTTATCTCCAACCATAATATTCTCTGATGGGTAGAGAGGAGCTTAGTCCTACCAACACCTTGATTTCAGTCCAGTGAAACTGATTTCAGCCTTCAGACTTCCAGAACTGTAAGAGAATAAATGTGTCTTGTTTTAAACCACTGAGTTTTTTTATGGTAATTTGTTATAGCAGGCAAAGAAAACGAATACGGTAAGTGTTTAATGAAAGGAAGTGCTGGTGGCTTTAGTTAGTTAACACACAGGCTTATAGTGGACATTGGTTCGCACACTATTCTAATCACCTTACAGATGTTAATTCAGTTCTCCAACCATCCAAGGAGGTTGGTATTATTTACTGTTAAATAACTCAATTGTTAAAGTCTCTCAGTTGGTAAGTGTTGAAGTTGAGATTCAAATCCATAGTTGTTGATCTTATTATCTGGAGACACAATTCACATATCATACGATTCACCAACTTAAAGTCGACAATTCAGTGGTTTTAGTATATTCACAGGATTGTGTACCACCACCACAATCAATTTTGGAACATTTTATCACCCTGAAAAGAAACCTCATACCTATTAATGGGCACTCCCCATTTCCTCCCTACATGGCCCCCACCGTTCTGAGTCCTAGGAAAACACCAATCTACTTTCTGTCCCCACAGTTTTGCCAATTCTGGACATTCATTTCATAGCATATATCCCATTGAATGTATATACCACATTTTATTCATCAGTTGATGAATATTTGGATTGTTTTTACTTTTTGACATTATGAATAATGCTGCTGTGAGCATTCATGGACAAGTGTTGGTGTGGACTTGTTTTTAATTTCTTTTGGTTATATACCTAGGAGCAAAATTGCTGGGTCACTTGTATGTCTATGTTTAACCATTTGATGAACTGCCAGACTGTTTTCCAAAGTAGCTGGACCATTTACATTTCCACCAGCAATATATGGTGATTCCAATTTCTCCACATCCTTGCCAACACTTTTTATTCCCTATCTTTTATTATAGCCTTCCTAATGAGTGTGAAGTAGTATCTCATTGAGGTTTTGATTTGTATTTCCCTGATGGCTGATGGTTTTGAAAATCTATTCATGTGTTTAGTGGGCATTTGTGGATCTTTTTTGGAAAAATGCCTGTTCAGATCCTTTGCCCATTTTTTTTTTTTTTTTTTTTTGAGGTGGAGTTTTGCTCTTGTTGCCCAGGCTGGAGTGTGATGGCGTGATTTTGGCTCACTGCAACCTCCACCTCCTGAGTTCAAGCAGTTCTCCTGCCTCAGCCTCCGGAGTAGCTGGGATTACAGGCATGTGCCACCACACCCGGCTAATTTTGTATTTTTAGTAGAGACGGGCTTTCACCATGTTGGCCAGGCTGGTCTCGAACTCCTGACCTCAGGTGATCCACCTGCCTCGGCCTCCCAAAGTGCTGGGATTACAGGCGTGAGCCACCACGCCTGGCCTCTTTGCCCATTTTTTAAATGGGTTTACCTTTTTATGATTGAGTTGCAATGATTCCTTATATATTCCCTTTTCAGATATATGATTTCCAAAAATTTTCTCCCATTCTGTGGGTTGTCTTTTCACTTTCTTGATAGTGTTGTTTGCAGCACAAAATTTAAAAGTTTTAAATTTTGATGATATTCAATCTATAGTTTCTTTGGTTCTTATGGTTTTGTTGTCCTATCTAAGAAACTATTGCCTAATCCAAAGTCATGAAGATATACATCTATATTTTCTTCAAAGAGCTACATAGTTTTAGCCCTTGCATTTAGGTTTTTAATCCACTTTGAGTTAGTTTTTGTATATGTTATGAGGTAGGGGCCAAACTTCATGTTTTTGTGTGTGAATATCTAGTTGTTCCAGCACCATTTGTTGAAAAGATTATTATTTTCTCCAGTGAATTGTTTTGGCACCCTGTTGAAAATCAATTTCCCATAAGTGTGAGCGTTTTTTTCTAGACTCTCAGTTATATTCCATTTCTTTATATATCTAGCCCTATGTCAATTCCACATTTCTTGATACTACAGCTTGGTAGTAAGTTTTGAAATCAGGCAGTGTGAGTCCTCCAATTTCATTTTATTTTTTAAATATTGTTTGGGGTATTATGGGTCCCATTAACTTCCATATGAATTTTAAGATCAGGTTGTCAACTTCTGCAAGGAAGCCAGCTGAGATTTTGATAAGATTGCATCAACTGTAAATCTATTTAGAGAATATTGCCATCTTAAAAATATTAAATCTTCTAATCCATGAACATATGATGTCTTTCTGTGTATGTAGGTCTTACTTAATTTCCTTAAGTAATATTTTGTAGTTTTCAGAGTGTAACTTTTGTATTTCTTTTGTTAAATTTGTTCCTAAGTATGATTTTCTTTTTGATGCTATTATAAATATAATTGTTTTAAAATTTCATTTTTGGTTTGTTATCATAGATTTACTTTTTTTGTTGTTGTATTAATTTTTTTATTTTAAAATGACTTCAAAATTACAGAAAAGTTACAAGAACAATTCAAAGAGCATTTCACAAGTATTCACCAATTTAAAAAATTCTGCCACATTTATCATTCTCTCTTCCCTTTTATATCTCTCCCACACACAACAGTCACATATAGTATTGTTCCTGAACCATTTGAGAATAAGTTGTATATATTATGTTCCTTTACCCCTAAATATTTCAGTATGTATTTCCTAAGAACAAAGATTTTCTCTTATATAACCACAGTACAGTAGTCAAACTCAGGAAATCTAACACTGATAGAATACTTTCAATTGTAGTCCATAATCAAATTTTGTTAATTGGTCAAACAATTGTTATCATAGATTTACTTTTAACCTCAATTACGCTCAATACTATATTCCTCATAAGTTCTTAGATTCTCTAACAGTGCTTCAAATAATAATGACTTCATGCTCTTAATGCAATTAAGATTCATTTAATTCAATACAATTGTCTGTTGTCTATTTACCTCTACTCATATTTTGTATGTTTTTGCAGTTCATATTTTGATAAAATATTGAAATAACTCTTTTTATCTACTTTTTTAGTCCTAAATTCTGTTCCCCCTTCTCATTTGGCTGATATATTTTGTCCATCTTTATTTTTAATCTTTCTAAATCCAATTTGATTCTCTGTTTTAATAAAGGAATGTAAACAGTTCACATTTATTTTATCTGCCTTTTCTCATTTTATTCTCTTTAGTGTTTAATGTTTTTTTCTGTTATGCTTTTTGCTATACAGACTCTGGACTTTGTTATTTGTTTTTATATTTCCACAAAGCTGTGAATAACGGACATCTTACTTTTAATTGTACTTGTAGCAATCTTTTTTTTTTTTTTGAGGCAGGGTCTTGCTCTGTCACCTAGGCTGGAGTGCAGTAGCATAATCATAGCTCAATGTAACCTTGAACTCCTGGGCTCAGGTGATCCTCCTGCCTCAGCCTTCTGAGTAGCTAGGGCTACAGGCGTGCACCACCATACCCAGCTGATTTTTTATTTTTTGTAGAAACAGGGTCTTGTTATGTTGCCCAGGCTGTGGAAATAAAAGAAAAGCATTCCATCCTGGCTAACATGGTGAAACCCCATCTCTACTAAAAATACAAAAAAAATTAGCCGGGCGTGGTGGTGGGCGCCTATAGTCCCAGCTACTCGGGAGGCTGAGGCAGGAGAATGGTGTGAACCTGGGAGGCAGAGCTTCAGTGAGCCGAGATCATACCACTGCACTCCAGCCTGGGAGACAGAGCGAGACTCCATCTCAAAAAAAAAAAAAAAAAAAGAAAGAAAAAAGGAAAGCAAAACATTCCTGAGCTTAAATTTATCTTAATATCAAAGTGAAATTAGTAATTTTTGACCCCATTATGAGAGAAGGATTAAGAGTTTTTGTGTCCCTGTGTCCTCCTTTTTCTTATTTTAAATATTTAATTTGATAATATTATAAATTCAAATAGTAAAAATTATGTTAGTCACTTATTTCACAGGATTTTTTCTCTTTATTTGGATATTAATAATCAAATTCATCCATCCATGAATTTAATGAATTTTAATATAGTTCTTATCTCACTATGCCTTTCCCCATTCTTGGGACCCTAATCTTGATTCCTTTCATAATGATCTAGTAAGCATATTAATTTTTAGAAAGGGGATCAGTGTTATAAAAGAGAGACAACTTCTCTTAAATATAGCAATCTTTCCCCCTCAAGTCATTGGAAATATTCCTCCATTGTCTTGAGAAGTTTGATGCTGTAAAGAAGTTGCTATAGTTTGAATATGTCCCCCCAAAAGCATATGTTCAAAACTTAATCCCCAGTATAACAATGTTGGGAGGCAAGACCTACTGGAGGTGCTTGGGTCATGAGGGCTCCACCCTGATGAATGGATCAATGCCAATAATAAAAGGACTTGAAGCTGTGAGTTTGTTCTCTTGCTCTTATGCTCTCTTGCCCTTTGCTTTCTGCCATGGGATGACACAGCAAGAAGGCCCTTGCCAGATGCTGGCCCCTTGATCTGGAACTTCCCAGCCTCCAGAACTGTGAGCCAAATAAACTTCTGTTGTTTATAAATGACTCAGTCTGTTGTAGCAGCACAAAACAGACTCAGAAGTTGAGGACAACTGTTTTTTAGCCTGAATGGTTTTTGTTCCCCATTTCTGAAATTTACAACTTTCACAATAAGATAACTGGGTATAGACTTCCTTTCAAAAATTTTTGCCTGGGATATGGTAAACCCTCTTGATTTCCAAATTTAGGACTTATTTAGGAGCAAGAAAGATTTCTTCTGTCACAACTTTGATTAATGCTGCTGTTTTGTTTGTTTGTTTTTTTCTTCTTCAGGGACCTATTTGGATCTCTTATCTCTAAATTGCCTGCCTGTGGCCTGCCTGCCTGCCTCCTTCCCTCTTTCTTTCTCTTTCCCTCTCTTTCTTCTTTCTTTCTTTTCTTTTTTCTTTCTTTCTCTCTCTCTTTCTTTCTCCTTCCTTCTTTATTCCTTTCATTTTCTTCATTTATTTTTCATTGCATTCTGAGACTATTTTCCTAAGAATTTCCTCTATATCACTGATTCAATTTTCCTTAACTATCTCCCATATAAACTTTCATTCAGTTACAGTGTTTTTGGCTTCCATGAAATCTTTTATTTTAGCTTGTTTATGGCAACATCCTCTTGTACAGAGTTCAAAAAAACAAACGATTTCCATCTATTCCTGCTTCATATCTATTTTAGAGGCAAGCTTTTCCTTCATTGTTCTTTCTATTTTCTTGCAAAATTTATTTAATCTAAGGCCTTATCCTTGAAAGAAAAGAGATTCCTTTTGTATGTATGTATGGATGAATGTGTTTTTCACCTTATCCTAAAAAGTATTTAAGGATGTATTAGGGGAGATTTATCCCAGTCTAACGTTGATATGGATGGAATGCATAGTCTGCCCATGGCTCCCTTAGGTTCTGTTCAGGTCTTGGAAAAATGCAATCACCAAATGCTAGATCCCCATCTAAGTATGAGAAGACATCTAAATCCTCCAGGCAGAAAAGTTCACTCAGACCCAGGAAAGAAGGCAAAAGTCTCGCCATGTACAGTAGTCATGTTCCAGAAGATAGAGTGACTAGGGCTGTCAGAGTTCTGTCAATATGGTTGTCCAGAGGCATAAAGGCATTCAGGAAGGAGCCTTTGCTCCTTCCCCACTGAGAGCAAACCTCTGTTGAATTAGGGAGTGAGCTCCTGTTCCACTGCTTAGCAGTTTTCCTCAGCCTTTTTTTGGATATCATTTCTAAGATCTCTTTAGACTTGTGGTAGCATATGGCTGCTAGTGTGGCTGTTTCTGTGAAGAACATTCCACGCAGAGGAACCAACATGTACAAAGTCCTGAGGAGAAATTAAGTGTTTAAGAAACAACAAAGAATCCAGTGTGGTTGGAGTGGAGAAAGCAAGGAGGTGAGAGCTGAGAGGTAGGTTTGGCCTAAATAGAATGTCTAGCATCCTGCAGGCCACTGTATAGCCTTTGGCTTTTACTTATAGAGCAATGGGAAACCACTGTGAGTGTTGAGCACAGGAGTGACTTTATCCAATTCACGTTTTAATAGGATCACTCTGGCTGCATTGTAGAGAACAGACATAAAGGGATATAAGCAGAGAGACTAGTCGGGAGACTACTGCAGTAATACAGGTAAAAGATGATGGTGTCCATTTCCAGGTAGTAGCAGTGGACACGGTGAAAAGTGATTGGATTTGGGATCTAATAGAGCCAATAAAATCTCCTAGTTGGATTTAGATGGGAAACAAGAGAGGAGGAAACTTGACTCCAAGGTTTTGGGCCTTCCAAGAAACTAGAAGGATGGAGTTGCCTTGAGATGAGAAGACTGTAGGAGGAATAGTTTTGAGTGGGAAGATCAGGATCTCGGTTTTGGGTGTGTTAATGTTCCGATGCCTATTTGACATGGGTCTTTCAAATAGAGCAGATGGATATACAAATTTGGAGTTTGGGGAAGAAGACTGGACTTGAGATACAAATTTAGGTCATCAGATGGTGTTTAAACTGAGTGAGACAGGATTTAAATCCAATGAGACTGGGTAAGTGAGTGTAACTAGAAAAAAAAAAAAACGACAATGCTCTAAGGACTGAGCCGGATGCTCCAACTTTAAAGGTTGGGGATAGGAAGAGAAACCGTCCAAGAAGATTGAGAGAGAGAGAGAGAGTGAGTGAGTGAGTGTGTGTGTGTGTGTGTGTGTGTGTGTTGGAGTGGGGGAAGGAGGATAAACTAGGTAGGTGAGTATGGTGTCCTGGGAGCCATCGGAGAAAAGTGTTTCAACTGGGTCTAACTGGGTCTAATGCTGCTCATGGGTAAAATAAGATGAAACTGAGAATTGACCCTGGCATTTGGCACAGTGAATGTTGAAAGTTGTTAGTAAAGATTTCACAGGTAGAGGAAGTCTTTTAGGGATGGAAATATTTACAGAGAGGTGTGTAACTTCCTGGTGCTGATGTCCATCCAGACTGCAGACATTTTCTGTGAAAGAAAAGCCAGAGGCCTTTCAGGGCCAGGAAGTATGGTCTTTTTCAATTGTGTTTTTCTCAAAAAGCTTGCTCTAAGATTCACATTGTGAAGACAGCCCAAACTCCAGGCCCCTACCTACTGTTACTCTTCCCAGAACTGCCTTATGGCTTCAGAGAGCAGATCTGTTTGCAAAACTAATGGAGGATTAGGGCTGGGGAGGAGTAGAAGATCACATTTCAAATGTGGTGTAGGTATCTATGCATTTGGCATTTTAAAAAGACTCAGTGGATTTTAGTGCTAGAAGAGACTTAAATATCCTCAAATCTCTTAATTAAAATGAAATCAATTGCATTTGCTGTTTTAATTACAAAAATAATACAAGTTTATAACAAAATTTAAAATATATAAAGAATAAATAAGAAAATAAAAATTTGTGTAAGTTTACTACTCATAACTCTGTCATATGACTTTTTAGTCTTTCTCTTGTTCCCTCTCTTTGGCTTACTTTTTATTGTTTTTTAGTATTTATTTTCTACAAATTTGGATCCATGTTATGCATACCAATTGTAATCCTCAATTTTACTTTACAGTTTGTCGTGACAATTGAATGGCTTTTACCATATGATCTTTTAATGGCTGCATATAATATTCCATCATTTGAACATGTACCATATGTCTATTTAACCATTTCCTTTTGGGAAACATTTGAGAAACTTCCAGTTACTTTCCAAATTATTTTTCAAAAACATTTGCAAGTTATTTTCCAAATATATAATTATATTATAACTTCTGTGGATTAATCTCATTTCACATCTTTGACAGTTTCTTTAGGATCAATTCCTAAAAGTAGAATTTCCAAATTTCTTTCCAAATTTCAGCAGTGTATGAGTGATAGAAACATTGAAGTCCTGAGGTGGGAAGGAATGTGCTCATGTTGCACAACTGGTTGGTGGCTGAGTGTGCCCAGTTCCCTTGCCTTTTTGAAAGAGCCCCTCTCCTTTTCTTCCTACCATGCTTTCTATAGCATTTCAGCCTCCTTTTAGTGATGTCCCGTATGACTCCTTGGACCTTGATGACATTTAACCTTTTCCTGAAAACTCTTGGCTCCCACTTATCCCAAACTAGTCCCCCAGTGTATCTCTGGGCATGAACTCTGAACAATTAGAGATGTCCTTTTTCATGAGAGAAGATGTACACTTCTCAGATACATTTTCTCTTTAGGGGTACAAATGTTTTCCCATTAGTCAAGAACTGCCACCCATTAGATATTCCTTCATGTATCCGAAGGCTTCCTGGAGTTTTCCTGACTTCTTTTTAGCTTTACTGATCATATATTTTCTCTCTAAAATCTTACTCACTGTAGTACAGACATACTTTAAAGTTATTGCAAGTTTTGTTCCAGACCGCTACAAAGGAAGTAACGTGATTAAAAGAGTAGTATGAATTTTTGGTTTCCCAGTGCATATAAAAGTTATGTTTACACTATACTGTATCTATTAAGTGTACAATAGCATTATGTTTAAAAAAATGCACCTTAATTAAAAATACTTTATTGCTAAAAAAATGCTAACAGTCATCTGAACCTTCAGTGAGTGGTACTCTTTTTGTTGGTGGAGAGTCTTGCCTTGATGTTTATGTTGCTGACTTATCAGGAGTTGGTTGCTGAAGGTTGGAGTGGCTGTGGCAATTTATTAAAAGAAGACAACAATGATGTTTACCACATTGAATGACTCTTCCTTTCGTGACAGATTTCTCTGTAGCATGTGGTGCTGTTTGATAACATTTTACTAACAGTAGAACTTCTTTCAAAATTGGAGTCAATCCTCCTCCAGCACTCCTGCTGTTTCATTGAGCAAGTTTACATAATATTCTAAATCCTTTGCTGTCATTTCAACAATGTTCACAGTATCTTCCCCAAGAGTAGATTCCATCTCAAGAAACCACTTTCTCTGTTCATCCATAAGAAGCAACTCCACAGCTGTTCAAGTTTCATCATGAGATTGCAGCCATTCATTCACATCTTCAGGCTCCACTACTAATTCTAGTTCTCCTGCTGTTTCCATCACTTCTGTAGTCACTTTCTCCACTGAAGTCTTGAGCCCCTCCAAGTCATTCATGAGGGTTGGAGTCAACTTCTTCCAAACTCCTGTTAATATTGGTATTTTGACCTCCTCCCATGAATCATGAATGTTCTTAATGGCACCTAGAATGGTAATTTTTGTCCAGAAGGCTTTCAATTTACTTTGCCCAGGTCCAACAGAAAAATCATTATGTATGATAGCTATAGCCTTATTAAATGTATTTCTTAAATGAGACTTGAAAGTCAAAATTACTTTGTTTTGTGTTGCTATAAAGGAATACCAGAGACAGGGAAATTTATAAAGAAAGAAAGTTTATTTGGCTCACAATTCTGATGGCTTGAAAGCTCAAGATTGGGCATCTGGCGAGGGTTTCAGGCTGCTTCCACTCTTGGAGGAAGGTGAAGGGGAGCCAGAGTGTGCAGAGATCACATGGTGGGAGAGGAAGCAAAGTATAGAGAGGCCGGTGCTAGCCTCTTTTTAACAACCGCTCTCATGGGAACGAATAGAGTAAGAGTTCACTCACCCCCAAAGAAGGTCATTGATCTATGCATGAGGGATCTGCCCCCATGACCAAACACCTCCCATTTGGCCCCACCTCTAACACTGGGGATAAAATTTCAGTATGAGGCTTGGAGGAGACAAATATCCAAACCGTAGCACTCCTTGATCCATAGACTGCAGAATGGATGTTGTATTAGCAGGCATGAAAACATTTATCTTCTTGTATATCTTCATCAGAGCTCTTGGATGACTAGGTGCATTGTCAATGGACAGTAATATTTTGGAAGGAATTTTTTTTTTCTGAGAAGCAGACATCAACAGTGGGCTTAAAATATTCAGTAAACCTTACTGTAAACAGATTTATGGTCATCCAGCCTTTTTTGTTCCATTTATAGAGCACAGGCAGAGCAGATTTAACATAATTCTTAAAGGCCCTAGGATTTTCAGAATGGTCAATTAATAATGGCTTAAACTTAAAGTCACTAGCTTCATTATCCTTTAACAAGAGAGTCATCCTGTCCTTTGAAGCTTTGAAGCCATCCTTTTTTATGGCTGCATAGTATTCCGTGGTGTATATGTGCCACATTTTCTTAATCCGGTCTATCACTGATGAACATTTGGGTTGGTTCCAAGTCTTTGCTATTGTGAATAGTGCTGCAATAAACATACATGTGCATGTGTCTTTACAGTAGCATGATTTATAATCCTTTGGGTAGATACCCAGTAATGGGATTGCTGGGTCAAATGGTATTTCTAGTTCTAGGTCCTTGAGGAGTTGCCACACTGTCTTCCACAATGGTTGAACTAGTTTACACTCCCACCAACAGTGTAAAAGCGTTCCTATTTCTCCACATCCTCTCCAGCGTCTGTTGTTTCCTGACTTTTTAATGATTGCCATTCTAACTGGTGTGAGATGGTATCTCATTGTGGTTTTGATTTGCATTTCTCTGATGACCAGTGATGATGAGCATTTTTTAATGTGTCTGTTGGCTGCATAGATGTCTTCTTTTGAGAAGTGTCTGTTCATATCCTTTGCCCACTTTTCGATGGAGTTGTTTTTTTCTTGTAAATTTGTTTAAGTTCTTTGTAGATTCTGGATATTAGCCCTTTGTCAAATAGGTAGATTGCAAAAATTTTCTCCCATTCTGTAGGTTGTCTGTTCACTCTGATGGTAGTTTCTTTAGCTGTGCAGAAGCTCTTTAGTTTAATTAGATCCCATTTGTCTATTTTGGCTTTTGTTGCCATTGCTTTTGGTGTTTTAGTCATGAAGTCTTTGCCCATACCTATGTCCTGAATGGCATTGCCTAGGTTTTCTTCTAGGGTTTTCCTGGTTTTAGGTCTAACATTTAAGTCTTTAATCCTTCTTGAATTAATTTTTGTATAAGGTGTAAGGAAGGGATCCAGTTTCAGCTTTCTACATATGCCTAGCCAGTTTTCCCAGGACCATTTATTAAATAGGGAATCATTTCCCCATTTCTTGTTTTTATCAGGTTTGTCAAAGATCAGATGGTTGTAGATGTGTGGTGTTATTTCTGAGGCCTCTGTTGTGTTCCACTGGTCTATCTCTCTGTTTTGGTACCAGTACCATGCTGTTTTGGTTACTGTAGCCTTGTAGTATAGTTTGAAGTCAGGTAGTGTGATGCTTCCAGCTTTGTTCTTTTTGCTTAGGATTGTCTTGGCAATGTGGGCTCTTTTTTGGTTCCATAGGAACTTTAAAGTAGTTTTTTCCAATTCTGTGAAGAAAGTCATTGGTAGCTTGATGGAGATGGCATTGAATCTACAAATTACCTTGGGCAGTATGGCCATTTTCATGATATTGATTCTTCCTATCCATGAGCATGGAATGTTCTTCCATTTGTTTGTGTCCTTTTTTATTTCGTTGAGCAGTGGTTTGTAGTTCTCCTTTAAGGGGTCCTTTACATCCCTTGTGAGTTGGATTCCTAGGTATTTTATTCTCTTTGAAGCAATTCTGAATGGGAGTTCACTCATCATTTGGCTTTCTGTTTGTTATTGGTGTATAAGAATGCTTGTGATTTTCGCATATTAATTTTGTATCCTGAGACTTTGCTGAAGTTGCTTATCAGCTTAAGGAGATTTTGGGCTGAGACAATGGGGTTTTCTAAATATACAATCAGGTCATCTGCAAACAGGGACAATTTGACTTCCTCTTTTCCTAATTGAATACCCTTTATTTCTTTCTCTTGCCTGATTGCCCTGGCCAGAACTTCCAACACTATGTTGAATAGGAGTGGTGAGAGAGAGGGCATCTCTGTCTTGTGCCAGTTTTCAAAGGGAATGCTTCCAGTTTTTGCCCATTCAGTATGATATTGGCTGTGGGTTTGTCATAAATAGCTCTTATTATTTTGAGATATGTTCCATCAATACCTAGTTTATTGAGAATTTTTAGCATGAAGGGCTGTTGAATTTTGTCAAAGACCTTTTCTGCCTCTATTGAGATAATCATGTGGTTTTTGTCTTTGGTATATTCTGTTGATTTGGGTGGAGAGTTCTGTAGATGTCTATTAGGTTTGCTTGGTGCAGAGCTGAGTTCAAGTACTGGATATCCTTGTTAACCTTCTGTCTCATTGATCTGTCTAATATTGACAGTGGGGTGTTAAAATCTCCCATTATTATTGTGTGGGAGTCTAAGTCTCTTTGTAGGTCTCTAAGGACTCGCTTTATGAATCTGGGTGCTCCTGTATTGGGTGCATATATATTTAGGATAGTTAGCTCTTCTTGTTGAATTGATCCCTTTACCATTATGTAATGGCCTTCTTTGTCTCTTTTGATCTTTGTTGGTTTAAAGTCTGTTTTATCAGAGACTAGGATTGCAACCCCTACTTTTTTTTGCTTTCCATTTGCTTGTTAGATCTTCCTCCATCCATTTATTTTGAGCCTATGTGCGTTCCTTGCACATGAGATGGGTCTCCTGAATACAGCAGACTGATGGGTCTTGACTATATCCAATTTGCCAGTCTGTGTCTTTTAATTGGAGCATTTAGCCCATTTACATTTAAGGTTCATATTGTTATGTGTGAATTTGATCCTGTCATTATGATGTTAGCTGGTTATTTTACCCATTAGTTTATGCAGTTTCTTCCTAGCATCGACAGTCTTTACGATTTGGCATGTTTTTGCAGTGGTTGCTACCGGTTGTTCCTTTCCATGTTTAGTGCTTCCTTCAGGAGCTCTTGTAAGGCAGGCCTGGTGGTGACAAAATCTCTCAGCATTTGCTTGTCTGTAAAGGATTTTATTTCTCCTTCACTTATGAAGCTTAGTTTGGCTGGATATGAAATTATGGGTTGAAAATTCTTTTCTTTAAGAATGTTGAATATTGGCCCCCACTCTCTTCTGGCTTGTAGAGTTTCTGCCGAGAGATCCACTGTGAGTCTGATGGGCTTCCCTTTGTGGGTAACCCGACCTTTCTCTCTGGTTGCCCTTAACATTTTTTCCTTCACCTTGGTGAATCTGACAATTATGTGTCTTGGGGTTGCTCTTCTCAAGGAGTATCTTTATGGTGTTCTCTGTGTTTCCGGAATTTGAATATTGGCCTGCCTTGCTAGGTTGAGGAAGTTCTCGTGGATAACATCCTGAAGAGTGTTTTCCAACTTGGTCCTATTCTCCCCATCACTTTTAGGTACACCAATCAAATGTAGATTTGGTCTTTTCACATAGTCCCATATTTCTTGGAGGCTTTGTTCATTTCTTTTTACTCTTTTTTCTCTAAATTTCTCTTCTCACTTCATTTCATTCATTTGATCTTCCATCACTGATACCCTTTCTTCCATTTGATCGAATTGGCTAATGAAGCTTGTGCATGGGTCACATAGTTCTCATGCCATGGTTTTCAGCTTGGTCATTTAAGGTGTTCTCTACACTGTTTATTCTAGTTAGCCATTTATCTAATCGTTTTTCAAGGTTTTTAGCTTCCTTGCGATGGGTTCGAACATCCTCCTTTAGCTTGGAGGAATTTGTCATTACCAACCTTCTGAAGCCTACTTCTGTCAGCTCGTCAAAGTCATTCTCCATCCAGCTTTGTTTCTTTGCTGGCGAGGAGCTGTGATCCTTTGGAGGAAAAGAGGCCCTCTGGTTTTTAGAATTTTCTGCTTTTCTGCTCTGGTTTCTCCCCATCTTTGTGGTTTTAATCTACCTTTGGTCTTTGATGTTGGTGACCTACAGATGGGGTTTTAGTGTGGATGTCCTTTTTGTTGATGTTGATGCTATTCCTTTCTGTTTGTTAGTTTTCCTTCTAACAGTCAGGTCCCTTAACTGCAGGTCTGTTGGAGTTTGCTGGAGGTCCACTCCAGACCCTGTTTTTCTGGGTATCACCAGCAGAGGCTGCAGAACAGCAAATATTGCAGAACAGCAAATATTGCTGCCTGATCCTTCCTCTGGAAGCTTCGTCCTAGAGGGGTGCCCGCCTGTATGAAGAGTCAGCTGGCCCCTACTGGGAGGTGTCTCCCAGTTAGGCTACATGGGGGTCAGAGACCCACTTGAGTAGGCAGTCTGTCTGTTCTCTGAGCTCAAACACCATGCTGGGAGAACCACTGCTCTCTTCAGAGCTGTTAGACAGGGACGTTTACATCTGCAGAAGTTGTCTGCTGCCTTTTGTTCAGCTATGCCCTGCCCCCAGAGGTGGAGACTACAGAGGCAGTAGGCCTTGCTGAGCTGCGGTGGGCTCTGCCCAGTTCGATCTTCCAGGACACTTTGTTTACCTACTCAAACCTCGGCAATGGCGGATGCCCCTCCGCCTGCCTCGCAGGTTGATCTCAGACTGCTGCACTAGAAGTGAGCAAGGCTTTGTGGGCATGGGATCCGCTGAACCATGTGTGGGATATAATCTCCTGGTGTGCCATTTGCTGAAACTGTTGGAAAAGCACAGTATTAGGGCAGGAGTGTCCTGTTTTTCCAGGTACCATCTGTCATGGCTTCCCTTGGCTAGGAAAGGGAAATCCCCTGATCCCTTGCGCTTTCCAGGTGAGGTGATGTCCCGCCCTGCTTCAGCTCGTCCTCCATGGGCTGCACCCACTGTCCAACCAGTCCCAATGAGATGAACCAGGTACCTCAGTTGGAAATGCAAAAATCACCTGTCTTCTTTGTCAGTCATGCTGGGAGCTGCAGACTGGAGCTGTTCCCATTCAGCCATCTTGGAACCAAGATGTTTCTAATGACAGACAGGGAAAAGAAAACTGACAAGACCCAGGCAGTTGACTTGACTCTTGTTAGAGCTCAACAGGTGGTTTGTAGTTGAGGAAGTGTCAATGGCTAAAAGATATGAGAAAATATCCAACTTCACTGGTAGGCAAACAAAGTAAACTAAAACAGTGAGGTACTATTTTTCACATACCTAAAAGATTTTTTTCTTAATATCCAGTGTTGTTGAAAATGTGGGGAAACTAATATTCCCTAACTGTTGGCTAGAATGCAATGGATAAAATTTGACATTTTGCTCTACTTTTTAGGATATGTCCTCAACCTTATCTTTTAACCTTTTTGTTAAAATTTCTTATTTTGGTTATTACTGTTTAAATTTCTAAAATCTTGTTTTTATTTTCTGATAGTTTATTTAAATAAAATTGTACACTTTTTTGGTATCATGGATGCAATATTTTCTCCTCTCTCTGATGATAGTAATTAATGTTTTCTTCTTTGTTTCCTCTGTTTTTTTAACTGTGTTTTTAACTTTTCATTTATGTCTTTCATGTTGAAGACCTTTTCACATATTATCTTACTTAATCTTCACTCAGTTCTATCAGGTTAATATTATTATCCTTGTTTTATAGTTAATGAGTCTTAGAGAGTGTATCATTGTTTTATTTCTCTTACCATGGGCAGCTGAAAAAATTGTTGGTCATAGACCAAAAGTACTGGTCACAGACCAGCCAAATCCACAGTCCAGCTTCTTAATCTAGCTGGATTCTCTGTTGAATCCTTAAAATCTCTCCTCACCACCTCCCTAACCCCAACACTTGTCTCATTATATTAGACAACTTTGTTAGAATTTTTTCCAAGTTGAATTAAAGTCTTTCTCCTTCCCTTTACCTTTCCACTGTCATTAGAACTAGTTCTGCCCTGTAGACCATAGAGATCCTCTCCCATTTCTACATCTCCTTCCATAGGAGATAGTCCCTCAAATATTTGAAATGATACTGTCATGATTCCTCCACATCTGCCATTCCCCAGCCTGAAGAGGCCTGGTTCTGCCTACTTTATTCTGCACCTTTGTGAAATTCTGCTTGGCTAACATTTTTGGAACGCTTTGGACCATGTTCTCTCAAAGTCTCACTTTAAGGGTGTGTCTATAACTTAACATAGGGTCCAGATATGCTCTGAAAGACTTAACCTCAAATGGGATACTGTCATTTTATTAATGTATGCTGGAGTTGGCTTAGTTTCAATTTGAGGAATTTCATGTGCTGCAACTTCTTTTCCTAGAAAGTAATACTTTTGATGTTTCTCACAAATTATAATTTCTAGGACTCTGAGCTGCCTACTTCTACTTACTCCTTTTTAGTTAGGGTTGTGTGTGTGTGTTGTCCTTACTGGTTACTGCTTTTACCTCCTAGGGTCTTTTTTTCAAGGCCATTTTCACTTAACCTTAGCTATTAAGCCCAAGTGGAGGTGCTAAGGTGATTTGAAAAATGGAAATATCTTAATTTAAATTGCACAAACAAACACTATCGTGCATATTTGAGAAGTAAAATACAATGTAAATGGGGGCTTTTCAGGCACCATGTTAAGCACTTGGTATATATTATTTCATTTGGCTTTTATAACAGCATTATGAGGTGAGAACTGCTGTTATTCTCAATTTAGATGTGAGGAGGTGTGGCTAGTTCGATACAACTAGGAGGGCCAGAGGTGTATTGCAGACCTAAACATACCAGACTCAAGACTAATACTGCTGTTACCCACAGAAATGAAGCTCACATATTGTATTTTATGCCAATTATAGCTGATGTTGTTGGAAGGAATTATATAATCTGCTGAGGTGTATTGCATACTTCTCATCTTTAACAGAACATACCAAACATAAAAACTTTTATTTGATAGGTTGAGGTGATGATATTGAACATCTGTCCTCCCATGTTCATTGTAGCACTATTCACAATAGCTAAGATTTGGAAGCAACCTAAGTGTCCGTCAAACATTAATTTTTGTGGCCCTTTAAGTAAGAATAAATATGTGGCCCTATAAATATGAATCTTATGTATATTTGTATAGACAGTGCCAAGCATATTGTAGGCAACTATGATTCAAATCACTGCACACATGCGTATTGAATGAGTACATGAATGAATCAATGAAGTTATAAAACAGCAATGACCTCAAGGTCTATTAAAGTTTTTAGAACTATTTGCCACTACACTAAATCTTTTATAAACTGTTTTGCTTTATGAGTCTATGTGTCTGCTTTTTGTAATTTTTTTCCCTTCTCCCTGTCATTGTAAATAGAATATCTATGGACATGAAATGTGCCTGAAGTTCTTTGCAAATGGAAGACTAAAAGGAAGTTGCCCCAGGCAATTCAGATCATTGTGTCCAAGAGAGGAACAAACTCATGTTTGATCCAGGTCATGACTGTATTCAAGGGCTTTGATCCTAGGTGTGGGGTCCAGCTGTAGGGGCATCAGGGAAGTACATTCTTGGTCTGTGTCCAAGTCCTTGGTCAGGGAAGTCTGTCTTAGCACCATGGAGACAGGGGAAACTGAATTCAGACCTTATGTGACAGGAGTGGACTAAAACCAGTGCATGCATATGATCCAGCAATTCCATGGCTAGGTATACACCCAAAAGAAAGAAAATCTGTATATAGAAGAGATATCTGCCCTCCCATGTTCGTTGCAGCATTATTCACAATAGCTAAGATTTGGAAGCAACCTAAGTGTCCATCGACAGATGAATGGATAAAATGTGGTACATATACACAATGGACTGCTATTCAGCCATAAACATAATAAAATCCTGTTATTTGCAATAACATGGATAGAACTGGAAGTCATTATGTTAAGTGAAATAAGTCAGGCACAGAAAGACAAACTTCACTTGTTCTCACTGATTTGTGGGAGCTAAAAATTAAAATAATTGAACTGAGAGAGAGTAGAAGGATGGTTACTAGAGGCTGGGAAGGGTAGTGGGGGCTGGGTAGAATGGAAAAAGGGATGGGTAGTGAGTACAAAAAATAGTTAGAAAGAATGAATAAGACCTAGTATTTGATAGCGCAACAGGGTGCTATCAAACCTATTGCCTTGGTTTGCAATAGGGTGACTATAGACAATAATAATTTAATTGAACATTTAAAAATAACTAAAAGAGTATAATTGGATTGTAACACAAAAGATAAATGCTTGAGGTGATGGATACCTCATTTATCCTGATGTGATTATTACGCATTGCATGCCTGTAACAAAATATCTCAAGTACCCCATAAATATAGATACCTACTGTGTACCCATAAAAATTAAAAATAAAAAAATAAAAATAAAATCAGCATAGGGAGCCAGTCTCCTACTAATTTGGTCAACAGTTTATGTCAGGTTGTAGTCTTAAGGGTGGAAACGAAAAGAGGGCCAGGACCTTGGTAGCCAGACCAAAGTTCACGACTGTGTTATATACTCTGAAATGGATTTAGCCAAGGAGGTTTGCCCAGATTCTCCCATAGGTGATGTTAAATTCCTTCCAGGACACTTGACCCCAGGCATGGGATTGATGGTGGGTTTTCAGGTGCTCTCCCACTAAAGCAAAAATGTCCATAATATATTCCAGGAATTAGGTGAGACAGAGCCTCAGGAAACAAGCCTGTTATGCCTTCACCAAGGCAGGGCAGAGCTGGATAAGGGTGAACAGAAAGGGACAAATTATTGATGAGAGTTCTGTGAGTAGAAACTCCTTTCTCTTCTTTAGAATTTCTGCCTCCAGTTTGTTAATGCCACTTCCAAAATACACTGCTCTGAGCTGAAGATAATACTGCATGCAGATAGAGTGCCATGAAGGCATTGGTTTGCAGTGATCTATAAAGGACTAATGTGCCAGGCTCTGTGTTAAGTGCTTGACTTTCACCACCTTGTTTACCCCTACAACAACAATTTTTAAATTGCCCTATTAAGATATAGAGCATTCTATCATTCTAAAATGTTTCCTGTGATTCAGTATATATTTATTTACTTTTTGGTTGATTTATTGAGTGAAGAACTGAAAATCACTTTATGGGTAGTATATTTCCTTTTTTGTATCACATCTGAAGTGAGACATTGTCAAACTGGGTAGGTATGTCCAGAATGAGGAAGGATGCAGAGACTATGTCATATAAGGAACATGTGTCAAAGGAGGTAGTAAAAATGAATATGACTGGGGCTAGTAGTTCCAAGAAAAAATTGGAAACATGCTCCTGGCTAATCAGAAGGTTTAGCTAAAATATTTTCAGAGCCTATCACGTGAACCTGGTAAAAACAACCCAGTATTGGGCAAAAGAGTTAGGGCAATTTGAGGAAGTCCTGGCGCCTAGGCTAGGTGGTGATGAACAGGGAAGATGTGAAGGAAAAAGGAAGAGAGAATTTTCCCCCTTGCCTTATTGATTTCATCCTGCATTAGTTCATCTCAGCTCTTCCTGTTGTTCCCCCAACCCCAACAGTTTTTCTATTCTTTTATCTATTTTTGAATTGATTCTCTAAAAGTTCTAAGGCTGCGTTTTCAGCTCCTGGTCATCTGGATAACTACTGGTTTCAGGATTCTTGGGGATAATGGGATGGAGGCATGGGAGGAGAATGTCTGGGTTAAAAAGATACTGAGCTAGAAGTAGAAGGCTTGGTTGAATTTTACACTCAGCAACATACAGGTTGGGCAAGTTGCTTTGCTCTTTAGCTTCAGCTTTTGCACACCTATAAAATGGAAGCGGTGTGTGTGTGTGTTTGTGTGTGTGTGTGTAGTGTATGTATCCGTTGTCTCCTAGGGAGTTTCTTTGAGGATCAAAAAAGAGAGTGGACAAAAATGAATTTTGTAAACTGTTTTTGAGAGCATCTAAATGTAGTTTTATGAGTAGCATTGTTACCATTGTCGCTGTTCTATTTGCTGAATCTTGTTTAATTTGGAAGCTCCCTAATTCACAGTGATTTGTATAGTGGGGTCATCACTCTGTAGGAGCTCTAAATGGAGACTTTGTCCATGATTTCCAAAAGGTCATCCACCCCAGAGTCACATGAGACTGGAAAGCAAATCTTTTTCATTAATTGGCTTCAAGTACTTTCAGCTTCAAATGGAGGTCTCTAAGGGTCCTTGGCTGGCACATCAAGGGGGCATTTCAAAGAAAGTGGCAAAATCTTGACTAAACTTCAGAGCAAACACGCACTCTTTTCTTTGCTACTCTCTTTCTAAAAAGAAAAACAAATTATACTGGTCTGGGTTGTGTGAGCATGTGTGTATCAGCTTGTTCTAATTCTCTTTTCCCAACCCCTTCTTTGCTTGTCCCATTTTCAAGATAGGATAACACCCAGGTTTTTATATTACCTTCTGTGTTAGGACTTTCTTAGGATTCCTAAAAATTTTGGCTAAGTAGCATTAGGCCTGCTCTATTTCACAGGTAGGCATAAAAAAAAAAAAAACAGTGTCCACTTCTTCAAGACAGTATCCAATTCTTCCTGGCATTTTGATGGTAGGAAAAATATTTGAATTTATTTTTAGGGCAAGTCACGTGGCAAAAAGAATAACAAGTATTTATGGTTGCCTGGGGAACTCAGCTTCTAGTTACTACTGATTATGGGAAAGAGGAACAAATTTTAAGATGAGGCAAAATTGGTGACCAAGAACTAGAATAGCAGGTGGCCTGGGAAGAGGTGGGGGTGAAAGCGGGTAGAAAATCTATGCAAAAATATAGGTTCCTAGTCATTTTTTTTCTTTTGTCTCTTTCGATTACTATATCCTGCCTTCCTGCAGGAGGAATGTAGTAAGATGCTTTGTATAATCAGGTGCTTTGCTTGTTCTTTTTTTTTTTTTTTTGATTGTAGAAAAGATCAGTGTAGCAATTTGACCATTTGCCAAATTACCCATAAGATAGGGTAGGCATTAAAAACCCAGGGACACTGAAGTCAGGAAATCCAGCTTCTTGTATCCTGGATCTTTCTTGGAACAGCCTGTCACATATGACATCTAATGATGTAGCACCAGCTGCTCACAAATACAAGTTCCTTAGAGTATATAGACATTATGGGGCCACTAAAAATGTCTTATATGGCTTGCTGCCAGCATTTTCAGCACTGTCTCTCACCAGCAGCCACTCTCTAACTGTTTGCCCTAGCCAAGCTCAGAGACATGGGGACTCCTATGAGCTCCATTGTCTTGTGTAGAGAATGGGGCTAACTGTAGAGTGTGAAGGCCTGGGGAGAAAAACTCAGGCTGTGTTTCCTAGTCACCCCAAGACCTTGTGGACCCAGGAAGTAGCAGTTCCAGAGACCAATTGCTATATGGCTTTCTGCATGCCCACTGCCTTTGTCTTGCTGTTGTCGCAGGAAACATCTGGTGTACATCCAGTGCACCCAGAGCCTTTTGGAAAACACCTATCGGCCTCAGTACTCTTTTCCCTCAGGCTGGCAGACAATGAGGAAGGAGGAGAGAGAGCTACCCATTGGAGGAGGAAGTAAAGCTGGAGGCTGGGGTAGTGGCAAGATATGAGCATTCAGGTCTACAAAGCTTCAAGTCTCTCATTACTTCACTCCATCAGGCCAGGACAATCATGGGGGTTTGGCAGGAGTGGCGTTGCAGGGAGTTTAGGCCTAAGGGAGTGTATGTGTGAGGCACAAAGTAATAAGGACTGGACTTTGTTACCTGAGGTGATGAGGGTGACAGGCCCACATGGATAAATTAGGAAACAGGCAACAGGTTCTATAGCTGCATATCAGAGACTCACAGAGTGGAAATCACTTTGATGAGGGCAGAGCAGCAGCCCAAATGACCGGATACCCACTGTGGAAGTCATCCCCTCATCACTTTTTCATTCCCAAGACTCAGCTCTTCTCTGACTCTGTTACTTTGTTGGCAACTCCCGTTGCAGTGTCTGGGCAATTTCTCTCAGTTGTTACAACTTGCATTCAAGGGCATCTCTTGTTCCAGGCCAACTCTATTGATCTCTGAAAAAATGGGAGGTAGAACAGTGTTCAAGCATTCAGATAAACCTACCTTCCAATCATAGTTCTGCTTCTTACTAGCTGTCCCACCTTAGGCAGGTAAGTTAACTTATCTGAATGTCAGTTTTCCCGCTTGTAAAATGCAGTTGGTATTAGTACTTAATTTAAAGCTTTGTTATGAGGATTAAATGAGATAATGCAAGTCCAGCCTATAGTTGACTTTGGCTTAAGCAGCAGTTGTTGGAACAATCTGTTGTGGCCAAGATCATAAGGTCTCAGGACACAAGGTTGGCCACAAAACCAACCCAGCAACTTATGAAGCAGAAACCATCTGTGGTAACTTTTCTCAGAAGGTGGCTATGTAAACTGGCCTCATTTGGCTGAAGGAAGTTGGGAGGTGGATAGGTGGGGGAAATAAAAGAAAAGAGAAGAGTTAAATGAGTGTCAATGTCTCCTAATAATTAAGAGCTTAGAATCCCTGGAGTCAGACAGGCTTGTCCTCAAATTCCAGCTCTGTGCTTACCATTTGTGTGACCACGAATATGTTATCAAACTTTTGGACCCCAGTTTTCTCAAGTGCAAAATAGGCTAATGATATCTATGGTGTTGTGATAATTTGATGAACAATGAGTATAAAGTGCTTAGCACAGTGCCTGCTACCCAGTAAGAACATAACAAATGGGGAAGAGGATGATTGTGAGGATGGCAAGCGTTTTTCTTGGCCTAGCATCCAGTGGTGCTGCTCTTGTTATCTAAGGAGGCAGGAAGGAGACAAGAGTGGGCACTTGGTAAAACTGGATGCAGGTGAAAGAGAGGTGTTTATCTGAGGGCCTCATATCTGAGCCTCACTTCTACCTCCTGACCCCTTATGTCCTCCCACCCTGCTACCCAGTGCTTGGGTGCTGCTTAAAGCACTTTGTTCCAAACTCCCTAGGGATGGTTTGCCCCTCCCCTTCCCATAATGACTCAAAACTTCTGTTCATTCTGTTCAGCTTTGCCACAGCCAGGTTTTGGTGAGAAGGACCACACAGCTTCCTTTGACTTTAAGGCCACCAGAGGTATTTCTTTTTAACTCCACCAAATTGGAAATTAGTGGAGCAATAAGCAATGGAGGATGGAGGGTACTTTGAGCACAGAGACTTCCATATTGCCCTGAAAAGGAGCCTGAAAGACAAGGTTGAAGGAGACGCAGGTTCAGTAGGGGAGGGAGAAGGAATGCATATCCCTAGCTTCCGTATTGCACTACCGTCCTTTGCCTGAGAAAGCGAACCCTGGTGTTAGAATCTGAGACTAATGTTGTTCCCCAAGGAGGAAGGCAGCTCAGGACTGGTTCCCACCAAGCCAAGTGCAGTCCTAGATTCTGGCTCCCTGTGCCCACTGTCAGCAGAGAAAGCACCAAATCTAGTGAGAAAAAGTTTCAGCATATCTTAAAATGACAGAAACCACCTTATCCAACCTAGACTTTTCTGCCATGGGAAAAAGATGAAACCTGGAAATCTGGGAAACTTAAAATTTTCAACACCATTTATAAATATAAAAAGCCTCTGGTTACTTGAGTGTTGCACATTTAGATATTTGATTTTGTATGTTGATTACAAATGGAGTTGTGGCCTTGCAAACCATCACAATCATCATTATAATCATTGAATTTATGGTTCATATGGCAGTTTCTTATACATTATTCAATTTACTTTAATCCTCTTAACTCTGTCAAGTAGGTATTACCATTAATCCTCATTTTACAGCTGAGGAAACAAGGTAGAAAAGGTGACTTACTCAAGATCCCAGAGCTAGTAACCTCGAGGTTTTGTTTTGCTCTTTGGTTTTGTTTTCAATTTAGGTAATGAGCTACCAACATTAGAATGATGCATAGAAAGGTGCTGGGCCATGGTCTTTGCATCTTCCAATAAAGCATAATAAGATATATTAATTTCCAGGAAAAGAGTTGAGGGAGAAAAAAGGGGGAATATGATTTATTGATACAACTTTTAGGGAAATTTGATCAGCGTAGTATTCCAAGCTTTATTTTGATCATTTTCAAACCAAAGTTTAATCTGTTAAAATAGACATGCTTCTTTTACTCTGTGTAAACATGAAGCTCCACATATTACAAGAGGGCTTGGAAGGATGGGCCTACTAATTGGTACAGAGCAACAAAGTCTATTTTTTATTTAAAGATATAGGTGTTTTAGGAAGGAGAGGGGATGTTAAAGATAGTATTTGGCTGTATGAAAATATAGAAGTATGAGACTGGCAGCTCTGTAGAGGGCTTTGGGTGAGAGAATACAAAGGAGAGAAAATGAGAAAGACATTGTTGTATGAATATAAGATAAACCACCCCAGTTAAGTGCAGGCTCTGGATGAAGTATTTCTATTACAAATGACAGAGCTGGGACAGAAGCAATGTAGACTGTTGATGCAGTATCTCGAGGGGAGTTTGCACACTGGATATGTAAATTATTATTGTTTAAAGATATTCTTCCATCTTGGGGAAGTTGCTTAACCTATATTATTTGCATTTTTCTTATTTGCAAAATGGGACTAAAACAGTACAGTTCTTACCATATGTAATCTTTGAGAGTATTAACAAAAAAAAGTATGTGAAGTGCCTACTACAGTGCTTGTCATAAAGAAGGCTGCAGTGGATATGGCAACACTTTCCTCCATCAACCCCCACCCCCAAATTCCTTTCAGTTATGAAAATTCTGAAACACTGTAACTTTACCTATATATTTATTGGATATCTACTTTTCGAAAAGTAGAACATGTGAAGAATTCTTGATTTTTCCTTGGAGATACCTTTGCAAGTTAGAGGAAGATATTAGTGCCTGTCTTCCTTGGTTTAATTTTAATTCAAAAGAAAGATATGATTGAGAAGGTAGGAGAAATGACTGACTAGTTCATCTAGGCATTAATAGTCCTAAAAGAGGGAACTGTAAGGCAACCAGACACATGGCCTCAATTTTTTAAGAAGGCAGATTTAAAAATAAATACATGCATAAATAAAATTTTAAAACAAAACCAGAAAAAATGGTAGACGAATTCTCATGATCAAATTTACTAAAAAGAATATGGCTTTAAAAGATGAGTCTAGGCCAGGCATAGTGGCTCACGCCTGTAATCCCAGCACTTTGGGAGGCTGAGTTGGGGAATCATTTGAGGTCAGGAGTTCGAGACCAGCCTGGCCAACATGGTGAAACCCCATCTCTACTAAAAATACAAACATTAGCTGGGCGTGGTGGTGGGTGCCTGTAATCCCAGATACGTTGGAGGCTGAGGCAGGAGAATCACTTGAACATGGGAGGTGGAGGTTGCAGTGAGCTGAGATTGCACCACTGCACTGCAGCCTGGGCGACAAAGTGAGACTCTGTCCAAAAAAAAAGAAAAAAAAGAAAAAAGCGAGTCTAAAAAAGAAATAACTAAATGAGAAACCTGATTATACAATAATAAATAATCATAATGGATGAGAAAAGCGAAAAGCAGTTAAAACACTTATTTGATCTGAGGAACTTTACGAGGAGGCGAGAAAGTATGGGTGAGTTTAATTTTCTTATATATTATTTTCTCTATTTTCTAAAAATCTCTATGGTAACTATGGCTTTTATAAAATAAACAGTTTTCCCCCGAGGATTTGTACAATAGAGAAATGGATGCAAGTAATTGAGAAGAATGGTTAGAAGCTAGGAGAATTCTTTTAAAAGTAGCATCACTTGGACTAAATATCTGTTGGCGATGAGGCATGGAGGAAAAAATGCTAAAGATAACAAAAGTTATTTTGGTTACAGTTCAGTGGAAGAACATGAACAGGAAGAGGAATGCATAGTGATCATGGATGATGCAAAGGAATTGGAACCTCTGAACTTCTATTTTGCTTCCATCTAGAAAAATGGAGTTCAATCAGTACAAAGTAAAACATACACAATTAAGAAGTAATTGAAATGGATGAGAATTTATTGAGAGCCCTTGACTTTTCTAAATGAGTTTAAAGAATTTTAGAGAGATATGCTCTTTAAATTATTGGAATTGGTAATCTAAATAGTAAAAGATGAAAGAGAATGGATCCAGGAAACTCAGTATGAGTTGATACGTGGCAAAGTCTTAAATATGGAAGATTTGTTAACACCTAAAAAAGAAAGCTCCAGTCACTTGAAACTGGCATGCATTTATTGAATCAACTTATATCAAATTACTCTTATTTGTAAAATATTTAGAAGGGCTCTAGGGTTAAAAAATTTTGGCAGTCTCTCAAATTCATAGAAACAGTGTACATTTGACCCTTGCACAACACAGGTTTGAATTATATGGGTCCACTTTGCAACAATTGGAAAAACTCAAAGATGAACCATATAGCCTAGAAATACTGAAAAAAATTAGGTAAAAGGTATGTCATGAATGCATAAAATATATGTAGATATTAATCTATCATTACTACCATGAAATATACACAAATCTATTATAAAAAGTTAACATTTATCAAAGCTTACACAATTACAGACCATGCATGACACCACTTACAGTTGATAGAAATTTAAACAAATATAAAGATGCAGTATTAAGTCATAACTGCATAAAATTAACTGCATTACATACTATACTACTGTAATAATTTTGTAGCCACCTCCTCTTGCTATTACAGTGAGCTCAGGTGTTGCATGTATCTGCCTAGAATGCCATAAATTGCATATTGCAGTAAAAAGTGATCTCTAATGGTTCTCAAGTATTTTGAGTATTTTTCATTGTGTTTAGTACAACACTGTAAACTTTGAATAACAACATGGGACCCATTCAAAGTACCACGAGTGATATTGGAAGTGCTCTCAAGAAGCAGAGAAAAGTCATGACTCATGACATTACAAGAAAAAGTTGAATTGCTTCATATGAACTGTAGGTTGATGTCTGCAGCGGTGGTTGCCCACCACTTCAGATAGATGATTCATCTCATAGATGGGGATCTTGCAAACTTACCATATCGATAAATACAGTACAGGGTTATAAATGTATTTTCACTTCTTTTTGATTTTCTTAATAACATTTTCTTTTATGTAGCTTACTTTATTGTAAGAATACACCATATAATACATGTAAAATAGAAAATATGTGTAAATTGACTATGTGTGTTATTGGTCAACAGACTATTAGTTAAGTTTTTGGGGAGTCAAAAGTTACATGCAGATTTTCAACTCCGTGGAGGTCAGTACCCCCAACTTCCATGTTGTTCAAGGGCTAACTGAAGTTTATTTCATCAAGAGTTTAAAATGTTTTTTAGTTGTAGAAAATTTCAAACAAATACAAGATGAAGAGAGTAATATAATAAACCACTGTATACTTATTACCCATCATTACAAACTATCAATATTCTGAGTTTTTTTTGTTTCATCTATCACTTTCCTCCCAACCATACCTTTTTGCTGTTTTTGGAATATTTTAAGCAAATCTCAAATATTATATCATTTTACTTGTAAGTACTTCAGTATGAAAAAAATGTATAGCAGAGTCTTTCATGATATGCCCAAAGATGAGTTGGAGAAATAGAGATTGGATAAGAATGAACTAAAAGGATTGGTACTAACATAAACCATGGCCAAATCATGTTGATAAATAGTTTGAAATCTACCTTGAAGAAAGGTGGTAGGGAAATATACTACAAGATTCTGTCCTTGTTGTTGTCTTATGTGGCACGATTTATCAATGATATGGCCAAAAATTTAGAAAGCATGCTTAGCAGATTTGCTAACAATACGTAGCTTTTAGTGAGACTGCAATGTATTACATAAAAGGATCAAGTATCATCAGGCTGGAAAAATGAGCTGAAACCATAGGTTGACATTTAATTGATACACACAAGGTGAGATTCCTGACTTGGAGGTAGTTCATGGGAAGATCTGTAGGTTTTACTAGACCCGTAGCCCTCAGTATGAGTATCTAAAATGATGAGTCATATTTAAACAGTGTTAATGTTTAGTTTCCAGGTGAAGGGCTATAATAACTTCACTGTATCTGCTATATTCAGTTCAGAGCAATGTATTTTGAGAAGGACATTACAAACTGAAGGGCATCTAGTGGAGGGTAATTAGGGTGACATAAAATCTGAAAATCGTGATATGTAAAGAATGGTAAATGGAACTGGAGCTATTTAGCCTGGAGAATAGGGGACTTGAGGATGGGGTTTATATACTGGCAACCCATGAGGACTTGAAAAACAAATTTTTAATGAAGTAAACAAATTCTAATTTGCTTTGTAGCTTCGAGCTGGGATCAGAGAGTGGAAGTTAGAATGAAACAGAACTTAGGTCAAGATAGATTGCTAACAGTTAGACATGTCTGGCAATGGCTTAGACTACCTGGATATGCACTTCTGTCCCATCAGTGGAGAATTTTACTGCAGAGGGTAAATACCCATCTTTTAAACAGGATTACCACTTGGAAGGAGTTGGACTAAGTTAGAGGTTCACAAGGGAGAACTTTGGCTGTACATTAGAATCACCCGGCTGGGGGTAGAGGTGTTAAAAGTGAACAGTGCCTGGGCCCCATGCTAGAAATTCTGATGTAATTGTCCCAGGTGAGACTACAGAAAGTCCCCAGGGAACTCTGGAGTGTGTGAACTCTAAGGATCCTTTCAACTTTGAGATTTTTTTTTGGTTTGAAAAAGAGAAATCATGTTCATGGGGGGTATTTTAGAAGTCAGCATGGTGGAAAACCTGAAGATGACAGTGAAGTCAGGCACAAAACTGAACTCAGGGGAGTAAAGAGAATTGCTTAAGAGAGACTAAAAGTGCCAGAGTTTACCAGGAGACAGAGAAGCTTAGAGGAGAGGGTGCCTTGCATAGTTAAAAAAAAACATCAAAAGAAGTGAGAGTGGGAATGGTATTAGGAGAAGAGAGCGTGGCTGAAGAAGATGGGAGTGTCCATCAGACAACCCACCCTGCTTTGCCTGGGACTGAGAGGTTTCTTGGGATACAGCACTTTCAGTGTTAAAACCAGGACAATCCCAGGCAAACTGGGATGGTTGGTCACCCGAGTGCCCCATAAGACCCTGTCAAAAGACAAAATTACAACAAATTTAGTTTAAAGATCTCAATAGGCTTTATTGCAATTTTAGAATTAGGCAACACTTCATTCCATAAAACAGAGTAAGTGTTCCAATGAGTTGACCAGAGGCAGCAGGCTTTCTAGACAGAGAAAGGGCTGAAGAAAGCAGAAACAAAGAACAAAAAGTAGATTGGACATTTCAAAGTTACTTTCATTGTGGGCATAGGGAGATAGAAAGATGGAAAGATAACTGATTGGTTAACATCGGGTTACTCTGTTGTAAGAATTAAAACAGAGGGAACTGCATGATTGCCAGTTGAAGACTGAAACTGGCCTGTTGGGAAATTAGGCTGTTGCCTCTCTCTCCTGATTTCATGGAAGACCAGATAACAAACTCAAGGTTTGGAGAAGCAGAACCTTAGATAAGGGACTCTATTTTGGTTTTTAGGCTGGTCTGTTGGGGCCTAGTGCAGGGGTTTAGTCCAAAACAGTGGCCTCCTATAATTTTTGTTGAACACCCATAAATGAAGGCAGCACGGGAAAGCATTTGTTATCCTAGTCACTCTTCCTGCAGAGTAAAGATGTGCTCTGCATTCATCTGAATTCATGGCTTTGGTGTGCGTAACTGCAAAAGCTGAAATGTCATGTTCACTCTGGCCACGTATTCCACTCATAGTACCATACTTGTGTGTCCAGCATCTTGCCAGGGTGCTGGTCTTGGGCTTACTATGCTTTCTTTGGGGTGCCTTGGGATTCCTTACGTCATTGCTTCCTCCCAACACCAGCTGAAACCTCCTGAAGTGATTTTGAAGCTTGTTTCTTTGAATAGCTTCTTAGCAATTTCCTCACTGCTATTTCAGTTCCCCTCCCACCATTGTGTGAAACAGTGCCAAAGAATTTCATTAAACTGGCTGACTTCAAGGATGGTGAACTAGGACTGCTTCTAAAAAGCAGGCTGATAGTAACTGAGGGAATTGCCTAATAAGGAATAGACGGGAGGCATGCTGCCCCTACATAATCTCTTCCTTATAAAGAGAGAAGTATGGATGGGATATGTTGAGTTGTTTATAAAAAATAATGAAGGGAAAATCCCCCTAAAATTATGGGGAAAAGGCCCCTGGTTGGGCTTTAAGTATAGAGAATAACTTGGGTAGTCTTCACCCACTGTATCCCTAAAAGGCCTCACAATTGCTCTTCAGTCTCTTTCTCCCCTTCTCATCCGCCATTAATTAGGAGGTTACTTATGTGTGTTATGAATTAAAGCAGTGGTTCTCAAAGTGTAGTCCCTGGACCTGCAGCAGAGCATCACCTAGCAACTTGTTAGAAATGCATATGCCCTGGCCTCACCTCAGACTTACTGAATCAGAAACTCTGAGGATGGGGTCAAGCAGTTGTAATAAGCCTTCCAGGTGATTCTGATGCAGGTTTATGGTTAAGAATTGGATTAGAGAAACTATGTTTTTAGAAGGTTCTTTAAAGGAGAAGTCCAGGGCCTACCCTCTGACATGGGGCTGAACAGGAAAGCAGCAAGCAGAAGAAACCAGAACTAACCACTGAGCCACGGTGGGTGGTGGTTTGACATTTATGTGACAAGACAGTTAATGTGACAGGAAAGAAAAATGAACAGAGAATTGTGAAATCAAATAGGATCAGAATGATGTCACAGTGGTCAATCCAATTAATTCATATCATTACAAAATTAGAAAGTCACTAATGACTAATTTCTAATATATATCTGCATAAAAGGGCATTGTATGATATGAATTGGATTTTTAAGTATACAGTATTTTGTTTCATTTTGGAGACATAGCTTTTAGTAAAAACATGTCCAATAGGTTCTAGTCAATCCTTAATTGAAGCTCTATGTTGACAGGAAAATAGAAACTCATTGAATTTTAAAAAGATGATTTGGCTACTACAGTTTTATTATTATTATTTTTTAGAGTTCTGTAGCAAAGAATCACAGAGGCCAAAAATGTGAAAAAAAAAGTCATATGGCTTAATGATCTTTGTAATCATAACCCTATCAACCATAACAAAAACAACAATCATAAGTACAGTTGCCATTTATCGAGTGCCTACTCTGTGCAGACACTGCTGAGTGCTCAGCACGGGGGATGAAGTCATGGATAAGCAGCAGACATGGTCCTTGCCCTCCTACCCAGTGATTCCCAACCCTGGCTGCACTTGGCACCAGGGAGCCATTAAAAAATGTCAGTGCCAGGACCCCAGCCCCCGAGGGATTCTGATTTAATTGCTTTGAGATGGGACCCCAGAGTTGGCATTTTTACAAAGGTCTCCAGTGAACCTAATGTATATATCCGGAATTGAGGACTGCTCTGGTGAAAGACTTACATATGTAAACAATTCATTATAATAGCCTTAAGTGCTATGAAGAAAAAGCTCAGAGTGTTGTGAAGGGTACCAGTTAGTGTGGGGTTCAGGGTAGGGTTTTCTGAGGCATCCTTGAGGAAGTGACTTTCTGTTGGGATCTGAAGGGTAAATAGGAAATAGCTAAGCAAAGAGGATGGGAAGGGAATGTTCTAGGCAGAGTACATAAATTGTGCTAGGGCTCTGGGCGAGGACAGCATAGTGAAATGGGGGCTGAAAGGGGGCAAACAGTGAAGGAAATACTGTGATTAGAGAAGTGGAGACCCAGGGAGGGGCCAGAACATACAGGACATACGGGCTAGATAAAGGATTGTGTTCTTTCTTGTAAGTAATGGGAAGCTGTGGAGTATTCTAAGTAACTAGTGGATGATGTGATTATATAGACCCTTTGAGAAGATTACTCTGGCCGTAGTTGGAAAGCAGATTGATGATAGGTAAGAGTGGATGCAGAGGAATCAGTTAGGAGTCTTCTGTGGGAGGGCATGATGATGGGACTAAGAAGACATTAGAGTGATGGAGAGGGTTACATGGCATTGAATTTTTGGGAGATTCCAAGACTTGGTACAAGGCCTCAGGGACATTTGCTGAGTTAGTGAGTTGCTTGGATATAAAGGGTGAGGGTGGGGAAGGAATACAGGATGATGCTGCTGTTCTTGGTGTCAGTAACTGGATGAGTGGTGATGTTCACTGAGCTGTGAATATTGAGTTATAGAAAGCTACAGGAGAAACAGTTTTGCAGAGGAAAGGAGAGCATGAATTCTGTTTGGGCACAATAGGTTTAAGGTGCCTGTGAGATATCCAAGTTAAAAGGTGAAGGAGGCAGCTGAAAGTTCAATAATACATATGTCTGGACCAAATATATAGTATTTCCCACGTATGGACAGTAACTAAGACCATGGGGTCCGGTGAGATCACTCTAATCATTTTTTCATACAGAGCTCACTGCGTCTTCATGTCAACTTACCTAAATAAGTTACGTCTTTAAAATTTTATCTAGAACATGAAAATTTAGACAGGTTAAATAACTTCCCCAGGTCATGCAGCTAGTAAGAGGCAGGGTTGAGATCCCATTTCATAGGAGATGCATCAGTACCTAGTCATACTGCATTTCCTTAATCAGAATGACTGATTCTCAGATACAATGGAGAGTTAACCATGTTTGCTAAGGAACGACCAATGACCAGCTGAGTGTATATTTTCTTCCATTATAAACATGGCATTTGAGTCTACTATTCTTGGAAAGTCAGTGAAAAAATATCCCATGGAGTTTATGATTAAGCTCTGAGATCCAGATTTTGGGTTTACTGCCCAAACATCTGTCCCCTTGCTTCCTAGAAAACATGGAAACTGAAGTTGAGGTTGCCTGGAAGCTTACTAAAAATAGTGAGAACCATGGAATTGAGAAGTTAAAACATGTTTGAAGTAGTCAAATATATACCTCCACTTTTTTGATGGAAAACGTTGTGTACTAAAAGTCTAAATCCATTTCACTCATTCAACTGACATATGTAACACTGCTATAGGCCAAACCCTTTGCTGGGCTCTGGAGAGGCACTCCTTGTTCTTAAGGTGCTCTGTCTCATAGGGGAGACTGACACAAGTTAAAGGCTATTATAGCATTGTGAGAAGGGTGCTATGAGAGGATTGCAAAGGAGGGTATTTCGTCCATCATTAGAGAAGGGGAAAGCCTTTCTCAGAAAGACTTCCTGGAAGTGATAACACATAAACTAACAATTTGAGCCTCAATTTCTTCATAAGGTAGAGTTAGTTAGATAAATAAGAGAGGAAAGAATACTGTTTCAGGTACAAGAAAGAAACAGGAACATTTTACTATAAGGCAGGAGGATAGGAAAAAAAGACCCCATTTAGAGACCAACACCTTAATACACATGGGTTGTGTGGTTAGATGGTTAGCATGGCCTTAAAATTGTTGCTGGAGTTTGGCTTTTGAGGGACATAAAGGCATAACTGAAGAACTTCATACTAGTTAGGGCCACATACTGAGGTTTGCATTTTTAGGATGACTATGTTAGCTTTTAAGTAGATGATGTGTTGGAAGGGGAAGTACCTAGAGGTGGGGAGGACTCTACAGAAGTTATTGTAGGAGTCCAGGGAAGAAATACAGAGAGAAATGGCCTGGGCATGGTGGCTCATACTGGTAATCCCAATTATTTGGGAGGCTATGGAAGGAGGGTCACTTGAGGCCAGGAGTTTGAGACCAGCCTGGGCAACATATTGAGACCCTGTCTCTACAAAAAAATTAGCCAGGTGCGGTGGTGCACGCCCGTAGTCCCTAGCTACTCAGGAGGCTGAGACAGGAGAATCACTTGAGTCCAGGAGTTCAAGGCTGTAGTGAGCTATAATTATGCCACTGCACTCCAGCCTGGGTTACAGAGCAAGACTCTATCTGAAAAAAACACAAAAACAAAATAAGGAGATAAACAAATAGATTTGAGAGGTATTTAGTGGGTGGAATCAACAAAACTTGGAGATTAGAGGGAGAAGTGGGAATATAGGGGGACTTAGAGGGAAAGTGGTGATCTTTACTTAGCCAATTATGCGAAAAGATTAATTTAGAGTGGGTAAAAAGTTAAATTTTAGACATGGTGAGTTTGGCCATAGAACATCCAAGCAGATATGTCCAGTAGGTGACTAGCATTATAAATTTTGAGCTCAAGAGAAAGGCCTGGGCTGGAAATACAGATCAGGGAATCACGGCCATAAAGACTGGGGACTTGTCATCATAGAGATTAGGAAGTTATCCTCATAGAGACTAGGGCATTGTGTTAGTCTGTTTGCATTCTTTAAAGGAATGCCTGAGACTGGGTAATTTATAAAGAAAAGAGGTTTATTTGTCTTATGGTCCTGCAGGTTCAGCCTGTAACATGGTGCTTGTACACAAGCAGTATAGTGCCAACATCTGCTTCTGGTGAGGGCCTCAGGAAGCTTACAATTGTGGCAGAAGGCAATGGGCATATCACATGGTGATGGAGCAAGAGAGAAAGGAGGAGGTGCCAGGCTCTTTTAAACAACCAGCTCTTGTGTGAACTAACAGAACGAGAACTCGCTCATTACTATGGAGAGGACACCATGCCATTCATGAGGGATCCACCCCTGTGACGCAAAAACTTGCCACTAGGCCCACCTTCAACATTGAAGGTCACATTTTAACATGAGATTTGGAGGAGGAAAACATCCAGACTGTGCATCATCGCCATAGAGAGTAGGATGTCATTCCTATAGAGGTTGGGGAGTTATCCTCATAGAGATTAAGGACTTGCCATCCTCATAGTGAGTAGGGAGTTATCACCATTCAGTTGGCATATGTAGATAAAATGAGATGAACCAACATCCCAAGATGGAACGCTGTGGATCATTCATATTTAAAGGGTATGGTGTAAAAGAGAAGCTGGCAAAGTAGGGGAAGTAGGATGGTTATTGGAAAAACCTGGTGTCATGGGAGCCAGGAAAGGAGAGTGCTTATGTACTAAGATGTCAAATGTCAGATTGCACAAGAAATGTAGATACTGAGATGTGTCCACTGGATTTGGCACTATGAGGTTGTTGGTGATATTTGTGTGAACAGCTTTAGTGGAATGGGATCAGGAGCCAGATACAGTGGGTTCAGCAAGTAGGGAGGTGGAGTTTAGAAAGGCACTTATTGCCAGGAGAATTTTAAAAAAAAGCAAGTTAGAGAAAGTCAAGTAATAAGAACTAGTGTGGCATGGATCAGCTCTCTGGGAATGCTGGAGGGAGAGAACTGAAGGGGAGAGAAGTGGAATAAACACTATAAAAAGCTCTGAGAAGAGAGGATGTGGCTTCACCCCACCCAATCCTGAGAGAATGGGTGGAGGGTAGGCCTAATATTGTCTTGTTATCCAAATATTGTCTTTACCAGCTATCCTTTCCCTAAAGATGGGACAAGCCATTCCCAGAGGTCAGTTCCAGGCAACATGACCTTCCCAGAAGGTGGGGTAAAATTTTCCTCATTAACTCATGTGTTCCCCAGAGTCTTTGGGTTTTTAGGAATTTCTACAAAGAATTTCAAATATTTTACAAGTCATTTCCAAGTACCATAATATATTCTTCCTTCAGTTTGGTATCTCAAGCTTTTGTTAAGGTAGAGACACATTTTCCTTCACTCAGAACATTGTTGTAACTCTGAAGGAGAAAAGGCATGTGGAATTACTATTGTCTGCATTGGCCTTCCTTCTGTGGCTGCACCACTCCTACTTCTGTGAATCTGAGCAAATAAGAAAACAGACCACCTGCATGTGAGCAAGAAGCACACAGATTTTGCTGAATATGTGGCTTCAGTGGTCTTCACGTTGCTTCTGTGTTCTATAGGTAGCCCGGTTTTATACAGACAGACAATCTATTTCACCTGATGGAATGAAAAGGATAAGAATCATGTGAAACCAAACACATAAGAGATGGATGTGTAAGGCATAATACCCATTTAGGGATTAACAATATCAGCTCATTTTTTAAACTTTTAAGCTCAGGGGTACATGTGCAGGTCTGTTATATAGGCAAACTTGTGTCATGGGAGTTTATTGTACAGATTATTTCATCACCCAGGTATTAAGCCTAGCTCCCATTGGTTATTTTTCCTTATCCTCTCTCTCCTCCCACCTTCCACCCTCCAATAGGCCCTAGTGTGTGTTATGCCACTTTATATATCCATGTATTCTCATCATTTGGCTCTCACTTATAAGTGAGAATATGTGGCATTTGGTTTTTTGTTCCTGCATTAATTTACTAAGGATAATGGCCTCCAGCTCCATGCCTGTTCCTGCAAAGGACATGATCTCATTCTTTTTTATGGCTGTATAGTATTCTGTGGTGTATATGTACCACATTTTCTTTATCTGGTCTATGATTGATGGGCATTTAAGTTGATTCCGTGTCTCTGCTATTGTGAATAGTGCTGCAGTGAACATATGTGTCTTTATGATAGAATGATTTATATTCCTTTGGGTATATATCCAGTAATGGGATTTCTGGGTCAAATGTTATTTCTGTTTTTAGGTCTTTGAGGAATCACTGCACTGTCTTCCAAAATGGTTAAACTAATTTACACTACCACCAATTGTGTATAAGCGTTCTTTTTTCTCCACAACCTTGCCAGCATCCGTTATTTTTTTACTTTTTAATGATAGCCATTCTGACTGGTGTGAGATGGTATCTTATTGTGGTTTTGCATTCCTCTAATGATCAGTGATGTTGAGCTTTTTTTATATGATTGTTGGCCACATGTATGCTTTATTCTGAAGAGTGTCTGTTCATGTCCTTTGCCCACTTTTTAATGGGGTTGTTTTTTCTTGTACATTTGTTTAAATTTCTTATGGATGTCAGATATTAGATCTTTGTTGGATGCATAAGTTGCAAAAATTTTCTCCCATTCTGTAGGTTGTCTGCTTACTCTGTTGATAGTTTATTTTGCTGTGTATCGGGGGAACCAGCCCCCAATATTTCAACATACGTTCTTTCTATTTTCCCTAAGTGTTGGCCGGTCTGAGAAATAAAGAGAAAGAGTACAAAGAGAGAAATTTTACAGCTGGTCTTCCGGGGATGTCATCACGTATTGGTAGGACTGTGATGACGACCCTGAGCCGCAAAACCAGCAAGTTTTTATTAGGGATTTTGAAAGGGGAGGGGGTGTATGAACAGGGAGTAAGTCACAAAGATCACATGCTTCAAAGAGCAATAAAGGTCACAAGGCAAGGCAAAATTAGAATTACTGATGAGGGCCTATGTCCCACTGTGCATGCATTGTCTTGATAAACATCTTAACAGGAAACAGGGTTTGAGAGCAGACAACCAGTATGACTAGAATTTACCAGGCTGGAATTTCCCAATCCTAGTAAGCCTGAGGGTACTGCAGGAGACCAGGGCGTATTTCAGTCCTTATCTCAACTGCATAAGACAGACATTCCCAGAGTGGCTGTCTATAGACCTATCCCCAGGAATGCATTCCTTCCCCAGGGTTACTCCTTGCTGGGAAAAGAATTCAGCGATATTTCTCCTACTCACACATCTATCTATAGGCTTTCTGCAAGAAGAAAAATATGGCTGTATTCTGCCCGACCCCACAGGCAGTCAGACCTTATGGTTATCTTTCCTCGTTCCCTGAAAATAGCTGTTATTCTGTTATTTTTCAGGGTGCACTGATTTTATATTGTTTAAACACACATGTTTTACAAACAATTTGTACAGTTAACACAATCATCACAGGGTCCTGAGGTGACATACATCCTCAGCTTAAGAAGATGACAGGATTAAGAGATTAAAGACAGGCATAAGAAATTATAAGAGTATTGATTGGGGAAGTGGTAAATGTCCATGAAATCTTCACAATTTATGTTCAGAGATTGCAGTAAAGACAGGCATAAGAAATTATAAAAGTATTAATTTTGGGAACTGATAAATGTCCATGAAATCTTCACAATTTATTTTCTTCTGCCTTGGCTCCAGCTGGTCCCTCTGTTTGGGGTCCCTGACTTCCTGCAACAGCTGTGCCGAAGCTTTTTAGTTCCATTAGATACCATTTGTCAATTTTTGCTTTTGTTGCTATTGCTTTTGGTGTCTTCCTCATGAAATCTTTGCCCATTCCTATGTCTGGAATGGTATTGTCTAGGTTGTCTTCCAGGATTTTTATGGTTTTGGGTTTTACATTTAGGTCTTTAATCCATCCTGAGTTAACTTTTGTATATGGTATAAGGAAGGAGTCCAGCTTCAGTCTTATGCATATGTCTAGCCAGTTATCCCAGCACCATTTATTGAATAGGGAATCCTTTCCCCATTGTTTGTTTTTGTCAGGTTTATCCAAGATCAGGTGGTTGTAGATGTGTGGCCTTATTTCTGGGTCCTCTATTCTTTTTATTTTTATTTATTTTTTATTTTTATTTATTTATTTTTGAGGCAGAGATTTGCTTTTGTTGCCCAGGCTGGAGTGCAATGGCGTGATCTCTGCTTATTGTAACCTCTGCCTCTGGGTTCTCTATTCTGTTCCATTGGTCTATGTGTCTGATTTTGTACCAGAACCAAGCTGTTTTGGTTACTGTAACCCTGTAGTATAGTTTGAGGTCAGATAGCGTGATGCCTCCAGCTTTGTTCTTTTTGCTTAGGATTGCCTTGGTTATTTGGGCTCTTTCTTGGTTCCATATGAATTTTAAAATAGTTTGTTCTAGTTCTGTGAAGAATCTCAATGGTAGTTTAATAGGAATAGCATTGAATCTATAAATTGCTTTGGGCGGTATGGCCATTTTAATGATATGGATTCTTCCTATCCATGAGCATAGAATGTTTTTCCATTTGTTTGTGTCATCTCTGACTTTTTAGATTTATTCTGATCCAAATGTGAGTGACCATGGCCTGTCAGCCCTCGGGAGGTCCTGAGAACATGTGCCCAAGGTGATCGGGGTACAGCTTGGTTTTATATATTTTAGAGAGGCATGAGACATTAATCAAATACATTTAAGAAATACATTGGTTTGTTTCAGAAAGGTAGGAGAACTCCAAGTGAGGGCTACCAGGCTATAGGTAAATTTAAATGTTTTCTGTTTGACAATTGCTTGAGTTTGTCAAAAGACCTGAGATCTATAAAAAGGAATGTTCAGGTTAAAGATAAATGATTGTGGAGACCAAGTTTTATTTTGCAGAGGAAGCTCTCAGATAGCACACCTCAGAGAGAGAGAGCAGGTTGTAAAATGTTTCTTTTCTTTTCTTTTTTCAGGGTAATTAGCATATCCATGAATTTTTTTTTTCTGTTTTGAATGATTTATTTCCCACCTTCTTTTTTTAAAATTATGCGTTAAGTTCTAGGGTACATGTGCAGAACATGCAGGTTTGATACATAGGTATACATGTGCCATGTTGGTTTGCTGCACCCATCAACTCATCATTCACATTAGGTATTTCTCCTAATGCTATCCCTCTCCAAACCCCCCACACCATGACAGGCCCCGGTGTGTGATGTTCCCCGCCCTGTGTCCAAGTGATCTCATTGTTCAATTCCCACCTATGAGTGAGAACATGTGGTGTTTGGTTTTTTGTCCTTGTGATAGTTTGCTGAGGATGATGGTTTCCATCTTCATCCATGTCTCCGCAAAGGACATGAACTCATCCTTTTTTATGGCTGCATAGTATTCCATGGTGTATATGTGCCACATTTTTTTAATCCATCACTGATGGACATTTGGGTTGGTTCCAAGTCTTTGCTATTGTGAATAGTGCCGCAATAAACATACGTATGCATACGTCTTTATAGTAGCATGCTTTATAATCCTTTGGGTATTGCTGGTATAGTTTGAGGTCAGATAGCATGATGCCTCCAGCTTTGTTCTTTTTGCTTAGGATTGCCTTGGTTATCTGGGCTCTTTCTTGGTTCCATATGAATTTTAAAATAGTTTGTTCTAGTTCTGTGAAGAATCTCAATGGTAGCTTAATAGGAATAGCATTGAATCTATAAATTGCTTTGGGCGGTATGGCCATTTTAACGATATGGAATCTTCCTGTCCATGAGCATGGAATGTTTTTCCATTTGTTTGTGTCATCTTTGGCTTTTTAGATTGCTGGGTCAAATGGTATTTCTAGTTCTAGATCCTTGGATCACCACACTGTCTTCCACAATGGTTGAGCTAGTTTACACTCCCACCAACAGTGTAAAAGCATTCCTGTTTCTCCACAGCCTCGTCAGCATCTGTCGTTTCCTGACTTTTTAATAATTGCCATTCTAACTGATGTGAGGTGATATCTCATTGTGGTTTTGATTTGCATTTCTCTGATGACCAGTGATGATGAGCATTTTTTAATGTGTCTGTTGGCTGCATAGATGTCCTCTTTTGAGAAGTGTCTGTTCATATCCTTTGCCCACTTTTTGATGGGGTTGTTTTTTTCTTGTAAATTTGTTTAAGTTCTTTGTAGATTCTGAATATTAGCTCTTTGTCAGATGGGTAGATCGCAAAAATTTCCTCCCATTCTGTAGGTTGCCTGTTCACTCTGATGGTAGTTTCTTTTGCTGTGCAAACTTTTTAGTTTAATTAGATCCCATTTGTCCATTTTGGCTTTTGTTGCCATTGCTTTTGGTGTTTTAGTCATGAAGTCCTTGCCCATACCTATGTCCTGAATGGCATTGCCTAGGTTTTCTTCTAGGGTTTTTAAGGTTTTAGGTCTAACATTTAAGTCTTTAATCCTTCTTGAATTAATTTTTGTATAAGGTGTAAGGAAGGGATCCAGTTTCAGCTTTCTACATATGGCTAGCCAGTTTTCCCAGGACCATTCATTAAATAGGGAATCCTTTCCTCATTTCTTGTTTTTGTCAGGTTTGTCAAAGATCAGGTGATTGTAGATGTGTGGTGTTATTTCTGAGGCCACTGTTCTGTTCCATTGGTCTGTCTCTCTGTTTTGGTACCAGTACCATGCTGTTTTGGTTACTGTAGCCTTGTAGTATAGTTTGAAGTCAGGTAGCGTGATGCCTCCAGCTTTGTTCTTCTTGCTTAGGATTGTCTTGGCAATGTGGGCTCTCTTTTGGTTCCATAGGAGCTTTAAAGTAGTTTTCTTCCAATTCTGTGAAGAAAGTCATTGGTAGCTTGGTGGGGATGGCTTTGAATCTACAAATTACCTTGGGCAGCATTGATTCTTCCTATCCATGAGCATGGAATGCTCTTCCATTTGTTTGTGTCCTCTTTTATTTCATTGAGCAGTGGATTGTAGTTCTCTTGAAGAGGTCCTTCACATCCCTTGTAAGTTGGATTCCTAGGTATTTTATTCTCTTTGAAGCAATTGTGAATAGGAGTTCACTCATGATTTGGCTCTCTGTTTGTCTGTTACTGGTGTATAAGAATGCTTATGATTTTTGCACATTAAATTTGTTTCCTGTGACTTTGCTGAAGTTGCTTATCAGCTTAAGGAGATTTTGGGCTGAGACAATGGGGTTTTCTAAATATACAATCATGTCATCTGCAAACAGGGACAATTTGACTTTGTCTTTTCCTAATTGATACTTCTTTCTCTGGCCTGATTGCCCTGTCCAGAACTTCCAACACTATGTTGAATAGGAGTGGTGAGAGAGGGCATCCCTGTCTTGTGCCAGTTTTCAAAGGGAATGCTTCCAGTTTTTGCACATTCAGTATGATATTGGCTGTGGGTTTGTCATAAATAGCTCTTATTATTTTGAGATATGTTCCATCAATACCTAGTTTATTGAGAGTTTTCAGCATGAAGGTCTGTTGAATTTTGTCAAAGGCTTTTTCTGCATCTATTGAGATAATCGTGTGGTTTTTGTCTTTGGTATAGTCTGTTGATTTGGGATGGAGAGTTCTGTAGATGTCTATTAGGTCTGCTTGGTGCAGAGCTGAGTTCAAGTCCTGGATATCCTTGTTAACCTTCTGTCTCGTTGATCTGTCTAATATTGACAGTGGGGTGTAAAAGTCTCCCATTATCATTGTGTGGGAGTCTAAGTCTCTTTGTAGGTCTCTAAGGACTTGCTTTATGAATCTGGGTGCTCCTGTATTGGGTGCATATATACTTAGGATAGTTAGCTCTTCTTGTTGAATTGATCCCTTTATCATTATGTAATGGCCTTCTTTGTCTCTTTTGATCTTTGTTGGTTTAAAGTCTGTTTTACAAGAGACTAGGATTGCAACCCCTCCTTTTTTTTGCTTTCCATTTGCTTGTTAGATCTTCCTCCATCCATTTATTTTGAGCCTATGTGCATTCGTTTCACATGAGATGGGTCTCCTGAATATAGCACACTGATGGGTCTTGACTCTTTATCCAATTTGCCAGTCTATGTCTTTTAATTGGGACATTTAGCCCATTTATTTTTAAGGTTAATATTGTTATGTGTGAATTTGATCCTGTCATTATGATGTTAGCTGGTTATTTTGCCCGCTAGCTGATGCAGTTTCTTTCTCGTATCGATGGTCTTTACAATTTGGCATGTTTTTGCAGTGGCTGGTACTGGTTGTTCCTTTCCATGTTTAGTGCTTCCTTCAGGAGCTCTTGTAAGGCAAGCCTTGTGGTGACAAAATCTCTCAGTGTTTGCTTGTCTGTAAAGGATTTTATTTCTCCTTCACTTATGAAGCTTAGTTTGGCTGGATAGGAAATTCTAGGTCGAAAATTCTTTTCTTTAAGAATGTTGAATATTGGCCCCCATTCTCTTCTGGCTTGTAGAGTTTCTGCCCAGAGATCCGCTGTAAGACTGATGGGCTTCCCTTTGTGGGTAACCCGAACTTTCTCTCTGGCTGCCCTTAACATTTTTTCCTTCATTTCAACCTTGGTGAATCTGACAATTATGTATCTTGGGGTTGCTCTTCTCGAGGAATATCTTTGTGGTGTTCTCTGTATTTCCTGAATTTGAATGTTGGCCTGCCTTGCTAGGTTGGGGAAGTTCTCCTGGATAATATCCTGAAGAGTGTTTTCCAACTTGGTTCCATTCTCCCTGTCACTTTCAGGTACACCAATCAGACATAGATTTGGTCTTTTCACATAGTCCCACATTTCTTGGAGGCTTTGTTCATTTCTTTTTACTCTTTTTTCTTTAAACTTCTCTTCTCACTTTATTTCATTAATTTGATCTTCAATCATTGATACCCTTTCTTCCACTTGATCGAATCGGCTAATGAAGGTTGTGCATGTGTCACATAGTTCTTGTGCCATGGTTTTCAGCTCCATCAGGTCATTTAAGGTCTTTTCTACACTGTTTATTCTAGTTAGCCATTTATCTAACCTAAGGTTTTTAGCTTTCTTGTGATGGGTTTGAACATGCTCCTTTAGTTCAGAGAAGTTTGTTATTACTAACCTTCTGAAGCCTACTTCTGTCAACTCGTCAAAGTCATTCTCCATCCAGCTTTGTTCCATTGCTGGCAAGGAGCTGCAATCCTTTGGAGGAGAAGAGGTGCTCTGGTTTTTAGAATTTTCAGCTTTCCTGCTCTGGTTTCACCCCATCTTTGTGGTTTTATCTACTTTTGGTCTTTGATATTGGTGACCTACAGATGGGGTTCTGGTGTAGGTGTCCTTTTTGTTGATGTTGATGCTATTTCCTTCTGTTTGTTAGTTTTCCTTCTAACAGTCAGGCCCCTCTGCTGCAGGTCTGTTGGAGTTTGCTGGAGGTCCACTCCAGACCCTGTTTGTCTGGGTATCACCAGCGGAGGCTGCAGAACAGCAAATATTGCACAACAGCAAATATTGCTGCCTGATCCTTCCTCTGGAAGCTTCGTCCCAAAAGGGGACCCGCCTATATGAGGTGTCTGCTGGCCCCTACTGGGAGGTGTCTCCCAGTTAGGCTACATGGGGGTCAGGGACCCACTTGAGGGGGCAATCTGTCCGTTTTCAGAGCTCAAACACCATGCTGGGAGAACCACTGCTCTCTTCAGAGCTGTCAGACAGGGATGTTTAAGTCTGCCGAAGTTGTCTGCTGCCTTTTGTTCAGCTAAGTCCTGCCCACAGAGATGGAGTGTAGAGGTAGTAGGGCTTGCTGAGCTGCGGTGGGCTCTGCCCAGTTCGCACTTCCAGGCCACTTTGTTTACCTACTCAAGCCTCAGCAATAGTGGATGCCCCTCCCCCAGCCAGGCTTCCACCTTGCGGTTCAATCTCAGACTGCTGCACTTTCAGTGAACAAGGCTCCGTGGGTGTGTGACCCGCCAAGCCAGGCACGGGAGAGAATCTCCTTGTCTGCCAGTTGCCAAGACCTTGAGAAAAGCACAGTATTTGGGTGGGAGTGTCCCGTTTTCCAGGTGTAATATGTCACAGCTTCCCTTGGCTAGGAAAGGGAAATCCCCCAACCCCTTGTGCTTCCCAGGTGAGGCGATGCCCCGCCCTGCTTCAGCTCACCCTCTGTGGGCTGCACCCGTTGTCCAACCAGTTCCAATGAGTTGAACCAGGTACCTCAATTGGAAATGCAGAAATCACCCATCTTCTGGGTCAATCACACTGGGAGCTGCAGACTGGAGCTGTTCCTATTCAGCCATCTTGGAATGGATCCTTCTCTGACTTTTTTGAGCAGTGTTTTGTAGTTCTCCTTGGAGAGCTCTTCCTGCTTTGGCTCTCAGCTTGACTGATGTTGGTGTATGGAGTGTTAGGGAGCTTTGCACATTGATTTTGTATTCTGAGACTTTGTTGAAGTTGTTAATCAGCTTAAGGAGCTTTGGGGCTGAGACCATGGGGTTTTCTAGGTATAGGATCATGTTGTCTGCAAACAGGGATAGTTTGACTTCTTCTCTTCCTATTTGGATGCCCTTTATTTCCTTCTCTTGCCTGATTGCCCTAACCAGGACATCCAATACTATGTTAAATAGGAGTGGTGACAGAGGACATCCTTGCCTTGTGCCAGTTTTCAAGGGGAATGCTTCCAGGTCTTGCCATTTAGTATGATGTTGGCTGTGGGTTTGTCATAGATGGCTCTTATTATTTTGAGGGATGTTCCCTCAATACCTAATTTACAGGGAGTTTTTAACATGAAGAGGCGTTGAATTTTATAGAAATCCTTTTCTGTGTCTATTGAGATAACCATGTGGTTTTTGTCTTTAATTCTGTTTGCAGGATGAATCACATTTATTGATTTGCTTATGTTGAACCAACCTTACATCGCAGGGATAAAGGCTACTTGATTGTGGTGGATAAGCTTTTTGATGTGCTCCTGGATTTGGTTTGCCAGTATTTTGTTGAGGATATTTGCATCCATGTTTATCAAGGATATTGGCCTGAAGTTTTCATTTTTTGTTGCATCTCTGCCAGGTTTTGGTATCAGGATGATGCTCATATGCCTCGTAGAATGAGTTAGGGTGAAGTCCCTCTTCCCTATTCTGGGAATAGTTTCAGCAGGAATGATACCAGGTCTTCATTTTTTACCTTGTAGAAAAATTGACATGGCAAGACAGCTTGGTAGACATGAAATCAGAAGTGGGGGAGTTAGTTTGATTATCTTAGAGGAGGCATTCTTCATCACTGTAGGGGAAAAAACTTTCAAGGAAATGGTGTACTTGAGTCCACATGCCAAGGCACCTTCTTTCCCCAGACCATGCTAGAGATACTTTGACAGATTATTTTAGTTGCTTTTTTTTTTTTTAATAATTTTGTTGATCATTCTTGGGTGTTTCTCGGAGAGGGGGATGTGGCAGGGTAATAGGACAATAGTGGAGAGAAGGTCAGCAGATAAACACGTGAACAAAGGTCTCTGGTTTTCCTAGGCAGAGGACCCTGCAGCCTTCCGCAGTGTTTGTGTCCTTGGGTACTTGAGATTAGGGAGTGGTGATGACTCTTAACTAGCATGCTGCCTTCAAGCATCTGTTTAACAAAGCACATCTTGCACCACCCTTAATCCATTTAACCCTGAGTTGACACAGCACATGTTTCAGAGAGCACGGGGTTGGGGGTAAGGTTATAGATTAACAGCATCCCAAGGCAGAAGAATTTTTCTTAGTACAGAACAAAATGGAGTCTCCTATGCCTACTTCTTTCTACACAGACACAGTAACAATCTGATCTCTCTTTCTTTTCCCCACATTTCCCCCTTTTCTTTTCGACAAAACCACCATCGTCATCATGGCCCGTTCTCAATGAGTTATTGGGTACACCTCCCAGACAGGGTGGCAGCCGGGCAGAGGCACCCCCCACATCCCAGACAGGGTGGCCAGGCAGAGGCGCCCCCCACATCCCAGATGGGGTGGCCGGGCAGAGGCGCCCCCCACCCCCAAGACGGGGCGGCCGGGCAGAGGCGCCCCCCACCCCCCAGACGGGGAGGCCGGGCAGAGGCGTCCCCCACCTCCCAGACGGGGCGGCCGGGCAGAGGCGCCCCCCACCTCCCAGACGGGGCGGCCGGGCAGAGGCACCCCCCACCTCCCAGACGGGGCAGATGCTGGGCAGAGGCGCCCCCCACCTCCCAGATGGGGCGGATGCTGGGCAGAGGCGCCCCCCCACCTCCCAGACGGGGCGGATGCCAGGCAGAGGCGCTCCCCACCTCCCAGACGGGGCGGATGCCGGGCAGAGGTGCTCCCCACCTCCCAGACGGGGTGGCCGCCGGGCAGAGGCGCTCCCCACCCCCCAGACGGGGTGGCCGCCGGGCAGAGGCGCTCCCCACCTCCCAGATGGGGCGGCTGGGCAGAGGCACTCCCCACCTCCCAGACGGGGCGGCGGGGCAGAAGTGCTCCCCACTTCCCAGACGGGGCAGCGGCCGGGCTGAGATGCTCCTCACTTCCCAGATGGGGCAGTGGCCAGGCAGAGGTGCTCCTCACTTCCCAGACGGGGCAGCTGCCGGGCAGAGGTGCTCCTCACTTCTCAGACGGGGCGGCCGGGCAGAGGCGCTCCTCACCTCCCAGAAAGGGCGGCCGGGCAGAGGCGCTTCTCACTTCCCAGACAGGGTCGCAGTCGGGCAGAGGCACTCCTCACTTCCCAGACAGGGTCGCGGTCGGGCAGAGGCACTCCTCACCTCCCGGACAGGGCGGCCGGGCAGAGGCGCTCCTCACCTCCCGGACGGGGCGGCCGGGCAGAGGCGCTCCTCACCTCCCGGACGGGTTGGCCGGGCAGAGGCGCTCCTCACATCCCAGACGGGGTGGTGGCCAGGCAGAGGCACTCCTCACCTCCCAGACGGGGTGGCGGCCAGGCAGAGACGCTCCTCACCTCCCAGATGGGGCGGTGGCTGGGCAGAGGTGCTCCTCAGTTCCCAGATGGGGCGGCTGGGCAGAGGCACTCCTCACCTCCCAGACAGGGCGGCCGGGCAGAGGTGCTCCTCACTTCCTGGACAGGGCGGCTGGGCAGAGGCGCTCCTCACTTCCCGGATAGGGCAGCCGGGCAGAGGCGCTCCTCACTTCCCGGACAGGGCGGCCAGGCAGAGACGCTCCTCACATCCCAGATGGGGTGGTGGCCGGGCAGAGGCGCTCCTCACTTCCCAGACAGGGTTTAGTTGCCTTTTTTATTCTATGTAGATGACCCCATCCCCACCATATTCACATATTCCTTCTTCACTCAGGTACAAAATTCAGTAGGACACGACTTTCTGAGTCATATGCTGGATTTGAGGAGATACTGAAGCCACAAGACTGAAATAACTTTTAAACTGTGGGTGATTTGGCTAAAAGCTACTCTCATCTATTATATATTCATCTTACTAGTTTTGCTCTCAGAGGAAGTTCCTGTTTCCAAGGTAAAGGAACCTTTCTCTAACTCCACCTACCTTCCTCCTCACTAAATGGGTACAGAAAATATGCTTAGAAAAAAACGCAGAGGACCCTGATATTGTCATTCTGAAATATCAGTAGTATCTGTCACATTTTGACAGGAACTAGATACTAATCAATTTATAAGATTGAGTTTTCATGTTTCTAAAGTGCAGATACTCTGTGTTGATGGTTAAAGAGAAAGCCAGCTGGTTAGGTGTCAGATGATCTCTGACAGTGTTACCATAGACATTTAATTGCATGACCATATCTTATCCAGATGGCATTTCTCGCTTACACAGATACATAACCCCAGAGGGGCAGAGGGAGAGATGTCAAATTTCCCTCAAAATAGAACTTTGAGTCCACCCAAAGTCTACCAAGTGAGACTTTACAATTCTGCCCAAAGAGTACAGAAATTACATTGATCTGGCAAGAAAGAATGAATGGGAACCCAAAGGTAGCTGCTTGAGTTAATCAGGTTGGTGAGTGGCTGACAGGGTGCTAGAGTGGGCAAAGTCAACATTAAACCACCAGCGCACAACTTCCTATGTACCCAATGTTCACCTTCCCAGCTCCTATCATCTTTGCCACTTTACTCTGAACTGGAAACCCTCTGTACATTTTTTCCTCTTTAACTCAAAGCCTTTAGAACTCTCGAGCTCAAGCAGTCCCCTCCTGCCTCAGCCTCCTGAGTAGCTGGGACCACAAGCACACGCCACCATACCTGGATAATTTTTAAATTTTTTGTAGAGATAGGGTCTCTCCCTATGTTGCCCAGATTAGTCTCGAACTCCTGGGCTCAAGTGATTATTCTGCCTCGGCCTCCCAAAGCACTGGGGTTATGACCCACCACGCCTGGCCCCACATCTTGTTTTTCACATAATGAAATGTTTTGAAGACAGTTTGTGTCAACATTCATAGATCTAGCTCAGTCTTTTTCATGTCTGCATAGAATTATGTATTATGAATGTGGTAGAATTTATATATCCAGACATCAGTTGATGGACTTTTAGTCATTTTTAGTCTTTTGCCATTACAAACAATGCTGCACTGAATGTCGCTGTCTATGCACCATTTTTTCACATATTCATAAGTATATCAGCAGGTTAAATTTCTAGAATTAGAATTCTTCAGTCAAAGGATATATGTGCTTTACCCTTTGATAGATGTTACTCAATTGCCTCCCCATCAAAGAGGTTCTACAAATTTTTACTCCTACAAACATACAAGAAGTATCTGTTTTCCCACATCTTTGTCAACATATATAATTTCTTTACTGAATTTACAGTAAAATTCACTTTTTAAGGTGTAAAGTTCTATGAATTTTGACAAACATATAAAGTCATTTAACCACCATCACAATCAAAATCTAGAATATTTCTATTATTTCCAAAAGCTCCTTTGTGGCCCTTTGTAGTCAATCCTCTGTGCCCATCCTGAGCCTTTGCCTACTGATCTAATTTCTGTTCTTAGTTTTGCCTTTTCCAAAATATCATATCAATGAAAGCACAAAGTAAATAGCCTGTTTGAGTCTGGTTTCTTTTACTTAGCATAATGCTTTTGAGATTCATACATATTGTTACATTTATCAGTAGTTTATTCCTTTTCCTTATTGCTGAGTAGAATTTCATTGTATGATTGTTCCCAATTTGTATACATTTGCCAGTTGCTAGCATTTGGATTGTTTTGAGGTTTTGGCAATTATGAATAAAGCAGTTGGAAATATCTAGGTACATGTCTTTGTGTGGACATAGGTCTTTGCTTTTCTCAGGTAAATACCTCAGTGTGGGATTGCTCAATTTTATGGTGAGTTTTTATTTAACTTTATAAGAAACTGCCAAACACTTTCTCAAAGTGGCTTTGTTATTTCCCATCCCTAGCAGCAAGGCACAAGTGTTTCAGTTGCTCTGCATTCTTACCAACATTTCATATTGTCAATATTTAAAAAATTTTGGCCATTCTAATAAGTGTATAGTGAATATTATGTATTTATCAAACTTTAAAAATGTTGCTATTCTGAAAATTATTTTTTTCATTTACATTTCTTTAATTAAGGGTAGTTAGAATACATTTAATATGTTGATAACACATATTTCTTTTTCTTTGAATTGCCTATTCATCTTCTTTGCCATTTTTCTATTAGGTGAGCTGATCATTTTCTTAATGATTTTAAAATGACGCTTATATATTAGTGAATCCAACTATTTCATAATTGTTGCAAACTTTTGTCATTTTTTACTTTGATTTGTTAACTTACAGAAATACAATTTACAAATTTTGAAGAGAAGAGGAGACTTTATTTCTTATAAAAGGTTACAGCCTGCAGGATGGCCATTTTGACAGGTTGGGAAGTATAGCCTCCAGTCAGAAGCCAGAAACATATCTGGAGGGAGGGGCAAAGGGAACAGGAATTTACACAGAGCTGGTGGCCAAATATACATATTCAATAAGCTATAGAAGGAGTCATGAATATTTATGAAGGGAGAACCATCTGCATGTGTAATTGAGCCTTCTGCTTCTCCATGTTCAAAAAATGGTGGTGACCTTAGGTGGAGTTTTTGGCCCTCTGACATCAAAACATGAAGCAGAGGATGTGAAAACACTAGCTGCCTATTCTTCATAGACTGGCCAGAACCACCCCATAGTTAGTGGTCTCTTATCAGGCAGAAAAGATGGGGCAGCATCAGGGAGTCGGTTGATATCAGTGGTGGAGCCTTTTGAAAGGGCTGGTTTCTGTTAGGCCCTTGAGAAGGAAAGCCTACTCCTGGTTAGCAAGGGAGAGGGTCTGAGCCCCTCCCACCCTCCATTCCATCTTGGCCGAGAACGCAGTTTTCAAGGTTTCTCTGGGGTCCCCTTGGCCAAAAGATGGTCTGGTCAGTTGGGGGGCTTAGAATTTTATTTTGTATAGCTTATAGCACATTTTTCTATAGTAATATTTGTATGTAACCTCTAAATTTTGTACCTCATTGGTGCAAAAATAAGGCGGTATAAATGAGAGAGTTTATAAAGGCAAGGTATACAAGACAAGACTATAAGGCTAGGCACCCTGGTTGAGTCAGTTCACCCTGCTTCCACTATTATCCAGCACTAGAGATGCATGGCCAATACAGATTTTCTTGCTTATTCTCACCATCTGCAAATAACCAAGGCTTGTTGACAAATGCAGCTGCTTTGAGAAAGGGTAGAGTCCCCAGGGCACAATTTTTCAATTTCAGATGTGGAAGAAGACTCGTTTAGTGGAAGCAATGCGCTTATTGCTGAGGCCATCAATATACCAGATTGTTACGCCTTTTGGCTGGGACACAGGGAATTCCTGTCTGCAGAGTCAGTGACATCACTTTGCCGGAAACAGCCTTCCTCCCTGCCAACCCTACACTTAAACATGGGATTCCACACTGACCACAAAGGCCTATTATTCTCAATGCAATCTATGGGCAAAAGAATTTGAGGGAGGCTAGAAGGGGTGGGGGCAAGAGAGAATGGATGGTTTGGTTGGAGGAAGTGAGAAGAATCAGGGAAGAGGACTCTTTTGCTTCCTCATTTCCCATACATAGAGCCTCTGTCACCATTTGATTTTTGCGATCATTAACATTTTTAGAGTCAGGTATAACCAAGTGCAAACCAGTTATGTTAGTTACATGCTGCTAATCTGAGAAGAGTGTGTTGCCCAAGAACTGTGGGTGGGGAGCCTCAGGTTGGCTGAATCTGATTTGCAGGAAGAGCTTGTTCTGCACCCCCACCCACATCTACACTATCTGGATGTCACCAAATAGGCTCTCCCCACCCAAAGCTGAGTCTCAAGGGGTCCACTCAGTATCAGCCAGGCTACGTTGTTAAGATAAATGCAATTGTTTTCTAACTAAGAAGCTGTGAACCGAGAATAATTGGCTAATTAAAAGTTCAAAGAGTGGAAATAAAATAGCATTAAAAAGAGCCAGTAACTTCCTCTGACGTCTGTGGTTCAAGAGATCAGTGGAACAGGACATGGGTTATTTACTCAATTACCTTGTCTTTCTACCTTTCTTTTCATTCTCACCCCCACCCCTTCCCTTCCTTCTTATTTCCTGGCTCTATTTTCTTACCTGTGTCTCCCAACCCAATGTCCATCTCATTTTTCCTCCTTCTTTTTTGCCTTTTGCCCTTTAACTAACTGGTTATCATTGAGATCTTTAGGATCAAAGTTTGTCTTTAGCAGTTGTGTTTCTATTGATGTTTGTGCTGACTTCTTTAAGTAAAATATAGGCAGGAAAAAACCCGCTAAATTAAACTGCTTTATCCTTGAATGTGACTCTGGATTGGTTAATTGGAGAAATATGGGGTTGGGGTAGAATAAGACCTTTCCATTTAGATAGAATTTTGGACTAGTGCTTTTGCATTGGGTCAGCTGAGAAAGAATAAAACTGAAAAATTTCTACGCATCTCTAATGCAGGACAATGATTTAAGGCATTGAAGTGGAACTGAGACACTTGGATCAAATCCCTGTTCTGCCACGTGCAAGGTGCATGACTTGGGCAAGTCCCTTAAGCTTCCTGAGAAACACAGTCTCAGCCTTTTGTCACTTAACTGTAAGCTTCTGACTGTCAGGGATGAGATTCATGATTTCAAAAGGTAGGACATTGGTATCCTCAGTGAGAACAGTCCAGACAACCCTTCCAGCCAAATCCTCAATGTTGGTCACTTTTTATTTCTGGATAATGAGATTGGCTACCACATAACAGTACTGGTAGCACAGCCCAGACACTGTATGAGCCTCAGTCATGTATTGTAGGGTAGGGTGCTGGTTAAAAGCCTGGACCTTGAAGCCAGAATGCCCGTGTTTAATTCCTGGCCCTGTTACCGGTGGCAGCTATCTGAGTTACTGGCAGTGTATCCATACGGGTCTGCAGTAACCTCAATTCTTGCCTCATCAGAAGAAAGAATGTGAGGGATATAAAGTAGAAAAAGAGACTGAGTCAAGTTTCAGAGCAGGACTGGAAGTTTATTGAAAAGGCTTTAGAACAGGAAAGAAAGGAGAGAACCCTTGGAAGAGATCCAAGTGGGCAACTTGGAGAACAAACAACGTGTTTAGCTGTGATCCTAGGACTTTATAGGCGGCCATCTTGAGCCCTTTTCCCGTGATTCTTCCCTTAGGGTGGGCTGCCTGCACGCACAGTGCCCTCCTTACCTCCTTGAGCACACAGTGTGTTTAGGAAGTTGTGTGCATGCTCATCTGAGGCTTTCTTTCCTTTTCCGGTGGAGTGCTCCCGGCAAGTCATCTTCCACCTTTTGTCTCTTAATGTGCATGCCCAGGAAGTTGCTTCTCCCTGGTGCTTGAATTCAATTAACACTTTAATGTTACAGCTGTGGATCAGCAGATTTTCTCTCCCTGGCTCCAGCTGCCAAATTATCATTTTTAGAGAGGCAATGTGATAACTGTCAAACCATCACCTGATATTTCTAGTTGGTGGGGGAGAAGAGCCCTTTCCTGCCATGTCTGTCTAACTACATGTAACAGCGCAACATTTACATCAGTGTAACTTTGGGAAGTTACTTAATCTCTCTGTGACTCAGTTTCCTCATCTGTAAACTAACAATAATGATAATTATAATAGTGACTGTGAGTGTGACTTTATTTGGAAATATAGTAGGGTGTTCAGAGATGTAATTAAGCTAAGGATCTTGAGATGAAATCATCTTGAATTTAGGGTGGGCCCTAAATCTGATGACTGGTGTCCTTATGAGAGAAAGGAGAAGGAAACGTGACACAAAGAGCAACAGGGGGAAAGGCCATGTGAAGACAGAGGTGGAGATTGGAGTGATGCAGCCACAAGCCAAGGAATGCTAAGAAGCTGAAAAAGACAAGAAAGACATCTCCTCCAGAACCTTCAAAGGGAGCATGCCCCTGCTGATACCTTAACTTTTGGACTTCTGGCCTCCAGATTTATGAAAGAATACATTTCTGTTTGAAGCCAGCAAGTTCATGGTAACTTGTTGTGGCAGCCCTAAAAAACTAATACAGATTTTATAGAGAAGATGATAGTATTACGTGCACCTTATAGGATTGTAGTGAAGGCTAAATTGATGGCTGCATTTAAAGTGCTAAGAGTAGAATCTGGAATATAGTAAGAACTCTTTAGTATAGGCTATTACGTGTTGTTAGCTCATTGAACCTTACATAGCAACCCTATGAAGCAGATACTATTGTGACTCCCATTCTGCCCATGAGGAAATGGAGGCTTACAGAGACTAAGCAAAGGTAAGCTTATCTGAACTCTGCTCTAGCTTGAACCATCCCCCAGAAGTCTGTGGAGTTTGACTAACTGCTGATGGATCCTGATGATTGTTGGCTCGGTGACCCTTCCTGATGATGGTCTCTCAGAAAAGACTCTCCAGTGCTGAGCCATCAAGAAGTCTAGAAGGCATTGAGAAGGCTGTCACATGTGATTATGTTTACTCCTCCTGGATGCGTCTGCCCAGACCTGGTTTTGGCACAAGCTCTGCTCTGATGGAGCCAGGCTCTGTCCACACTTGGCTGTGTGGCCTGACCTCATTTGAGTAGCCTCAGCACATCATTACCACAAGAGGCAGGGATGTGCCACCCTAAAAGGCCACACCCTCTCTCTCCAGTGACTTCAACAGCCCCCAATGGTTCCTTGTTCACCCCTAAGTTGCTAAGCATAGATTATATGAATGACTTTAGAAGTAAGTCACATCACTCAGAATAAGGCAAAGCCCTCACTAGTGCCCTCAAGGCCTTATGAGCAGGGGACCCCATTGATCCTCTGACCAGTTCCTACTACTCTCCCCTCAGGGCCTTTCTGTGTACAGTTCCAGATGCTGTAAAGCTCTTGCCTCAGAGGTATGCAGGCTTTCTCCCTGTGATAGAAATCACCTTCTCAGGCCAGTCCTAATCACTGCATCCTTCCTTTTTACCTTCCTTGCTTTTTCTTCCTCCTCAGCACTTAAAATTATGTAATACACTGTAAATTTTGTTTATCTTGCTTATTGTATTTTTCTCCCAACTAGAATATAAGCACCATGAGGATAGGGACATTTCTCACTTTGGGTTATTGCTGTAGCTCAGAGCCTAGGGCAGGTCTAGTTCATAGTAATAATGTGTTCAATAAGTAATTATTGAGTGACCAACTGAAAAAATGAATGAGGCATAGTCCCCTCTCCAACAACTATAGAACTCCCAAACTGAAATGGTTCAAGCTATATCTAGAGGTAGCACATGAAGAGAGGACTACTGACATAACTGAGCTTTGTAGAGTATAGGGGGAGCATAGCTTCCAACTGAGCTTGATTTTGAAGGAGACAAAAAGACTTGGAGAATGAGGGGAATGGAATTACAAATGAAGGCGTCCCACACTGAGAAAAGTTCAGAGAATCCAAAATTCATTCATTCATTCATTCATTCATACAACATGGGATATACCAATGAACAAGCCAGAAAAAAGTCCCTGCCCTAAGGAGCTTACATTCTAGTAGTCATAATGTCAGGAATTCTCATCTTGGACCCAAACAGATCTGTTGGTTGGAATGGTAAAATGGGAAGGGCTGAAATTTCTGAAGGGCTTGGAGGTCTAGGTAGACCAGTGTAGCTTTCATCTGGCACACAGCAGGACATAGGTTCTTGATAAGGTAGAGTCTTAGGAACGTCAATTGTGGAAGATTTCTATAGCCACATGAAGGAGGGATTCTGATAGAGAAGATAATTAGGAAGTGTGGGAGTCACCAGAAAGGGCCATTGTAGAAGATCAGATATGAGGTAAGGGTGACTGGAATCAGGGGATGTGGATATCACTATAGAAGAAGGTGGGTCTAAGGGGCTTGGGATGAAATAACTGAGAGAGGATCTTCAAGCCCCTGAGTGTGAGAACAACCTACATATGTGTCCTCAAGAAGAGTTCCCTGATGGAGAAGAAGGAAGGTAGCAGGGGTGGTGTGGAGACTTTGACTCTGTGAGTTGGAGGAACGACAACGCCAGATTAGGACCAGTCTTCTGAGCTTCAGTGATTGTTCCATCATTAGGCTATGTAAACACAGGAAGGACCACAACATTCCTTGAATGTTTGCTCACCAATGCTTGTCCACATTTGCTGTTTTGTTCTCTATATGACAAGAAAAGTTTAGTCCAGATGTGACTCATAACAAATTGGAAACAATTTGAATCTAGTCAGTCACATTGGATCTGCAAAGCAAAACTTTTTTTTGCCTGAAATCCACCACATCTGTCAACACCCCAAATCTGTTTATTAATGGAGTAAAATTTTAAGCTGTTATATTTTTGTTATCACAGAGTAGCAATGCTGGGATTTCTCTATACAACAGAATTTTGACTATGGACAAAATTAAATAATTTGTTTGTTTGTTTTGGAGACAGGGTCTCACTCTGTTGCCCAGGCTAGAGTGCAGTGGTGTGATCTTGGCTCACTACAACCTCGGTGTCCTGGGCTCAAGCGATCCTCTCACCTCAGCCTCCCAAATAGCTGGGACTACAGGCATATGCCACCACGCCTGGCTAATTTTTGTATTTTTTTTGTAGAGACAGATTTTCACCATGTTACCCCCCAGTCTCAAACTCCTGGACTCAAGTGATCCGCCCACCTTTGCCTCCCAAAGTGCTGAGATTACAGGTGTGAGCCACTGCACCCTGCCGAGATTAAATAATTTTGATTTTCACCTTAGTATGATTATAACTGGACATCATGATGGCTGTTTCTATAAGAATCAAAAGAACCTTTGCTTCCTTTGATTCTTATAAAAGTCTTGAAGGTATTTTTCCTCTGACACAGCTAATTGGCTTGAAATCAGCCTGTGTTTTTTCAAAGCTTGGGTTTCCTTCAGTTTTATCTCTCTGTCAGGTGAAGAGTTGAAGTTAATATTACCTTGCTCTCTCACTTTAAGCTGAAAATTCCCCTCCCTTGTCACATCACATGAAAAGAAAAAAATGCAAAGGAAGTGGCCGTCTTAAATTCTCCAGTACAGTAAGCCAATTCAAAGGGAAAACAATGACAACACTTTGCCATTGGATATTTTGGTAAAATCATTTGTTGAAATTCTGTTTCGAAATACCATTTCACATTGTATGACAGAAACCACATTTCTGTTATCCACAAGGCAAATTAAGGGCTTTTCAGGGGGAAGACAATCAATGTGAATTTTCCATAATAGAGCTTGACTGTGGCAGTCATGGGATCTGAAAGCACTCTGGGGGTCTAAGAAGAAGGGGCAGTTACCTAAGTAATTCTCTTTTTATGAACACATCCAAGATATGTCAACCTGCACCCCACCTCTAGCACCTCTTCTTTGGCACCACTTCTGAGATGACTCTCCTGCTTCCTGGATGTGATCAGGGCTTTTGAAAACTGGCTGACATATAGTCCATGGAAGATAGCATTTTAATTACTGCTCTCTGGGTAATGTAGTCAGTTACATGAAAAACAAACTTAACCATTGTGGGTTCTTTTGGTAATAAAAACATTTGAAAAATCATGTATGAAAAATTCCTAAATTTTCTCTCTGACCTAAAAATCTTTTTCTTATTATATCTTTAATAAGAAATAAGAGTAGGATGAAAGGCTTGCATATATTCTGGTAACCTGGATATCATTGCAAAAGCTGGGAAAATGTGGAAAAGTGTACATCTAACTCCTCAATGACAAGAAGAAGTTAGTAAATTTTCTCGTTAGGAAAAGGAAGAAATAATTATAGTCACATCAAGTTGGTTCCCACCTCTGGGTTCTTGCAGTTTCTGTTCCTTCTTCCTCTTATGTTCTTACTCCCTCTCCAGGCTGGTGTTTTCTCCTCAAATGTCACCTTCAAGGTCTCGGCTCAAATGTCATCTTCTGAGAGAGGCTTTCTTGACCCTCAATCTGATACCTTTCCCTTCATTCCCAATTCTACCGCAAGTCACTCTATCAAGTTCCTTGGTTTGAATTTCTTCTTAGCACATATTGTGACCTGAAATCACCTATTTATGTGCTTCTTTTCTGGTTTATCTGTCTTGCTAACTAGATTGTAAATTCCAAAGAGCAGGGGCCTTATCAGTTTTTCTTTTTTTATTGTAGTAACTTGGATGCTAAGAATAGTGCCTGAAATGGCCATGGAAGGAAAATGAGATTGCAAGATTGTCATATTTACAAAAACAAAAGAAGTTAACAAGTAGACCTTGTTGAATAGCTTGAGGGAGTAAAACATTCAAAATTTTATTATGGTAGAAACATTGCTACAGTTTGTTTGTTGTTATATTTATAATTGGTTGTTTTATTTATAATTGCTTATCTAAAGGACATGCTGCTTAGGGCTGTGTTTGTCAACATCACAACGTTGGGAACCAAAGTGGGGTGCCCTTAGAGGGTTCTTTTCCAGATTCCAGAACACTGGCATCAAAGAGGACATCTCTCCCATACCAGTTTTATCCAGATGTTTTAGCTTCAAGTAGTTAAAATCCTGACTCTAATTGGGTCAAAGCATAAGTTTTATGGAAGGATGGGCTCAGCATTTGTTGATTTAGCAGCTTAAAATGCCATCAAGGACTCACGTTCTCTACATCTCTCTGCTCTGCCATCATTGAATGCCATCCCTTCCAGGCAGGACAATGTTTGAGGATGAAGAGAGAATGTTTTCTTTTTTCCCTAGACTTGCCCCAGAAGACTTCCTCCACGGTCACATGGGCCATAATTAGGTGGCATACCCATTATTAAACCAGTCACTGGTGAGGGAATGAAATTACACAGACAAGTCCATCCCTGAGCTTGGGGGAAAGGCAAGCATCTGAACAAAATGGAGTTTCTTTTGGGAAGGGAGAAGCAGGGAAGTGCTGTGTATTTCACCTGCTCTTCCTTGTTTGGAAGCAATAGATAATGATGTTGCTAAAACTTTTTCTCCTAAATTTTGTATTGTTTGGTCTGATGGGTAAAGACTGCCTCAAGATTCTGGGGATTGAGGTGGATTGGAGACCCATACCTTAATCCAAGCTTAGACTTGGATTAAGTTCAAGCTTCTGCTCAAGAGCTTCAGAGAGAGCTCCCATTTCAGTGCCCAGCCAGCTTCTACGTTTGGGAATAGTTTGGGGAGTTGAGAGAGGAGGAGGTTGAGTTGTCAAAATGGAGGGAATGGTGCAACCATTTCATTTCCTGTTCACTTCCTCTATGCAATCTGTTTACATCTGACCAAAGTAGCTTTTGCCTTTTTTTTTTTTTTTTTTTTTTGAGAGGGAGTTTCACTCTGTCTCCAGGCTAGAGCACAGTGGTGCAATCTTGGCTCACAGCAACCTCTGCCTCCTGGGTTCAAGTGATTCTCCTGCCTCAGCCTCCTGAGTAGCTGGGATGGCAGGTGCACGCCACCATGCCCATCTAATTTTTGTATTTTCAGTAGAGACGGGGTTTCACCATGTTGGCCAGGATAGTCTTGATCTGTTGACCTCGTGATCCACCTGCCTCAGCCTCCCAAAGTGCTGGGATTACAAGCGTGAGCCACGGCACCCGTTTTTGGTTATTATTTTTTTGAGATGGAGTCTTGTTCTGTCGCCCAGCCTGGAGTGCAGTGGTGCGATCTTGGCTCACCGAAACCTCTGCCTCCGGGGTTCAAGCGATTCTCCTGCCTCAGCCTCCCGAGTAGCTGGGATTACAGGTGCCCACCACCATGCCTGGCTAATTTTTGTATTTTTAGTAGAGATGGGGTTTCACCATATTGACCTGGCTGGTCTTGAACTGCTGGCCTTGAGATCCACCTGCCTCAGCCTCCCAAAGTGCTGGGACTACAGGTGTGAGCTGCCGTGTCCGGCCACTTTTGCCTTTTATATAATTCTACTATTGGAGCTTTTCTAATGTCCCATGACAGAATGAGACTAAAGACAAAATAAATAAGATAATATGAATTATGATCCAAAATGTTCAAGACTCCTCAGCCTCTATGCCATTACCAATTGCTTACTATGTAAGGGTGGTTTAAATGCAAGGGGTATGTATGTCAAGCCAGGAAATGTCATGGAATAGTGGGATTTGTTGTTTGATGATACATTCTTAATACTTTTTAACATCATAAACATTTTGTGGTAGATTTCAAAAATGAGGAGGGGTATTCTTGTTTTTTGTTATTTGTTACTTCTACCTTGATAGATCTGTGTGAACTGTTAAACAGCCAATTTGGGGCTCTTCTCACTCCTCATTCCATATCTGATCACTGACCTAGTTTTGTCCTTGCCACAGCCACTAACTCAGTCTTGGCCTTTGTCAAAGTACAAACAAATCCTTTTGTTCTTGAATTATTTCCCAATTACTCTGTAAGTACCTCATTGATAAAAAAGATTGGCTTTTAATCTGTCTCTGATGTCTCCAGGTAGCCATTACAAGACCAGACAGAAAGGGGAGGAAAATCAGTGTTTTTGATTTCTTGTTGGTATTTTTTTCTTCTGCTTTTGGTTTTAGAGTCTAACGTGAAGACATTTTGCTCCAAGAATATCCTAGCCATCCTTGGCTTCTCCTCTATCATAGCTGTGATAGCTTTGCTTGCTGTGGGGTTGACCCAGAACAAAGCATTGCCAGAAAACGTTAAGGTAAGTCAAATATATCTGTGTGTTTGTGTGTATGTAAGAGGAGATCTGGGTGGGACAGGGGGAGGAGGGATAAGGTATGTAGAGCATAGGGGACGAGTTGAGGTTCTAACAGCCCAGGAACAAGTCAATTTCCACTGGATTAGGGGAGTAAAATGGAAATAGGTGCTCATTCTAGAAGAGTAAATGCCTTGAATCATTAGTGGTGGGAAGTTAACTGCCTTTATGATTGTTTAGTAAACTCATTAAATTGATACTCTAGCAGAGATGAATGCTTTATTCACCTTATCCAGATCTGTGTAATACTATGCCAAGATTCTATATTCTAGTATATTTCCACTTCTTCATCATGGGTGAATCACAATACTGCACTCTGTTCTTTTTACTTCATTATTATCACTATCACCAAAACAATAACGTTTATTATACAACTCTGTATAAAGTACTTTGGAAGTCAGAGATTGAGGAGAAGACATGTTTCTTATCTCCAGATATAGTAAAGAATCAAAATCAATAAAAGCAAATCAGAAAACATATACGTGTATCAGGTATAGTCATTTGAAATGAATTCATGGATAGGCAGATTTCTTGTGACATTTCTACATTTGAACAACTAGTTAATATCATTAAAGATCATTAGGATCATTAACTTTAATGTATTTATGTTTTCTTTCCAGTTCATCAAAGTAAAATTTCAGACATGAATATCTCACAAGTACTTTGTAATATGGTCATTATATTTTTTAATCTGTTAATTAAAAAGCATGTGGTAAATAAAAATTTATACTATAAATACACCATTTTAAACTTTCACTGAAATTATAGTAAACAAATATATAAGGGCCCAGATGATACCAATATGCTAATATGCATGTATGTACACATGGGCAGTAATATATCTAGAAGTTAACTTGACCATGGAGGCCTGGGAATACATGTGTAGAAGTATATTCTCTTGTATTTGAAGATGTTGAACTGGGAGCCTGGAAGGATGGTTGTGTATGCCAGGCCTCTGAAACTTTTGCCATCCACCCAAATCACTGTATAGCAGAGGCGTGGGTGTCACACTGGCATCTTTTTGTCAAGTTCAACCCAGTGGTGCTGTGTACAGCAGTCCCTTTGTCAAGACAGAAGGCTGATACTATCTCATTGTTAAGGGTCGCTTGCCTTTTAATGTTGACTGATGTTGTTTCCTTGGCAAAACTTCACTCACAGTTGAAGCCTCATGACATCTTGGTTCCATTATTTGTTTACCAGCTCCAAAAATACATGGTTGCCTTCTTAATTTGACCTTTTTACATGTTCAGTATTGCATCATTGGAGAGGGGGATGCCTAGGAGGCAAAATCCATGACAAACTTGAGTTATGTTCCCAAGAATATGTGTGGTCATGGACGACCTTCCCTCATTCACAGTGGTCTCCTTTAAGTCTCTTGTGCTTCTGCATTGTTATATGGGCCTGGCAAAATGGAACAAGGTCTTTGGCATTCTTTAAATAAAAGGTAGGAGTATTGAAGAGCAGTCATTGGCATCTGAAGTGAATCTTTTTAATAACATCACTGATTTATTTTATACAAAGATAGTTTTATATATGCAAACTAGCCATTTGTTGAGGTTATATAATAATTTTAGTAAGATTCCTGGCATATATTGGGGGCAAAATATTTCAGGAACTTGTATTCTGGTGATGGCTTTAAACCAGATGTGCTGTCCAATTTGATAGCCACTAGCCACATGCAGCTCTTTAAGCTTGTCAATTAAAATTAAATAAAATTAAAAATTCTGTCCCTCTGTTGCACTAGCCACATTTCAAGTGCTCAATAGCCATACATGGCTGGTGGCTACTGTATTGGACAACACAGATATAGAATATTGCCTTGCTGTAGAAAGTTCTATTGGACATTGCCACTTTAAAGCATACTCTTGAATGATAACTCTGAAGTCATTCAAAACTAAGTTTAATGAATAGGGTGTATGATAAAACATTTTATAAAATCTAGAATAAGAAACAAAAAAACTTTTTTTCTTGCATGGTTTGTAAACTAGTACCAGGATCATCCCAAATATCATGGGCTACTAAACTGGTTTGAGTAGTTTATTGAAATAAATGTATTTGCTTCCAAAAATGACCATTTAAAAGATAACACTTATTTGGATATTTGTACTGATACATGTTTTTTGTTTGTTTGTTTGTTTTTTGTTTCTTTGTTTGGGGTTTTTGTTTGTTTCTTTTTCAAGATGGAGTCTCGCTCTGTCGCCCAGGCTGGAGTGCAGTGGCACGATCTCGGCTCACTGAAAGCTCCACCTCCTGGGTTCACGTCGTTCTCCTGCCTCAGCCTCCCAAGTAGCTGGGACTACAGGTGCCCGCCATCACGCCCGGCTAATTTTTTTGTATTTTTAGTAGAGACGGGGTTTCACCATGTTAGCCAGGATGGTCTTGATCTCCTGACCTTGTGATCTGCCTGCCTCAGCCTCCCAAAATGCTGGGATTACAGGCGTGAGCCACCGTGCCCGGCTGATACATGTGTTTTGAGAGCACACAATGACATGACTTTATGACCATACTTCATTCAGCAGTTCTTCATTCATTTTTTATAAATTTATGCATCGACAATTATTTATTACACTCCAGTCTGGCTGACAGAGTAAGACTCTGTCTCAAAAAAAGTAAAATAAAAAATATTCATTGTCTGTGTTAGGCACTGGGCTACACAATAGGGAAGGCAGTATATAGATATGACTGAGCTTACCATCTGGGGAAGCAAACATATTTAATAACACAAATTATTAATTGTAATTATGATAAATTGCCACCAAATGAAAGTTTTGGGGCCAGGCAAGTCTTCCCTGAAAAAATGATACTAAAATAATATCTGAAGAATGATTGGAAGTTAGCTGGGAAAGACATAGGTAAAGGGTAGTCCAGGCAGGGCCGAGCACGGTGGCTCATGCCTGTAATCGAAGCAGTTTGGGAGGCCGAGGTGGGCAGATTGCCTGAGCTCAGGAGCTTGAGACCACCCTGGGCAACATGGTGAAACCCAATCTCTACTAAAATACAAAAAATTAGCTTGGTATGGTGGCGCGTACTTGTAATCCTAGCTACTCAGGAAGCTGAGGTGCGAGAATCACTTGGGCCCCAGAGGCGGAGGTTGCAGTGAGCCAAGATCTGCCACTGCACTCTAGCTTGGGCTACAGAGTGAGACGCCAACTCAAAAAAAAAAAAAAAAAAAAAATTCCAGGCAGAAGGAAAGCAGGTGCAAGAGTCCTGAAACAAGAAGGAGTTGGATATCTCCTAGGAACTAGTTGGAGAGCAGGAGTGGGCCACGTGTTATATAAAGATGGGGAGGTACGTGGTGCAGGCCCTGCAAGACAGGTTGAGGATTTCAGTTTTAATCCTAAGAGTAGTGGGAAGCTAGTGGTATGATCAGATTTGTTTTTGCAAAGATCACTCTGATTTCAATGAATTAGAGGAGGATGAGATATAGGAGGATACCAGGAAGAGGCTACAAGAAAAATGTGGAAGGAGGGGGAGCCTTTGGGTTCAATTTTTGAAGAATTGTTTTGAGTGTTGGAAAGCCAATGGGAAATGTCAAGAAAGCAGTTGGATAATCAGATTTGGACCTTTCTTTTCTAAGCAGATATCTACTGCTGTGCTCAATAAAAATATAAAACAAGCCAAATTTTAAATTTTCAAAGAGCTACATTTTAGAAAGTAGAAGAAAAGAGGTGAAATTAATTTTAATAATATAATTTATGTGGCCCAATGCATCCAAAATATTACCTCAACATTTCATCAAAATAAATAATTGTTGGCTGGGCGCGGTGGCTCACACTTGTAATCCCAGCACTTTGGGAGGCTGAGGTGGGTGGATCACGAGGTCAGGAGTTCAAGACCAGCCTGGCCAACATAGTGAAATCCCGTCTCTACTAAAAATACAAAAAAAATTAGCCGGGCGTGGTGGTAGGCACCTATAGTCCCAACTACTTGGGAGGCTGAGGCAGGAGAATCCCTTGAACCTGGGAGGTGAAGGTTGCAGTGAGCCAAGATCACGCCACTACACTCTAGCCTGGGTGACAGAGCAAGACTCTGTCTCAAAAAAAAAAAAATTTCGTTTTTGTTTTGTTTTGTTTTGTTTGTTTTTTGAGACGGAGTTTCGCTCTGTAGCACAGGCTGGAGTGCAGTGGTGCGATCTCAGCTCACTACAACCTCTGCCTCTCGGGTTCAAGCAATTCTCCTGCCTCAGCCTCCTGAGTAGCTGGGACTACAGGCACGTGCCACCATGCCCAGCTAATTTTTGTATTTAGTAGAGACGGGGTTTCACCTTGTTGGCCAGGATGGTCTCCATCTCTTGACCTCATGATCTGCCCACCTTGGCCTCCCAAAGTGTTGGGATTACAGGCATGAGCCACCACCATGCCCGGCCAAAAAAAAATTGTTAATGAGATATGTTACATTCTTTTTTCATACTATCTTCAAATTTTAACTTATGGCATATCTCAATTCCAACTAGTCACATTTCAAGTGCTCAATTGCCAGCTATTTGTTACCCTGGTTAAATAGCACAGGCCTAGATTAAAGCTATGTCTCTGATGGCATTGATTGACTGAAGCCTTAGAAATGGATGAGGTCATCTAGGATGGGGTTATAAAATGAGAAGAGAGTCAAGGTCCAAGTCCTGAGAAGCTCTATCATTTAAAGCAGGGGTCCCCAACCCCCAGGCCATGGACCAGTACAGCAGGAGGTGAGGAACACGCGAGCGAGCAAAGCTTCATCTGTATTTACAGTTGCTCCCCATCGCCCACATTACTGCCTGAGCTCCATCTCCTGTCAGATCAGTGGCAGCATTAGATTCTTATAGGACCGCGAACCCTATTGTGAACTGCACATATGTAGGATCGGGATTGCGTGCTCCTTGTGAGAATCTAATGCCGGATGATCTGTCACTGTCTCCCGTTACCCCCGTATGGGACTGTCTAGTTGCAGGAAAACAAGCTCAGGCCTCCTATTGATTCTACATTATGGTGAGTTGTGTAATTATTTCATTATGTATTACAATGTAATAAAAATAGAAATAAGGTAGTTCACAATAAGTGTAATGCACTTGAATCATCCCAAAACCATTTCCCCCTCCTCACCACCTCTGGGTCTGTGGAAAAATTGTCCTCCAAGAAACTGGTCCCTGGTGTCAAAAAGGTTGGAGACCACTGATTTAAAGGGTGAATAGGGAAAGAATTCCTCCTAAGGCATAATGATAACATTATTTAGTGCTTTGCAGTTATAAATCATTTCCACATGCATTTCCATTTTTTCTTCCCGTGAATACTGTGAAGAATAGAAGGTTATCCCCATTTTTTTTTTTTTTTTTTGAGACGGAGTTTTGCTCTTGTTGCCCAGGCTGGAGCGCAGTGGCATGATCTCGGCTCACCGCAATCTCTGCCTCCCAGGTTCAAGCAATTCTCCTGCCTCAGCCTGCTGAGTAGCTAGGATTATAGGCACACGCCACCACACCCGGCTAATTTTTGTATTTTTACTAGAGACGGGGTTTCTCCATGTTGGTCAGGCTGGTCTTGAACTCCCGACCTCAGTTGATCTGCCCGCCTCGGCCTCCCAAAGTGCTGGGATTACAGGCATGAGCCATCGCACCTGGCCATGCCCATTTTATAGATAACAAAATCAAAGCCTTAGATGTTCTCTCACCCAAGGCAGAGGGGGAGCTAAAACTAGAATCCAGTTTTCTGATCCAAAGACTAATGTTCTTTCCATTTGTCTTAGTGAGTTTTTCCAAACAGCACATCCTATTAACAGAAATTGCATGCAGGATGTTTATTTTGGGAAGTGATTCCAAGGAAACAAGGAAGAAGGGAAAGAGAGAGTTAGGAGCAAATTACCACATTGGGCCACTGAGGCTTGATCCTCCCAGGGACCCTCTCAAGAGCTGTGGAGAGTGAACTTTAGAATTGTCTGCCCTGGGGATTTATCCCCTGGTTCTCATTATCTGTTGGTCAAGGGTTGCTCCCATCTGGTGTTAAGTCCCTGTCACTTCCAGGTTTGCACGTGTGTCAGAGGGGTCATGTGGGTACCACAGGTGACAACTTAGGCAGCAGGAGAGAAGCTGCTGGGCAGAAATAGAGAGATAAGGAGATACTGCTGGGGCTGGAGTAAAAAGTTGGCCAAGATGTAAAATGGTCACAAGAGGTATCTGAAGTATCATTGCACCTCCTGATTTTTGTGGAGGTGAGGGTTCTTCGTACAAATAATTTCAATATAATAGAGATATATTCATGCAGAGACAGTGCTATGGAAGCCCAGAGAAAGAAGCTGCTAATTGTGCCTGTTTACATGGAGGCTTCACAGAGAAGGTAGCCTTGGAGCTGAGTCTTAAGTGCTATGGCTTGAATGTTTGATCCCTCCAAAACTCATGTTGAAACTTAATCCCCAGTATAATAGTATTAAGAGGCAGGGCCTTTAAGAGGTGGTGGGTCATGAGGGCTCTGACCTCATGAATGGATTAATCCATTCATGGATAAATGGATTGAGTTATCACAGGGTGGGTTAGTTATTATTAGAGTAGGTCTGTATTAAAAGCTAGTTTGGCTCTCAGTATGCCCCCTTTGCCATGTGATGCCCTGTGCCACCTCGGGACTCTGCAGAGAGTCCCCACCAGCAAGAAGGCCCTCCTGAGATGTTGCCTCTTGACCTTGGACTTCATAGCTTCTAGAACTGTAAGAAATACATTTATTTTTTAAATAAATTACCCAGTATCAAGTATTCAGTGATAGCAACAGAGAATGGACTAAGACAAATGGTAAGGAGTTTTCTAGAAAGTGGGATAGGACATGTTCCAGACAAAGATTATATCATGTGTTGAAGAGTGACAGCTTGAAATCATATGCAATCCCTGGGGAATCAGCAGCTCAGTATGGTTAGATTGTTGAATATGGGGGCAGGAAGGAGAGGTGGAAGAGGAGGTCCAAGTCTGAGCTTAGTATTTTTGGCTTAAAAGTGGGCATCTCATCCATTAAACTGCAGTGGTGTTCAAGCTTGGATCCATGTTAGAAGCACCTGAGGAGCTTTTCAAAAATATGGCTGGGCCCCATCTCAGGTCAATTAAATCATCTTTGGAGGTTACAGTTAAATAAAAATGGTTCAAAATATTGTAGATCACCGGGCGTGGTGGCTCACTCCTGTAATCCCAGCATTTTGGGAGGCTGAGGCCGGCAGATCACTTGAGGTCAGGAGTTCGACACCAGCCTGGCCAACATGGTGAACTGTCTCTACTAAAAATACAAAAATTAGCTGGGCATGTTGTCAGGTACCTGTAATCCCAGCTACTCGGGAGGCTGAGGCAGGAGAATTGCTTGAACCCAGGAGGCAGAGGTTGCAGTGAGCTGAGATCACGCCACTGTACTCCAGCCTGGGCAACAGAGCGAGACTCTGTCTCAAAAAAAAGAAAAAAAAGCCCAGGGACTGATACGTTCTAAAATCTTCCATGTGATTCTAATGAGTAGTTTTGATTGAAGACCACTGCTTTGAAGGGTTTCATACAAGGAAGTGATGCCCAGATTTGTGTTCCCAAGATTCCTTTTGGCTGGAGAGCAGATTAGAGGAGAGACCAGTTAGCATGCTCCTGCCATGGTCTAGGCAAGGCAGGCGAGGCCAGAATTAAGGCATTGTCTGTGGGGTAAGGGGAGGGGATAATGTGAAAGACACTTGGGTTGACCAGATCTTTGTGACAAAATTCCTTTGAGGACCTTTTAAGATTAAGATGGAACAGGTACCTTGGGACGGTTAATGCTGAGAGAAAACTCCGAATGCTTCTGTTTAAAGAGGGTGGTGGCCACAAGCCTCTGTTGGTGCAACTTCATACATGGAAAGACTTTCAGCTGTCCTGTACTCACTTCCTCTGATTTGTCATCCCTGTCCTCTTGCAGGGATCATTATTCTGCCTGCCTAGAGTACAACACAACATGGGCCATGGACTCACATTGCCTTGGGTTTGAATCTTCGCTGTGCTCTTAGGGTCACAGGAGTTAACCTCTCTAAGCCTTAGTTTCTCCACTTGTATGATGGAACTGATGCTTCTTCTCTTGTAAGATTACTGTGAGAATTCAGTGGGATAAAGTACATGCAAATATGAGTCCAGAGCAGAAGGCCTGGCCCACTGCAGACACTCAGTGATTGATAACTCATGTCTTATCATTTTTGCAGCTTACCTGCCTTAGTGACAAATTGACAGTTATCTTTATTTTATTCCCACTGTTCCCCATCTGACTTGCCCTTGTCTAGCCCATTTCAGGTCAGCCCACCCATGCTGATGATCCAGTCTTGTCATCTTCCTGCCTGACCTAGTTTGGGTTCAGCCCTGCTGGGGAGATAGTGCCCTCATGCCTGGGCCACATGTGGCATAACACAGCAAGAACTCTTTATTGTTCTGAAATGTTTACTTGCCCAGCTACCTAAAAGGTTATAAGCACATTGAGGACAGGGAATGGATTTCATTTGTCTTTGTTTGCATTTTATTTATTCATTGACTCCATTCATTCATTTAACAAATAGCCATTGAATATCAACTCTATTGTAGGCCCTGGCATATATTAGTGAGCAAGATGGGCAAATTTATTATACCCTTGTTTTGAACTTATAGTATAATGAGGGAGATAATCATTAATCAAATAATCATAAAATAAATGTTAAATTACAGCCAGCACAACATCTGATTTGGGTAGTTGCTCCAGAGAAGTTTGCTGACTCTGAATAGAGAAAGCACCTTGAACAGATAAAACCGTTCCCTCCTTGTATGTGAAGAACCCAGGACCAACCTGGTAGCCAGGCAGTGTCAGTGAGGGAAGCAGACCTCTGCCTCAGAGTTCTCTAGAGATCCTAGTTCCCCACTCTTACCCTCAGAGCCTTCTCAGTTTGAACCTCCAGAGTGCAGGGCCTCAGAAGCTACATGTGTTAGCAGGCATCCTGGGGTGTTCTCATGCCACTGAAGTCTGTGAACCACTGCCTGTGAGACACAATGAGAACTTAAAAAAAAATAGCCTTAATGAACTGAAGAGTCATTAGCTGTACCCAAGACTCCCCCTGGGAAAGTACCTTTGTTCTGGTGGACCTAGGTGGGGCGGTAGCTTTGACGTCTGCTTGGTTCCCCACTTCCTTGTCTACTCGTAACTGAACACTGGCAGTTAGTGGTTGTCAGATATTCTTTTAGCACAAACATTCCACATTTTGGCACACACTGAGTCTCTGTCACACAAGCACCAGACTGACCCAATGCCAAACAACTAGCCTTCATTAAACGCTGCCTCTTCTGTGAATGCAGGCTCAGGGACCAGACCACTTTGATTTTAATCCCAGATATGCTACTTTCTAGCCGAGACTTTGGGCAAGAAATTCTCTCTATGCCTCCCCTTATATGTAAAATCAAGATAGTAACAGTACCTACTTAGAATATGGTTGTGAGAATTAAATGGAATAATACAAGTGACTTAATTGTCAGAGCGATGAGCACATCAGAGGTCCTCAATGGAGACTACCTGCTTTAATGAAGATATGTCCTATGGAAGGCCCTTAGCTATTAGTGTATTATGGTCACTGAACCAGTACTCTGCAGGATTTCCAGCTTCTGTTAAAGGGTAATGACCTTTCCTCATGCATCTGCTTTTTCAAAATGAACAAAAGTGCTGTTCTTAGATAAGCATTTGTGATTTTATCTTTTTATGGAGACTTTGGAAAGATTTGCTCTGATTTCCAACCTCGAATACTCTTGGAAAATATCTGTATTATTTTTACTCTATTGGATTTTAATGTGTGTTTTAGAAAACAACATCTGCAGATAGATGGTGTTGCACAACAATGTGAATATCCTTAATACCACAAAACTGCACTTAAAAATGGTTACAATGGTAACTTTTATGTTATGTGTGTTTTACAGCAATTAAAAAATAAGACAATAACAGAACTGTGGTTTGTATTAAAGATCTAGTAACTCTAATTAAAGAAAAAGGAAAGGAAGAAAATGGTCTCTAAATGTTTATAGGCCCTACTAGCATCTCTGTAGCTAATCTGGTTTGTTTATAGAGTACTAGAGTCTTACTCAAAATTATAAGCTTTGTTTATAAACCCAAGCTCACTGAGACAGACTGATGAGGCTGCTGAAGTTACCATTAAAGCTACAGGAACTTTTAAGAAAGTTTTTGAAGACACACTGTGTCTGAAGGGACCATGAAAAGTTAATGATCATACTTGCCTGTGTTACCAGATGTCTTAGTCTGTTTTGTGTGGCTGTAACAGAATGTGACAAACTTGGTAATTTATAATATAAAGAACAGAAATTACTTTTCTCACAGTTCTGGAGGCCAAGAAGCCCAAGATCAAGGTGCTGGCAGGCTTGGTGTCTGGTAAGGGCCTGGTCTCTGCTTCCAAGATGATGCCTTGAACTCTGCATCCTCTGGAGGGAGGAATGCTGTTCCTCACAATGGCAAAAGAGTAGGAGATAGCAAACTCACTCCCCAAACCCCATTTAATTGTGGCATTAATCCATTTAAGAGGGCAGAGTACTTGAATACCTAAATACCTCCCACTAGGGCTCACCTCCTGATGCTGATGCATTGGTGATGAAGTTTTCAACACATGAGTTTTGGAGGGGAAAACAGTCAAACCACAGCATCTGTCTTATGAGCTTTTTGGGGATGGTGTAGGACAACTCCAGTGGTACTACTTTATATTAGACAATGAATATTAACCTCTTTTAGGGCTGGAAGGAATTTAGGAACCATCCAGTTCCAACCCCCTCATTTATCCATTTGATTCAATAATGATCTGTTGAATTCTTTCTCTGTGCCTAATGTATAGTAGGATATACCATCGTGGATGCTGTATATACTGTGGTAAACAAAGTAGACCTGCCCTCATGTAGCTTACAATCTAATAATAAAGATAGATATTAATCAAATAGCTGCATAAATATGTAATTACACCATGTGGCCAGTACCGTCTTTAGAGGGAAAATACAGGCATTCTGATCAGGAGGGTAGGATCTAAACTCAGGAGGTCAGAGAAGGCTGAGATGTCAAGTGAAGGGCTTTCTCGGTAAAGGCCCTGGAGCAGAAACCATGAGACCTATGGGCAACTGCAAGCAGGCCAGTTCCACCAGAGGTGTTTTCTGAATGAGAAGAGGGTGAAATATTCTACTTCTGTGGAGCCAGGAAGCAGGCTGTCTGATGCTCTAGTTTCTCTTTCTTTCTGCTTCTAAATAGACTTACCCAGAAGCCTGGTACTATGACATTTGTGTAGGTAGAATTGTTTCCATCCTAAGGAGATATCTGCCCCATATCTATACGGCCTCCAGTCTCAGTGAGCTTAGGGTCTGTTGCGCCTACATTTCCAGGTCTTCACCAAGGCCCCTGCATTGGTGTTTCCATGAACCAAGCAAGGTCACTTCTACTGTTCCTCTTTCTGGACCAGCACTTCTATCCATGCAACCTAGCTCATGAAGATCGGTTATGATCTTCATGTGATCACTGCACTCCAGCCTGGGTGACAGAGCGAGACTCCGTCTCAAAAAAAAAAAAATTTAAAAATTTAATTTATTTTTAGACTCATGGGGCACATGTGCATATTTGTTTCATGGGTATATTGCATGATGCTGAGGTTTGGGCTTCTAATGATCCTGTCACCCAAGTAGTGAACATAGAACCTGACAGGTAGTTTTTCAACCTTTGACCTCCTCCCCACCTCCCCTCTTTTGGAATCCCTAGTGTTTATTGTTCCCGTCTTTGTGTTCATGTGTACCCAACGTTTAGCTTCCACTTATAAGAATATGCAGTATTTGGTTTTCTGTTCCTGTGTTAATTCGCTTAGGGTAGTGGCCTCCAGCTGCATTCATGTTGCTGCAAAGGACATGATTTCATTCTTTTTTATGGCTGCATAGTATTCCATGGTGCATATGTACCACATTTTCTTTATACAATTCATCATTGATGGACACCTGGGTTGATTCTATGTCTTTGCTATTATGAATAGTGCTGTGATAAATATACAAGTGCAGGTGTCTTTTTGGTGGAATAATTTGTTTTCCTTTGGGTATATACCTAGTAATGGGATTGCTGGGTCAAATGGCAATTCTATTTTTAGTTCTTTGAGAAATCTCTAACCTTCTTTTCACAGGGCTGAATAAATTTGCATTCCCACCAACAGTGTGTAAGCATTCTCTTGTATGCACAATCTTGCCAGCATCTGTTATTTTCTGACTTCTTAATAGCCATTCTGACTGGTATAAGATGGTATCTCATTGTGGTTTTAACATTCATCTCTCTGATGACCAGTGATGATGAGCATTTTTTCAAAAGTGTATTGGCCACTTGTATGTCTTCTCTTGAGAAGTGTCTATTTATGTCTTTGACCCACTTTTTGTGTGTTTACTCTGTCACTGGTTTTTTTTGCTGTGCAGAAGCTCTTTAGTTTAATTAGGTCCCAATTGTCACTTTTTGTTTTAACTGCATTTGCTTTTGAGGACTTAGTCATAAATTCTTTCCTGAGGCCAATGTCTGGAAGGGTATTTCCTAGGTTTCTTTTATGACTTTTATAGTTTGAGGGTCTTACAGTTATGTGTTTATTCTACCTTGAGTTAATTTTTGTATATTGTGAGAGGTAGGGGTGTAGTTTCATACTTCTACATATGGTTAGCCAGTTTTCCAACCACCATTTATTAAATAGGAAGTCCTTTTCCCATTGTTTATTTTTGTCAGCTTTGTCAAAGATCAGTTGGCTGTAAGTGTATGGCTTTATTTCAGGGTCTCTATTCTGTTCCATTGATCTATGTATCTATTTCTGTACCAGTACCATGCTGTTTTAGTTATCATAGCTTTGTGGTTTAAAGTTAGGTTATGTGATGCCTCTGGCTTTATCCTTTTTGCTTAGGATTGCCTTGGCTATTTGGGCTCTTTTTTGGTCTGTATGAATTTTAGAGTAGATTTTTTTCTAATTCTTTGATTTCTTTGGGCAATACGACGCATTCAAAAAAGACTTGGAAGGAAATAAATAAAAATAAAAGTGATATCTAATTAGTAGAATCTTAAACATCTTTTTTTACTTCATTTTATAAGTGATATTTAAGAAACTTTTAGTACTCTTAAAATAGAAAATAATATTGAAATGATCCCGAGGGAGTGTCAGATCTCTTCCTTACCACCTAAATCTTACTGCTTTCTTTAAAGGATATACTCATAGGGACTTTTGGAAATATTTAAATATAAGCTACAGAGAAATGTTGGGTTTCTCCACTGCCAGACTTTGAGGCATTCACTAGCTAATGGACTTTTGAGCCCAGGAGGCAGAGAGAACATGAACATTCTCCAGACTTCTGGGAAGCTTTATTTACTGAAGCCCCTGTAGGCCTCGTACTCTCTGGAACATGCATTGGAAAATGCTGGTGTGGTGGAAAGAGAACAAAACGTTGTGGCTACCTGGGCTCTGATGGATGTTGTAACAAAGAAAGGCAAGCTCCCCAAATGCTCAAATTGAACTTTCAGTCAAGCTTTATCTGTCTCTCAAGCAGCAAACAATGCCAGTTTTTTATTCTGCAAGCCATTTTAGAAGACAAAATGTTTGGCACAGTTGCACAGGTTAGCATGCTAGTGTACTGTGTACACAAGATGAAATGTCTTCAATTTGTGTTAAAATATGCTTTACCCCCTTCTCAAACACTTGTCAAATGAAACGTAGTAAAAGTTTTTGTTTCTCAACTACCTCACTGTGTAAGTAAGGCCTTAGAGAAAACAAGCTGACAGAAGCAAGCCTGGTTCTTTGGCTCTATGGGAAGAATGACTTTCGTATCAACAATGTTAGAATAAAATCTGATCCCAGATAAATGCTGCTTGCTGCTTCTACCTCACCAGTTTCTGTCGTATGCTGCTGTGGTTGGAACATTTTCTGGCAGGAAGAAATCAGGGGCTCTGTTAGGAAACAACAGAATTTTCTGCCATGTGTAATTCCTGAGCCTCTTTCTCCACTCTGGGAGGTTTCTCAAGGGTCCAGTGGCCCCAGACCTTAGTCAGTGTTCCTCTCTGCCCACAATGGCCACCACCTAAGCCATTTCTTGGATTCCTTTCACTGCAAGCCTAGCTGCAGAGGAGTCTGTCCAGCTTGCTTCCTTGCTGTGCCCAAAGCCAGCATACAGGCCCTTTTCTTTCTAAAGGCATAATGCTAATTACTGGAGGGAATCCCCACTGTGTGTAACTAGGAAGAGAACACTGTGGAGGTTATGGCAGGTCAAGGGTCCTTGCAAGGTCTGCACGGTGGTACTCCCTGGTCTAGTGAAATGGAGTAGAGTTTGACACTCAATAGGCTCTACTTTTAGCTTTTCCTAGTGGTCCAGGGAGGTCTCTTAAATCCTATTTCTTGTCTTCTTTTCTCCCTGGAGTCTCTTAGATTCATAGCAGATGATATATATACCCATTGCCACCTACATTTTCAGGTCTTCACTGGGGCCCCTACATTGGTGTCTCCATGAACCAAACAAGGTCATTTCTACTGTTCCTCTTTCCAGACCACTGCTTCTGTTCATGCAACCTAGCTTATATATGTAGGGAGATTCACACACACACACACACACACACACACCACACACCCACACACACCCACACACACAGCTAAATTAAGCATTTTTAAAGTGGCAGACCATACTTTGAGGTCTGCAGCTTAAATAAGCAGCCACGTGACAAGCGTCTCCTTCTTCTCTTCCTTTCGCTTCCCCATTTACTTCCCTCTATGTTTCTTCTCTAAGGAAGATTTAAAAGCACATGTGCCATCATGCTCTTCTCCCAAGTTCATATCAGATGTCATTAATCAATCATGGAATTTTTTAATCCTGAGTAAGCCCAGAGATATAACCAAAGATGACTATCAGTTGATCAAAATGGGCATTGAGCAGTTTACTCCTGGATAGATACCCCCAAAGAAATGAGAGCTTATTTCAACAAAATGAAATGCATATGAATGTTTCTGGCAGCTATATTTCCAGTAGCCCCAAACTGGAAATAACCCGAATGTCCATCAACAGTTGAATGGATAAAAATATAGTATATCCATATAATGAAATACTTTGCAGTGATGGAAAAAGATGAACTACTGATACACACAGTTTGAGTTCATCTTACATAGTGTAAAGTGAAAGAAGTTAGACATAAAGGAGGCATACTATGTGAGTTCATACATTGCAGTTCAAAAACAGGCAGAACTCATACATGGTGGTAGAAGTTAAGACAGTGGTAACTGACTGAGAGGGGCACTGGGAAGCCTTATGAGGGCTAGAATGTGTTCTGTATCTTGATCTGGGTGGTGGTTATATGGATGTGCACATATGCAAAAATTTATTGAGGTGTATGCCTAGTATTTGCACACTTTACTGTAGCTACCCCTCATTTAATGTCCTTAAAAGGGGGCACCAATTTGAAAATTATTGCCCAGCCCTTGCTTCTATGTTTCTGTGTATAGTTTCTGTTTCTAGTTCTTTCTCCTGCTGTCATCTGTCCTTCTTCTCCTCTGCTGACTTTCTTTCCTCCTTTTTTTCTTCTTTTCATCTCCCCCTACTCGTAAAGCTAAAAACATGAAGTTTAAGTACATATATTGTAAAATATATTAAATACAATTTTACAGTTATATTCATAATTTAAAAGTGAGTGTATTTAGTGTTTTTACACCTCTCCTTAAAACAAACTCTGCATTTATTGAACTAAAATTAGATGAACATATTTATTACGTCTTACTGGCATTCAATGGAGTAACTCAGTGGTTCCCAAACTTATCTGCACATTAGAATCATGTGGGACCTTATAAAAATTCCAAAGCCCAGGACACAATACCACATCAATTAGATCACAATACCTGGGTCTAGGACACAAGCATCAGTAGCCATTGAAGCTTTCCAGGTGATTCCCGTATGATTCCAATGTGTAGACAAGTTTGGGGACTATAGATTAATGGCTTTCTATTCCTTCCATAGTGTCTCAGCTACTTCAGCATGTGGTTCTGAATCTTGGCTGCACATTAGAATCACCTAAGAAGCTTCTAAACAATACTGCTTCTTGGGCCCTGTTCTGCATAAGGTCTGAATATTTCTAACATGCAAACAGCATGAAGAGCCCCGTTCTAGCAGGGTTGTTGTCCTGGTAGATCTTGTGATCGGAGTGACTCCAGTGCCATCCCCTCAATGTTCCTCTCAAATACTTTCTCCTCATGTTTTTGAAAATTCCAGTCCTTTCTTTTGCAAGCCTAATATGGAGATGAGTGATGTGATACTGATAAGTTTTTGGTCTGTGTTGCTTTCAGTATGGGATTGTGCTGGATGCGGGTTCTTCTCACACAAGTTTATACATCTATAAGTGGCCAGCAGAAAAGGAGAATGACACAGGCGTGGTGCATCAAGTAGAAGAATGCAGGGTTAAAGGTAAGATGAAGACCAAGGGAAGGGGAGGCCAACAGTGGGGCATGAGAACATGAGAGGTGTATGACCAGTAGAACACAAGAGAAAAAGGAGTCCCACGCATAGGAAGCCAAGTGAAGAAAACAGTGCAGCTGCTGTTGTTATGTTATCGTTACAGAAAACATATTGAAATCAGTCGTTAATGATCAAAACCTAAGAATAAACACACATAAATATAATTAATAGTAGCTCCCATCAACAGAACACTTCTGCATGCTATGTACTTAGTACTGAACATGTGTTACTTCAGTATACCCTCATAATCTCCCTTTGAGGTATGCATTATTATACTAATTTTTTAAAAATGAGGGCACTGAGGTTGAGAGAGGTTATACCACTTGTTTGTTACTCAAGCTAGTAAGTGATGGAGCTGCGGTTCAAACCAAGTTCTGCCCGACTTCAAGTCTGCATCTTAGCCAGTGCTTCTCAAACTTGCATGAGCTTGTTAAAAACACAGATGATGGGTCCCATCCCCTAGAGTTTCTGAGTCAGCAGATCTGGAATGAAGCCTGATAATCTGTATTTCTAAGAAGTTCCTAGGTGATGCTAATCTGTCTGGTTCAGAGATTTATTGCTCTCTTAATCTTTGTACCCTGATCTACAGCTTGGAAGACATTTTTCAAAGCTTTCAGCTTCTGTGTAGGCAGGAAAGACCAAATTATAGGCTCTTAGGGCTGGGAAAAGGAACTTACAGATCGTTTAAATTTTGTTTCACAGAGAAGGAAACAAAAACCTGGAGGATTAGTGCCTTGAAAGTAGCAACAGAATAGAGACAAGAATCTAGGTCTCCTAATTACACTCTAGGTTTCCTGCTACTCTGAGCTGCTGCATTATATATCAATAATTTTTTTCTTTTAAGGTCATAATATGTTAGAGTGGTTGACATTCAGCTTTCAATCCCTTTACCCAGTACCCTACCATGCACCATTATACCACAGTCTCTCTGACTTTTATCTCTCTTAGCCTTTTGAGCTGGGAACCCACTGTTTATTTTTAGTCAGACTGATAGCCTAGATCCTAGAAGATAATTGATTTTCAGTTTGACAGCCTGTGGAATCCACTAATTTTCACAGGTCGTCAAGAAAGTAGTAGAGAGGAGATATTTCCAAGAGAGCAAGTCATTCTACCCAGTAGCCCCATCAATACTGACACTTTGGCCCCATCTGAGACAGTACTTCTGGCCTTTCTTAAAGCCCAAATCCCTCATTTTATTGGCTTTTATTTGACACACTGCCTTCCATTTTTAAAAGTTATTTTAATGGCCAAGCACGGTGGCTCATGCCTGTAATCCCAGCACTTTGGGAGGCTGAGGTGGGCGGATCACAAGGTCAGGAGATGGAGACCATCCTGGCTAACACGGTGAAACCCTGTATCTACTAAAAATACAAAAAAATTAGCTAGGCATGGTGGTGCGTGCCTGTAGTCCCAGCTACTAGGGTGGCTGAGGCAGGAGAATCACTTGAACCCGGGAGGCGGAGGTTGCAGTTAGCCGAGATCGCGCCACTACACTCCAGCCTGGGCGACAGAGCAAGACTCCGTCTCAAAAAAAAAAATCTAGCAGATGTCCTTCTTCTGAGACTTATCCCATGAGCGTTTGGCCTAACAATGAAGGATTCTTCCCTCTCAAAAGAGAGAGTTCTCTAGTTAATCAAATATTTAACACCAAATTTTCTGAATCAAAACAATTAGCTGGTAACTTAGAGCTGATTTTCTCATGGTTATTAGGCTGTTTGAAAACCTGTGAATGATCTGGATAACTTATTTGAATAATTATCCTTAAAGCAATTACTCTGCTATGAAGCACTGATAGTGTAGATATTTATCTTAATGTGAGATGAAAGTGTTGTTATAACTTCAAAAAGCTTAAGGAATCTTGGCTCTAATCCTCCATAGCAACAGTCGGTTTTGCTCTAAAACTGGAAAAACAGTTTTGCTAGGGAGGCAGGATATCGGAGTGGAAAAGTCACTGAAGAGACATAGATTCTGTTCCTCTTTCTTGTAACAGGAAGCAACTCCACCTCAGAAACTTTAAGGTGCTGGCCAGGATCAGATAACTAGTTAGTGGCAGCTTCCATCTTTTTAGTAAAAGCCAATTTGTCTGACGCTTAATTTTTATTCCAAGTGTTATCTTTAGGTCTTTTAGGAACTAGTGTCATTAATTACAGTGTTCTGGAGGAAATATCAAAAAGCAGCTAACAGAGTAGCTATCTATAATATCCCCATTAAAGTCTGAGAATGTTATGCAATTGAATATGAAATTGCGCCATCCAGTGGCAGAATTATTGAACACTGAACAGACCCAACTTAAAGTCTGGAAATTAAATCCTCTCAAGGCTAGGTCCAGTGAATTACCCTCTAAGTACAATAACCTAATGTATAGTACATCAGGAAATTGTTTTCTTGTATTTTTTTCAAAACACCATATTTTGATCTACTATTGTCAAGGTATGTTTTATAATTTTTTTTTAAAAGATTGTTATCTTCTACATTTTTTCCTAGGTCCTGGAATCTCAAAATTTGTTCAGAAAGTAAATGAAATAGGCATTTACCTGACTGATTGCATGGAAAGAGCTAGGGAAGTGATTCCAAGGTCCCAGCACCAAGAGACACCCGTTTACCTGGGAGCCACGGCAGGCATGCGGTTGCTCAGGTATAGCAGCATGTAGGGACCAAGAGTATCTGGGAGTTAGGCTTGGCAGTGAAAGAGCCTCTGAAGTTATGGGAAAGGGCCACACTCCCTAATACCCCAAGTTCTACACACCCAAGTCCATACTTAAGAAAGGATATTTTAGTAAGTGAATAAAATGTTCAAACTCTTAGTATATATAGGGGTAGGATTTTATGTATGTTAAAAAAAAAAGCCCCCTTGTGCATCTCCCTATGGGGGATTCAAAGGGGAAGGGGCACAGGGAGAGAAAGACTGGGCCCGTATACTCTGGGGTTTGGGGCTACAGATTTAACTATTCAATATCTGGGAGGAAGAGGATAAGAGGAGACTCATAGACATCCCAGGTCATAAATATTCACAACTAGCACATCTTTATATCACTTGATACCTGTGTGAATTATTTGTTCACTTGTTCATTCATTCAGCATATAGTGCCTGCTCTATCCAGAATATGAAAACTCAACCCTCAAGGAAATCAGTTTCAATGCAGGGTGATCAGTGTTTTAATAGAGGAGTGCTCAGAGCTGCTATGGGAGCACATTTGGCCCTGCCCAGGGTGAGAGGAGGTCAGGAAGACTTAGAGGAAGGGATGCCTGAACTGAATCATGAAAAATGAGTTGGAGGATCGGGGAACAGCTTTATCAGCAGAACAGACAGCATGCATTCAGTAACTGATGTTTATTCAGCACCTATTATATGTCAGGCACTGTTCTAAGTACTGAGGATACAACAGTGAACAGGACAAAGTCTCTGACTTCATGGAGCTTGTGTTCTACCGGATGTGCAAAGGTAGGGAAGTGTGAGAGGCATATTCAGAGGACTGTAAGTAGTTCTGCATAGATAGAAGATAGGTAAGTAGTGTAAAATAATAATGATAATAATAGTAGCAGCTCGTATTTATTGAGCCCGTCCTATGTTCTTAGCACTACGCTAAGCACTTAATTGCACTGTCATAACAACTCTATGAAATTAACAATTATTAACAAGATAAGGAAGCTGTGGCTTACAAATGTTAAGTAACTCACCCAAGGTCACACACCTGGGAAGTGGTGGAGCCAGGATTCTGAGTGGGATTCTGAAAAGGAAGGGTCCAGGTCACAAAGTGCCCTATGGGGCCATGCTAGGAAGTTTGGAGTTTATCTTAGAGATAGTAGGAAGCCATTAAAGGATGCTACACAACTGGTGACACTGGTAGAGAAGATGGATTGGAGGGGAGAAAAGCTGGGGATAAAAGGAAGGCAGTTAGTAGGTGTGGACGCCATTTAGATGAGAGATGACAGGGGCCTAATGCCAGCTGGAAGGTAGCATCCTCTCGCTCAGAGACTCCCAGTGTTGGGTAGCCTAGATCTTGGAAGCAATTGCATCCCATCTTCATTAAGACAACCCTGGAAGATTCCTTCTTTAGGTCTCAAGGTCTCAAACAGACCCAAGAACTGAGCTGTAATATGAGGAAGATTTTTCCCAGTCTGGCAGCAGAGGAGATTGGATATCTATTCCAGGTCATTTGCCACCTGGTTTCTACTAGAACCCTAATTAAAAACCTGGAGCAGAGTCTGGCCATGTAACCAGCTAGGAGCCACCCACAGTGGTTAATATAGCACACATCAGCTTCAGGTATGGTCATCAAACCATACCCAGCTATCACCACCACAGTAATTTTAAGAGCCTTTGATAACTTTTTGAGCCAGGGAACTTCAGAACAAAAGTGGTATTTTAAGGAAAACCAACCTATGAAAGGATTGGAAGGATGTGGATTTGGAGAGAGATGAACAAAATATTAATTCTGCCTCATCCAAAAAAGGGGTTTCTTGGACAGCTATGTGCGAAGATCCCCATCTCTTCATTTATTCCAGGGCATTATGGTTCACTTCTTAGTAGCACTGTGTGGATGCTGTAGCTGAAATGGGTAATGTAATATAATTATTAAAACAAAAATGATAACCTCAGCTCTTCCTTTGTACAGGATGGAAAGTGAAGAGTTGGCAGACAGGGTTCTGGATGTGGTGGAGAGGAGCCTCAGCAACTACCCCTTTGACTTCCAGGGTGCCAGGATCATTACTGGCCAAGAGGAAGGTGCCTATGGCTGGATTACTATCAACTATCTGCTGGGCAAATTCAGTCAGGTGAATATCTCACAGCATCCATGGAGGTGGCTCTCTGGAGGCCAATGCCATTGCTATCTCAGGCAGTACTTGGGTCGCTAGCCAGAATGAATGAATGAATGATAGATGGATGGATGGATGGATGACTGGATGAATGAATTTACTCTCACATTTGTAAGGGTCACCAGAGGTATAATTCTCTTACAAGACCTTCTACTATTGGGAGAATAAGGACATGTCTTTACCTTAGGGAGGCATAAAGGAAATTAAAAATTTATCATTAAAAATTAGAATAGCTAACATTTGCCTTCTGCTATGTGTCTCCCGCTGTGCTCAGCACTTTTCATGTTTTCTCTGATTTTATCCTTAGAACAACACTATGAGGTACTACATCATCCCCATTTTAGAGCCCCATATCGATGCCTAGAGAGGGTAATTAGTCTGCCCATGGCTGTACAGCTAACAAGCGACTGAGTGAGAATTTGAACTTGAATGTGTCTGGCCTCAGACCTCTTGTTTTTAAACACCAGTTACACTGCTTCTATGTCCGGCAGTCTGAGCTATGTCTTTGAAGCCCCTCTTTTCTTGCTGATAATCTGTTGTAGATCAGGAGCCTCTAGTGAGCTTTGCCTCACCTTTATGCCCCTGTTTCTTTGCCTTAGGAAATCCCTGACTCCAATAGATACTATGAAAAGCAGGGTGTCCAGAGACTTCTAGCACTGGTAACTGTACTGTCTTTCAGAAAACAAGGTGGTTCAGCATAGTCCCATATGAAACCAATAATCAGGAAACCTTTGGAGCTTTGGACCTTGGGGGAGCCTCTACACAAGTCACTTTTGTACCCCAAAACCAGACTATCGAGTCCCCAGATAATGCTCTGCAATTTCGCCTCTATGGCAAGGACTACAATGTCTACACACATAGCTTCTTGTGCTATGGGAAGGATCAGGCACTCTGGCAGAAACTGGCCAAGGACATTCAGGCAAGTATAACTCAATCCAGACCTGCCCCCTTCACATCTGCACCTCCAGCCCCCACATCCTGTTGTTTTCTGTTTCAAATTCAGTAGTTTGTCTGAACTTGGTTATTGTACTTTCCAAACCTTTTTAGGCAGGATATTGAACTACATCTGGTTGACCCCTATAAATTGTTTCAGTCAGACATCCCCTCCCATGTTTGTTTACTGCGTTATCTCCACAGACACAACTGAGATCTTCTCTCAGGAAATAATTTCTCCCCCTCGTGGGGTTGATAATGAAAATTATGTGGTAGAATATTGTTTGTTGGAGGGGGAATTGCAATTTATAAGCTCTTTTAGACCACTTTTTAAAGCTCCCTTTCCTACAAACTACAAAAAAACAGAGTTGTTAGAAATGACCTGGAGAGGAGAAGGAAAAAAAAAAAAACACTTCAGGAGAAACACAAAATGTATCAATTGACACTTCAAATCTTGTCATCTTGTCCCCAGATGCCTTCTGCATTTTGAAGACAAGAAAAGTTAAACACACTTTGGGAGGCTGAGGTGGGTGGATCACTTGAGGTCAGGAGTTGGAGACCAGCCTGGCCAACATGGTGAAACCCCATCTCTACTAAAAATACAAAAAAAGAAAAAAAATTAGCTGGGCATGGTGGCACATACCTGTAATCCCAGCTACTTGGGAGGCTGAGAAAGGAGAATCACTTGAACTGGGAGGTGGAGGTTGCAGTGAGCCGAGATTGTGCCACTACACTCCAGCCTGGGCCACAGAGCGAGACTCCATCTCAAAAAGAAAAAAAAGAAAAGAAAAAGAAAAAGAAAACAAAAGTTAAACATACTCAACATCATGTGAGTACCAGGCACACCCTGACAAGCAAACACAAAGCCAGGATGTCATATCCAGCTGTTCCCTGTCTCCACTGAAAGGATAACAAGTTCTCTGCTCTCCTCCAAAGCATTCTCTCTGGTTTTCAAAACCACTACCAATAAGATGGTCCTGGGAGTAGGGGGCGCTGAGAGACATCCACTGAGCCTCAAAGCTCCACTAACCTTCTTATCCACAGCAGCCTCCTTTCTTCCCTAGTAGGTTGTGGGTTAGAAATTACTTTTTTTTGGGCCAGGCGTGGTGGCTCACACCTGTAATCCCAGCACTTTGGGAGGCCGAGGCGGGTGGATCACTTGAGGTCCGGAGTTCGAGACCAGCCTGACCAACATGGCGACACCCCGTCTCTACTAAAAATACAAAAAATTAGCCGGGTGTGGTGGCACACACCTGTAATTCCAGCTACTAAGGAGTCTGAGGCAGGAGAATCGCTTGAACCTGGGAGGCTGAGGTTGCAGTGAGCTGAGATTGCGCCATTTTACTCCAGCCTGGGCGACAGAGCAAGACTCCATCTCAAAAAAAAAAATTATTTTTCTTGGATAGGAGAATGCTTGAAGAAGAAAAAAAATTTTTTTAATAATTTTTAAATTATGTAGGCTCCTGGAGAACTACTCCCAGGCCCAAATTTTTGACAACCTTGAGAGTTTCCTTGTGAATTTGCTCCTGACCTAGATGATTAGGACTAAGCACTCAGGGACATTTCAAACTAATGGCATTTCTGGGCCCAGTTTTAACTACATCAGCATTCTTTGACTAGCCAAATACATTTATATCTGATACCACTTCTGGTGCCTGTTACACAAATCCATTTTTCATATTTATTCCTAAGGGTAAAAAGGCAGGGCAGGACATATTGATTCCAATACCAAGTGGTGGGATGTTGTACAGTGCCTACATATTGATTAAGTCAGACTGTACCTTTTGTATCCAAAGCGTTCACACATGATGCTTTCAAGTGATTTTTCCATTCAGGTTGCAAGTAATGAAATTCTCAGGGACCCATGCTTTCATCCTGGATATAAGAAGGTAGTGAACGTAAGTGACCTTTACAAGACCCCCTGCACCAAGAGATTTGAGATGACTCTTCCATTCCAGCAGTTTGAAATCCAGGGTATTGGAAACTATCAACAATGCCATCAAAGCATCCTGGAGCTCTTCAACACCAGTTACTGCCCTTACTCCCAGTGTGCCTTCAATGGGATTTTCTTGCCACCACTCCAGGGGGATTTTGGGGTAAGTTTGTGAAATGATGAGGTATAGGATGTCTTGTTTACAAGTTATAGAATATGTGCCTACAAAAGATTTAAATAATAGGATGCATTTTTCTCTTACATAATGTCTTGAGGTAGATGATTAGGGGTTGGTTCTTCAGCTCAACTATGTCAGAACTTGGGATCAGTTTTTTCCACTATCGTTGTGATCTTTTTGTGCTAAGGTATGTTACTGCTCCAAGCACCATATCACTAGGTCACTGCCTCCTTTTTGGCTCTAGGCAGCACCTTAAGCCCAGGTTCATCTCCTTTCTAGTCAACAATAAGAGTACTGCCTTTCCGGAATGGGGGAGGTCCCAAAGAGGTTAGCCCCAGCAGTGTGGGAAAACTGACTAGGGGGTTGTGCCCAGGGGACCTTGTGGGACAGACCTCCTACAGCCATAGAACAGCCACTCTGATTTGGCATCTCCTTTGGCCAAGTGACAGAGCAGACTTCCCAGGGCTGGGGATGCTAAATCTGCCTCTTCCTTGTCTCTGCCTGTCCCCAGGGATATCTCCCTTCAGGATGTCACGATGCTTACTGTGGGTTAAGACAAAGACAGGTTTCCTGCTAGGGAACCCAGGATGATGGGGAAGCTGATTGTCCACCTTGATCTCACTTTTTCCAGTGTACAAATTGTGAGTTTGGGGGAAATTTTCCACAAGCTTGGTGTCAGGCAGAATCGGGGGAGAGGTGACATGGATGTGGAAGTTTGATTATCTTCCCGTCTGCTTGGAGTTTTTTCACTTCTTTGTGGCCCCAGGAACTGTCTCATCTTCATATTTGATTTCTGGGATATTGCTGGTGATAATCTCAGTGCTGTACATTTGTTTCTGGTTGTCTGTGGTTGGGGGGCATGAAGCCAGCTTGCTTCCATGCCGCCATTTTGGAATCAGACATCCAAGCATCATATTTTCTTTCACATGCAAAGCCAAAGCAGGAAAGATGTTTAAGGTTTTCCTTGCACACATCTCTTGCACACACATTTTGCAGAAGTGCCAACTGACATCTTTTCAGATCCTGCTGGCCAGAACTTGGTGAAATATATACTCTAAACCAATCTGTGATAAAGAGAAATGGATTAATATAGTTAGTTTAGACTAATTATTGTTTATCACCTGAGGAGTCGTTTTTGAGGATATTGCTTTCCTCTACTTGGGTAAAATCAGGACTTCATAAGCGAGGAAGAAGGGGGCTAGCTATGGGGTATGTGCCTGTTAGAGTTTGCCATAGGTGGCTTCTCAAATGTTAGAAGGAGGAGGAGCAGCAGTTAGATGACACAGCTGAGGGTTTTCCTCTATAAAGACATTTAGGAAGTAGAAACTCAGGAAATCCCAAAGAAACATTGAAGATAACATCATTGTCATTATGTTTTGAAGAGTTGGGGGATTATTTGAATCCTAGCTCCAAATTCCTTATTTTCTTAATAACTCCAGAATAAGATAAAATATTTGAGCAGAGGCAGAAGAGATGGCTCTTAATTGACTCAGTCTTCAAATTTCTTATTTTGGTCCCAGAGGCTGAGCATTATTATAATCATAGTTTAGTAGCATATTGAAAAATTAGCTACCATCTGTCAAATGCCAATTATTGACTATGCACTATATGTATATTATCTCATTTATTCATTCAAGATATTCAAAGAAACAAGGCTTTTGCCTGCCTTCATGCTTTCTCCCTTTTCAGAAAACAGATCAGCATGTAAGAAGGGAGGTTCAGCTCCTCCCCTCCAGGACCCCAGCAAGAGAGTTTCTCCTAAGGTCACCTGGCTTGGCCCAAGACAAAGCTCTAGAAGAGAACATAGGCACTGTCGTAATCAGATCTGATTCTACTTCTGGCTTCTTATGAACTGTATGAGCTCTTCATTTTCTTGGTCTCTGAGAAAACAATAGGTAATGCCATAGATCCAGACTTACCTTAACCATGGTCCAAACCACAGTCTACCCTCCCCTCAAGGTTCCTGAGGGAAATACATGACAAGACAATGACTGGCAGAGTAATATTTGGTTATTAGTTGGCTGCAAACCCAAATTCAGAAGAAACTGAACCTCACTTGAATGCCCTGTGGCTGAGCTGGCACTGGCTCTTCACCTTGGACTTTTTTTTGGGCCAGGGCCCTTGCCTTAGATTGAACTCCTTGAAGAGGAAGGAGGGTGCCACCTTGGCCAAGGGCCTTTTTCATTCCAGTCACTGCGAGGATGTAAATCTAAAGTCAATGAACATACCCTTGTGTCTTGAGTTTGTAACTTCTCAGAAAGTTTCACTTCCTGGGAAACATGGCCAATTCCTGCCTTCAAGCTTGAGCAAACCTTTCCTCCTTAGGGGACTGAAATTTCTTGCCTTTGAATGTGATTCATCCAACCAAAGCAGGGAGAGATAGGGGCTGGAAAAGGGTGGAGGAGTCTTGAACTCCCCCTGGAGGCTTTTCTATTTGATCCCTTAGTTCCTCATTGAGATTGTTCTCCCAGCCTTCTGAACCTCAGTTTGGCAGTTCCTGAGACTATCGCATTGCCTGCCTCTATGTAGGATCTTTCTCCTCTAGATACAGCCCTCAGGGTCAGGACTGTCCTGTCCCGATTTCTGCATTGGCAGTTTCATTCTGCTTCAGATTTTTGATGTTTTTTGTTTTGTTTTGTTTTATGCCCTCTGTAATGTATCCCTAAGACCTAAAGTTTTTTTGTCTGTTTCCTCATCTGTACAATGGGGACAGTAATATCTACCTCATTGATAGTTGTGAGTCAGACAAGCAGTGATGGTCTGGGAAATGTCCAACAACCAACTCTCGGGGAATGGGGAGCTGATTTGTAGCACTTACCAGTTTCCATGGTGTAAGTAGTTCTACCACAGCCTATTTCAAGCTATATCAACATATCAACTGGCTCACAAAAATCTGGAAATTTTAAGAATCAGCTCTTGTGAGTACATAAGAAAGAGTCAGCTCCAGCACACCACTGTAAATAGCAAAAAGCGGGCATACCCCAGCACCACCCTTAAAAAGGTTAGGTCTTTATCCTAGCAGTCTTCATTCTATGCTGTCCTTCCTGCAGGGAGTTCCTGTTATCGAGTCCTGCCTCTTGAAGCATAGCTATGTGCAACACAGAAATCCAGTTTCATTCCCATTCTTTCCAGAACTAGTTAGCCTGGGTGTTCTCAAGCCACAGAGAATTTGTTGGGGAGGGAGTTTTTGCCACAGTTGCATTCAGCACTGATGATCTGATTCTTAGTTGGTAAATATGGTATTAAAAATTGTCATTGCTTTAGTCAGTCTGGCTACACTGTAGCCTTGGTTGCTAAACAGAATCCAATGTTGTGGGCAAATTAGAAACACTAACAAGAAAGAGGGAACATCTGTAGGGAATTACTTATGAGGTAATTTAGAAATTATTTTTAAAGATCACATTGTGCTGTTTATATAAATAAGAAAGGGAAGAAACAAGTTCAATAGGAAACTGGAATTAAAGAACATTAAAAACACATTTGTTTACATATGTATACATAAATGTGTGTATATTTATATTTATATTTATTTATATTTATATTTTTGTTGGTACAAAAGTAATTGTGGTTTCAGACCATGAATTTTATTTTTTTAATTTTTTTTGAAAAGTACTAAATATATAAATATTCACAAGTTCAACAAAGGAGAGAAAATAACACCAATAAAATCCCCAAAAACTTAACAATACATTAATCTAGGTTGGATGATCTTTTTTTTTTAATTATACTTTAAGTTCTAGGGTACATGTACACAACATGCAGGTTTGTTAGATATGTATACATACGCCATGTTGGTGTGCTGCACCCATTAACTCGTCATTTACATTAGGTATATCTCCTAATGCTATCCCTCCCCCCTCCCCCCACCCCACGACAGTCCCCGGTGTGTGATGTTCCCCTTCCTGTGTCCATGTGTTCTCATTGTTCAATTCCCACCTATGAGTGAGAACATGCAGTGTTTGTTTTTTTGTCCCTGCGATAGTTTGCTGAGAATGATGGTTTCCAGCTCCATCCATGTCCCTGCAAAGGACATGAACTCATCATTTTTTATGGCTGCATAGTATTCCATGGTGTATATGTGCCACATTTTCTTAATCCAGTCTATCATTGATTGACATTTGGGTTGGTTCCAAGTCTTTGCTATTGTGAATAGTGCCGCAGTAAACATACGTGTGCATGTGTCTTTATAGCAGCATGATTTATAATCCTTTGGGTATATACCCAGTAATGGGATGGCTGGGTCAAATGGTATTTCTAGTTCTAGATCCTTGAGGAATCGCCACACTGTCTTCCATAATGGTTGAACTAGTTTACAGTCCCACCAACAGTGTAAAAGTGTTCCTATTTCTCCACATCCTCTCCAGCACCTGTCGTTTCCTGACTTTTTAATGATTGCCATTCTAACTGGTGTGAGATGGTATCTCATTGTGGTTTTGATTTGCATTTCTCTGATGGCCAGTGATGATGAGCATTTTTTCATGTATCTGTTGGCTGCAAAAATGTCTTCTTTTGAGAAGTGTCTATTCAGGTCCTTCGCCCACTTTGTGATGGGGTTGTTTGTTTTTTTCTTGTAAATTTGTTTGAGTTCATTTTAGATTCTGGATATTAGCCCTTTGTCAGATGATTAGGTTGCAAAAATTTTCTCCCATTCTGTAGGTTGCCTGTTCACTCTGATGGTAGTTTCTTTTGCTGTGCAGAAGCTCTTTAGTTTAATTAGATCCCATTTGTCAATTTTGGCTTTTGTTGCCATTGCTTTTGGTGTATTAGACATGAAGTCTTTGCCCATGCCCATGTCCTGAATAGTATTGCCTAGGTTTTCTTCTAGGGTTTTTATGGTTTTGGGTCTAACATGTAAGTCTTTAATCCATCTTGAATTAATTTTTGTCTAAGGTGTAAGGAAGGGATCCAGTTTCAGCTTTCTACGTATGGCTAGCCAGTTTTCCCAGCACCATTTATTAAATAGGGAATCCTTTCCCCATTGTTTGTTTTTGTCAGGTTTGTCAAAGATCGGATAGTTGTAGATATGTGGCATTATTTCTGAGGGCTCTGTTCTGTTCCATTGGTCTGTATCTCTGTTTTGGTACCAGTATCATGCTGTTTTGGTTACTGTAGCCTTGTAGTATAGTTTGAAGTCAGGTAGCGTGATGCCTTCAGCTTTGTTCTTTTGGCTTAGGATTGACTTGGCAATGCAGGCTCTTTTTTGGTTCCATATGAACTTTAAAGTATTTTTTTCCAATTCTGTGAAGAAAGTTATTGGTAGCTTGATGGGGATGGCATTGAATCTATAAATTACCTTGGGCAGTATGGCCATTTTCATGACATTGATTCTTCCTACCCATGAGCATGAAATGTTCTTCCATTTGTTTGTATCCTCTTTTATTTCATTGAGCAGTGGTTTGTAGTTCTCCTTGAAGAGGTCCTTCACATCCCTTGTAAGTTGGACTCCCAGGTATTTTATTCTCTTTGAAGCAATTGTGAATGGGAGTTCACTCATAATTTGGCTCTCTGTTTGTCTGTTATTGGTGTATAAGAACGCTTGTGGTTTTTGCACATTGATTTTGTATCCTGAGACTTTGCTGAAGTTGTTTATCAGCTTAAGGAGATTTTGGGCTGAGATGATGGGGTTTTCTAGACATACAATCATGTCATCTGCAAACAGGGACAATTTGACTTCCTCTTTTCCTAATTGAATGCCCTTTATTTCCTTCTCCTGCCTGATTGCCCTGGCCAGAACTTCCAACACTATGTTGAATAGGAGTGGTGAGAGAGGGTAGCCCTGTCTTGTGCCAGTTTTCAAAGGGAATGCTTCCAGTTTTTGCCCATTCAGTATGATATTGGCTGTGGGTTTGTCATAGATAGCTCTTATTATTTTGAGATATGTCCCATCATTACCTAATTTATTGAGAGTTTTTAGCATGAAGAGTTGTTGAATTTTGTCAAAGGCCTTTTCTGCATCTATTGAGATAATCATGTGGCTTTTGTCTTTGGTTCTGTTTATATGCTGGATTACGTTTATTGATTTTCGTATGTTGATCCAGCCTTCCATCCCAGGGATGAAGCCCACTTCATCATGGTGGATAAGCTTTTTGATGTGCTGCTGGATTCGGTTTGCCAGTATTTTATTGAGGATTTTTGCATCAATGTTCATCAAGGATATTGGTCTAAAATTCTCTTTTTTTGTTGTGTCTCTGCCAAGCTTTGGTATCAGGATGATGCTGGCCTCATAAAATGAGTTAGGGCAGATTCCCTCTTTTTCTATTGATTGGAATAGTTTCAGAAGGAATGGTACCAGCTTCTCCTTGTATCTCTGGTAGAATTCGGCTGTGAATCCATCTGGTCCTGGACTTTTTTTGGTTGGTAAGCTATTAATTATTGCCTCAATTTCAGAGCCTGTTATTGGTCTATTCAGAGATTCAACTTCTTCCTCGTTTAGTCTTGGGAGGGTGTGTGTGTCGAGGAATTTATCTATTTCTTCTAGATTTTCTAGTTTATTTGCATAGAGGTGTTTATAGTATTCTCTGATGGTAGTTTGTATTTCTGTGGGATCGGTGGTGATATCCCCTTTACCATTTTTTATTGCATCTGTTTGATTCTTCCCTGTTTTCTTCTTTATTAGTCTTGCTAGCAGTCTATCAATTTTGTTGATCTTTTCAAAAAACCAGCTCCTGGATTCACTGATTTGTTGAAGGGCTTTTTGTGTCTCTATTTCCTTCAGTTCTGCTGTGATCTTAGTTATTTCTTGCCTTCTGCTAGCTTTTGAATATGTTTGCTCTTGCTTCTCTAGTTCTTTTAATTGTGATGTTAGGTTGTCAATTTTAGATCTTTCCTGCTTTCTCTTGTGGGCATTTAGTGCCATAAATTTCCCTCTACATACTGCTTTGAATGTGTCCCAGAGATTCTGGTATGTTGTGTCTTTGTTCTCGTTGGTTTCAAAGAACATCTTTATTTCTGCCTTCATTTCGTTACGTACCCAGTAGTCATTCAGGAGCAGGTTGTTCAGTTTCCATGTAGTTGAGCAGTTTTGTGTGAGTTTCTTAATCCTGAGTTCTAGTTTGATTGCACTGTGGTCTGAGAGACAGTTTGTTATAATTTCTGTTCTTTTACATTTGCTGAGGAGTGCTTTACTTCCAACTATGTGGTCAATTTTGGAATAAGTGTGGTGTGGCGCTGAAAAGAATGTATATTCTGTTGATTAGGGGTGGAGAGTTCTGTAGATGTCTATCTATTAGGTCCACTTGGTGCAGAGCTGAGTTCAATTCCTGGATATCCTTGTTAACTTTCTGTCTCATTGATCTGTCTAATGTTGACAGTGGGGTGTTAAAGTCTCCCATTATTATTGTGTGGGAGTCTAAGTCTCTTTGTGGGTCACTAAGGACTTGCTTTATGAATTTGGGTGCTCCTGTATTGGGTGCATATATATTTAGGATAGTTAGCTCTTCTTGTTGAATTGATCCCTTTACCATTATGTAATGGCCTTCTTTGTCTCTTTTGATCTTTGTTGGTTTAAAGTCTGTTTTATCTGAGACTAGGATTGCAACCCCTGCCTTTTTTTGTTTTCTATTTGCTTGATAGATCTTCCTCCATCCCTTTATTTAAGCCTATGTGTGTCTCTGCACACGAGATGGGTTTCCTGAATACAGCACACTGATGGGTCTTGACTCTTTATCCAATTTGCCAGTCTGTGTCTTTTAATTGGAGCATTTAGCCCATTTACATTTAAGGTTAATATTGTTATGTGTGAATTTGATCCTGTCATTATGATGTTAGCTGGTTATTTTGCTCGTTAGTTGATGCAGTTTCTTCCTAGCCTTGATGGTCTTTACAATTTGGCATGTTTTTGCAGTGGCTGGTACCAGTTGTTCCTTTCCATGTTTAGTGCTTCCTTCAGGAGCTCTTTTAGGGCAGGCCTGGTGGTGACAGAATCTCTCAGTGTTTGCTTGTCTGTAAAGTATTTTATTTCTCCTTCACTTATGAAGCTTAGGTTGGCTGGACATGAAATTCTGGGTTGAAAATTCTTTTCTTTAAGAATGTTGAATATTGGCTACCACTCTCTTCTGGCTTATAGAGTTTCTGCCAAAAGGTCTGCTGTTAGTCTGATGGGCTTCCCTTTGTGGGTAACCCGACCTTTCTCTCTGGCTGCCCTTAACATTTTTTCCTTCATTTCAACTTTGGTGAATCTGATAATTATGTGTCTTGGAGTTGCTCTTCTCGAGGAGTATCTTTGTGGCGTTCTCTGTATTTCCTTAATTTGAATGTTGGCTTGCCTTGCTAGATTGGGGAAGTTCTCCTGGATAATATCCCGCAGAGTGTTTTCCAACTTGGTTCCATTCTCCCCGTCACTTTCAGGTACACCAATCAGACGTAGATTTGGTCTTTTCACATAATCCCATATTTCTGGGAGGCTTTGTCCGTTTCTCTTTATTCTTTTTTCTCTAAACTTCCCTTCTCACTTCAATTCATTCATTTCGCTAGACCATTCTTAAAAGAAGATATACAAATGGCCAACAAACATGAAAAAATGCTCAACATCACTAATTATCAGGGAAATGCAAATTAAAACCACAGTGAGACACTACCTTACTCTCCTGCAAGAATGGTCATAATTTAAAAATCAAAAAATAATAGATGTTGGCATGGATGTGGTGTAAAGGGAACACTTTTGCACTGCTGGTGGGAATGTAAACCAGTACAACCACTATGGAAAACAGTATAGAGACTCCTTAAGGAACTAAAAGTAGAACTACTGTTTGATCCAGCAATCCCACTACTGGATATCTACCCAGAGGAAAATAAGTCATTGTATGAAAAAGACACTTGCACACACATGTTCACAGCAACACAATTCGCAGTTGCAAAAATATGGAACCAGTCCAAATGCCCATCAATCAACAAGTGGACAAAGAAAATGTGGTAAATATATATATGTATGCATATATATATATATATATATACACACACATAAATGTATATACACACACTATGGAATACTACTCAGCCATAAAAAGGAATGAAATCATGGCATTTGCAGCAAGGACACATGATGTATTAAGTAAAACAAAGCAGTATTATAAAAAATTTGTCTAGTATCATCATATTTAGGTTATATATATACATATACACATATATAATTATATAAATATGTATTCACTATTTTCTATTACATATCTATTTGCTATAGATATTAAACAGTAAATTGTTAAAAAGTGTACATCTCTAGAGGATGGTTAGATTAAGGAGGGACTTCCATTTTTAACTTGTATTATTTAAATTCTATATAATAAACGTGTTTTTTTTTAATAAGCCAGCATTTTAAAGACATTTCTATTTTGAAGGAAAAGAAATGAATAGGGAAACTTCATGTTTTGAGAAATAAATAAGAGCAAGATTCTGAGATGCCAGAGGGAGGCTTCTGAAGGTCATGGGAAATTTTTCAAGAGCCGATGGCATGTAGTGTCTTGGGGGGTTGGAGGTGGCATGGACCAGGAGGCCCTGCTGACTTGATCGCTATGTATCCTACTGAAGGCTCAATATGTTGCTAAATCTACCTCATAGAAATTTGTTGTTTGTTGATCTGTTTTTTATAATTTGTACTTACTTTATAAAGCAAATGTCACTACTTAGCAAAAGCAAGAGAGTTTCTAGATGCTTACCTCATTGAGACTTTTGCTAATAGAATAAGCTCTAGGATTAATTTCAGAAAGTCTTTTGAAATGTAACAATTTAAGGAAATATTTATTAGTGCTTTATTACATGCTCATTATAAAAAAACTGTACAAAAAGCTTAAAGTAAAGACTAAAAGGTCTCTTCTCCCTCTCACCCCACCATCAGTTCACTAGAGGAAAAATGAGGAATAGTTGTAATAAACAGGAAGAACTTTTCCAGGCATTAGCTATGCGAATCCAAGCATATATAAATTTATCCAGATTTAACAGAGATTGTTGTGCCTTAGGAACTAGAGAGAGAGCAGTTTTCTGCCACTTATTTACGGAGCACTCACATATGCCAAGTGCCATGTTAGTGAGGGCAGATTCAACCAAGAACAAGGGAAATTCCGCGCCTGCCATCACAGAGTTGGCATTCTAGAAAGCAGGCAGACATGAGACCAGAAACACAAACAAAGGCAAATCCGACTGCTGCAAATCAAAAGGAACTGCTGGGGCAGGTCGCGGTGGCTTACGCCTGTAATCCCAGCACTTTGGGAGGCCGACGCGGGCGGATCACGAGGTTAGGAGATTGAGACCATCCTGGCTAATGCGGTGAAACCCCGTCTCTACTAAAAATACAAATTAGCCGGGCGTGGTGGCAGGCGCCTGTAATCCCAGCTACTCGGGAGGCTGAGGCAGGAGAATGGCGTGAACCCGGACGCAGAGCTTGCAGTGAGCCGAGATCGCGCCACTGCACTCCAGCCTGGGCGACAGAGCAAGACTCCATCTCAAAAAAAAAAAAAAAAGTAACTGCTGGGAGGAAAGAGACAGTCCTGTGAAAGCAGATAACAGAGGGTCCTAGAGACCCCTCTAAGGAGGGGAAGTGGAAGTCCAGGGAATTCCAGCAGAGGGAATAGCAAGTGTACAGGTTCTAGGGGAGGAAAGGCTTGGCGGGGATTGAAAGCCAGGGTGCTGGGTATGGTGGGCATGGGGGCAGGGCTAGAACATGCCTGGTTTTCAGCGACCTTGTAGGATTTGATTTTTATTCTAAGTATAATTAGGAGCCACCAAAGGTTTTAAGCAGGGGAGTGATATGATCAGATTTGTTTTTAAAAGATTCCTGTGACTGCTGTTTGTAGGATGGGTTGGACTAGAACCAGAAAGCTAATGTGGAGACTAATTAAGAGGCCATTGCAGTATCCACACGAGATGATAGTGGCTTGGGTTAAGAGGGCAGAAATAGGACCATACCACGATCTTTTTCTGCACCTGGGATACAATGATAATGGAAGTGCTGGAATTCCTGAGTTCAGGGCATATGGAGGCTCTCCAGTTTCTGCAGAGCTCGACTTCCTAGAGGAATGAGCATACCAGTTCAGAGGCTAAATGTATTTATACCATTGCTCATAGGGGAAATTGCTGGAAATCAGGAGAATATCTACCAGTAGAGAGTTGTTGAATAAATTAAGATACATCTACACCGTAGACTCTTATGTGGCCATTAGAGTGGCCCCAGCTGACTTGGAGGGATTTCTATAAAGGATTGTTAAGAAAAGCAAGATGAAGAATCTGTTTAAAATTTCATTTCTAAAACAAACCCTTTATATGTGTGTGTTTGTATATGATTATAGGAGCATGGGAAAAATGGAAGGCTTCATATTAAGTTGTTAGTATGAACTCCTGTTGGGACTGAAAGTGGAAGAAAAAAATCAAGCCAAAAAAAGGAAAATTTATTAAAAAGGACTAATATGCTCACACTTATGTTATTAGATATATATGTATAAGAATATTGAAAAATGCAACTTTTAAGAAGCTGGCACTGGGTTTATGTCAATTGGAACTGAGGCATACGGCCTGTTTGCAGCAGGAAATTGCCTGGTGGAGGATATTTTTCCTCATCTCTGAGTCACAGTGAGCCCCCAATGGGATCTCTGCTACCTCCTGTTTCTTTGCCTACCAAAACTCTGTTTCTTTGCCTATGCGAATTACACTTTGGGAATCACATTTGCTTTCTACATTCACTTCTAGTTAAGTAATTTTACAGAAGGCAAATTATAATCCCCAATCTAACCGTGTTTGCCACAGGGAAAACTTTATGCCCCCCTCAAATAATCTCAGTAAACTATGACTCAGCACAGTGTCTAGCAAACAGAGCTCAGTGTGTTTGCTGAATGAACAAATGATGTGCTCCTTTAATATCCAACATGATTTCCCCCTAAAAACTGGCACCTTTTTGGGTAGGAAAGAGGAAAAGCACTGGAGTTGGGGTTTGAATTGCCTCATCTAGCAAGCTCTGCTCAATTATTTTTTCCCCTTTAAATTATGCTCTATTAAAAGAGTAAAAAGGCAGTTATAGGGTGGTATGAAGTATAATAAACATTTTATATGTATCATAGAATGAGAAAGATGCTAGAAGCCTATATACTATATTGAATAGCAGTTGTCACTAAGTAGTAGAATTTAGAGGTCATTTTAATAGAATTTTTTTTTGTTTTACTGATTTGAACTTTTAACTTTTTTTATAGTTCTTATGTTTGATGATGATAATGATTTTTAAAAAATTTCAGTTGTGTCTAAAATAGTACCTAGCCCATAGTAGACCTGTAATAAATATTTGTTGAATAAAGATGGATTTTTTAAAGGAAAGCAGTACATATTCATTATAGAAAATAGGCAAAAAATAAGCACAAGGGGAAAAAACCAATTTCGCTACTCAGAGATAACTCAATAGTGTTGTATAGAATTTTCCAGTTGTTTATATTTATTAAACATTCATATGTAGTACATAGTATTTTTAAATGGGATTTTTGCAACCCCTTTCTCTCTCTTTTCTTATTCTCTTTCCCCATTTTTCTTTCTCCCTGACTCTTCTATTACAATTATGGAGAAAAGTAACTGCCAGGTGGCTTAGAAATGTGTGTCAGCAGCAAAGTGGCTCCTCTTCCAGGAAGGAAACAGCTCTTGGGCCTGCAATATCACTTTGTGTGTTAATTTACTCAGCAGAACTTTCCAGGCACCTGCACAAGGGATGCGGCCTTTAGGAGAGCAAGTTGGCATCCCTCTGTGTGGAACACAGCCTAAAACTGCGATTTTCTCTTGTAGGCATTTTCAGCTTTTTACTTTGTGATGAAGTTTTTAAACTTGACATCAGAGAAAGTCTCTCAGGAAAAGGTGACTGAGATGATGAAAAAGTTCTGTGCTCAGCCTTGGGAGGAGGTAAGTGACTAGGCACAGCAGCTCTAACAGCATGAGTGCCCTGTGTCGTTGCTGATGCAGAGGATGTGAGTCTGCTCTGAAACTCCTGCTGGTTTGACCAAGATCCAGCAAATGTGTTAGAGAAGACCAGATGGTGGACTCAGGAATGAATTTATCAGCATTCCTTGATAACTTGACATCCAGTGGCTTAAATAAGATCTTATTTTTTTCTCACCTAATACAAAGTCTGGCAGTAGGCAGCTGCTGGCATGGGGTCAGCAGCTCTGCTCTATCTCAGCCATTGCTTCTTCAGCTCTGCTGTTGTGCCTGTTTCTTCATGGACACAAGATGGTGGCTGTGGCTTCAGGCATCACAGCCATGTTCAGAAAGGTCAGAAAAGGGGTCGAACCAGATACATCTGTTCCTTTTTACAGGAAAGCAAAAGCTATCCCAGACTCAGCAGTCTTCCCCTTATATCTCAATGGCCAGGATTGACTGGGAAAACCAGGTGCAGAATTTTGTGACCAGCTTAGAGCTTAGACCTATAATGAGCCACTGCCTCGAGCTGGGCACATTGTGGCCCACTCTCCTCCTTCAGTCCCCAAATCAGAGTTCTGTTAGCAAGAAAGCAGGCAATTTGCAGAGTCTGACACAGACACAATTGTGGTAAAATCCTCTCCATTTCCCAGGTCCAAGATATCTCCTACTTATTCATAAACTTGAAGCACAATTTTTTTCTTATCAGAGGCACTGAGCCATTCAACATCCAGTGCCACAAGATGAAAATCCAGGGATGAGAGGTATGGAATCCACTCCGATTATAAAAGACATAGCTCAAAACAGCAGCTGTACTTAAGTTGACAGTTGCAAAAGTGAATGGTGTTTTCATTCTTAAGAAATACTATTAATTAAAAATAGATGCTTATCCCTGACTGCACTGACAAGGGGGAAGAAAGGCTGAGCAAGAGCCTGGAAGCTTGCCATTCTCTCCAGGTATTTTGTCTAGAACATGAAAGAAATGTGGTCAGGGCCTTCATCAAGAGTTGCTCAAATATGTCTCAGCATTTTACAAAATGCTTAGCGGTGGTTTTTTGCATCTGGCGGTGATCTGTGGAGGAAGATAAGCATGTTAGAGTGGAGGCAATTTGAGACCAGGCCTACATGTGGCTGCTGAGGAAGCAGATTTAGGCTGCTCTTTGAAAAAAAATTACTTCTGGTTTAGATTAAAAGTTCTCATCCTGGCTAACATGGTGAAACCCCGTCTCTACTAAAAATACAAAAAAAATTAGCCGGGCATGGTGGTGGGCACCTGTAGTCCCAGCTACTTGGGAGGCTGAAGCAGGAGAATGGCATGAACCCAGGAGGCGGAGCTTGCAGTGAGCTGAGATTGTGCCACTGCACTCCAGCCTGGGTGACAGAGCAGGACTCCATCTCAAAAATTAAAAAAAAAAAAAAAGTTCTGTCAGGTTTCCTCTCTTATCCACATCTCATGTTTTACTTCATAAGACTATGTTAGGCTGGGAATGCTTATATTTAGACCTGTAGTTCTGCTCAGGTAAGTCATGTGGGGAGTTGTTCAGAGGCCCTGGAAGTAAGCTAAGAAGGGCCTGCATTTGGGAGAATTCCTGAAGCATTTGGGGAAGGGGTTGCAGGGTTAGACCCCTGTCTTCACCCAGAGCCTACAGCATTGAGGTGGATGTTATGACCCAGGGTTCACTTTCCCAAGCTGCATCGTCCACCCAGGTAGAAAGCATAGTTTTGTCAAGTACATTGTTAGAAGGTGACTCTTTCTTCTTTCCCTCCTAACTTCATCATGGACTGCTACTCCAGTATGGCTTGTGTTTGGGAATGTTCCTCCTAAACACCTTTGGTAGAGAGATAATTAACAATGTTTAAGCATGTACTATGTGTTGACAGTGGTGGACATTTGCTTGCTGTGCTTTATGCATATCCTATCATGCTGCCTTCCCCTGCTTTGGCAAGGGAAATAAAATGCAAACCACACCTGCTGACACTCAGTCAGGTACCTGAAGCCATTGGGTCTCTGAAGTGGAGGGACCAGGAGAGTGAGTGGAAGGGAGACTCCATGGTTGTCTTCTGGCAGCTTCATTAGAGGGCTAGTAGAATCTTTCAGCAGCCAGAACACAGCCAATTTTCTACTCTGAAAATCTGGTCATCCAAGATCTGGTCAGCCCAAGTGAACAATGTGATCAGATTCTATGTGTACTGATGACCAGTTATATTTCAGTGTACTCTGGATCCTCACATTCAGCCTCATGAATATTTAGCCTTTCTAGGGAAAGGCATCCCATTCTTGAAGATCCATCAATGCCCCTTTATGTGGAGGGCAGAAAGAGGATATCCATGAAGAGAAAAGAACCTCATCATGTTCCACTGCCCTGGGAATAGAAAGGAGAGAAGAGAGAGGGGAAGGTGGGAGAGAGAGGAGAGAGGAGAGTAGACTTCCCCTCCCAATTTGGAGAGCACATAGTGATCCACCCACAGGCATGAGCATGATCAATTCTGGATTGATGAAGAAGGTGGATGCCTTTTTGGCTTCTATATTTTTGGCTACTATCATAACCTTCAGGAGGCCAGACTGCATAGCCAATGTACAGATTTCCAGAAGGAGGAGGGGAATAGGAGTATTAAAGAATTCAGGGAAATTAGGCCAAAATGGCATCTCCCAGCCCCCCACAAGGGATAGGCCAGCCTTCAAGGACCTACAGGGGCTCAGCACTTTCAAGTTGGACCTAAGTAGATTCTTGGGATTTTGTGTCCCATAGGCATCCTTCAATTGACAGGCCCAAGACTACTTCAATAGGGGAGGAGGTCTTTTCACAAAGGGAAAGCAGAATGCAGTGACTGAAAGGAAGGGGTAGGAACCTGGACAGGCAATGCCAACTGATGTCCACACCAAGGTCTCAAGAGGATGTCACATGCAGAGGAATCAATCAAAGGATAATTTCCAGAACTGTGCTGAAAAGACAAGCTCCAAGCTGGGTCATTCTGAGAATTTCATCAGAGCAAGACAAGGCAGTCTAGTTATGGACTTATCCTTCCAGAAACTGGGGACAGGCAAGAACCAAGTGAGAAACAGACCCCAGCCAGCGGTTAGGATTTGCATATGGGTTAGGACCCACGGAAGGGAGAGAAATCTGGGAAAAGAGGGGTGTGGTTTAGGCATCAAGGAGATACTACATATAAAACATCTGGCATAGTTCCAGATGGTACATGATGCATGCATAACAAATGTTCTCTCTCTGCCGAGGGTATCCAGGAGGGAATGCCTATCTGAAGGGCTGAGGAATGGGGCAGCAGACAGAAGTCCAGGCTGAACTAGAGAGGTCCTGGCCTGTTGTCCTCAAATTGAGGGCAGGAGAGTTGCAGAGCAGGCTGTGGGTATCTGGGTGTATATTCACAACAGCTAGGCTAGGTAAGGGCAAGGGATGGCAAGCAGCTCTTAATATTTTTAGTAGGGAGTAGGATGAGTAAACATAGGAAGGACTCAAGGAAACAACCACTTTGCATGACTCAGATGCAAAAAAAGACATTAAGACAGAAGATAGAAGGTGAGATGTTGGCAGTGCTAGCAGTCCTCAGCAAAATGCTGCCTAAACTGTGTCCACAGCTGTGTTTCTCAAACTTTACTGTGCACGTGAATCACCTGGGAATCATATTGGGATGCAGATTCTGAATTGGTAGTTTTAAGGTGAGGACTAACCAGCTCCCAAGTGATGCTGATGCTGCCAGTCCAGGGACTAAAGTGAGTGGTAAGGCTTTTTATGGCTGTGGGCCAAAGGCTCTGGTCAAGAGCATATAGAAAACTCAGATTAAACAAAGTCTAGGGCATGAACAGAGGTACTGAAATTTAGTGTTTCAGAACCTACTAGACCACAGGAACTACTTTTTTCCTGGAGGACCTGTTATTATCTCATAGAAGCCTGTGCAGGAAAAGCTTCCTTAAGAGACCCTAAACTATAAAACCCTGCTCCCACTGAAGGAGTGCAGCACCACCCCCAAAACCCTCTGGAAGAGGCCAACCTTCAGGTGCACTGGAGCTGGGGCTTTCCCCTCTCTTCATCAGGGCTAGTAGAGAAAAAGAGGGCCACAGAGAGGTGCCTATCATACGAGTATGATCTCCCCCTCACTTCACTTCTAGATAAAAACATCTTACGCTGGAGTAAAGGAGAAGTACCTGAGTGAATACTGCTTTTCTGGTACCTACATTCTCTCCCTCCTTCTGCAAGGCTATCATTTCACAGCTGATTCCTGGGAGCACATCCATTTCATTGGCAAGGTAATTTGGGGGCCTGTTGGGCTGGGGGGAGGTTGGGGTTCGGTGGTAGTGACTGAAGCAGTTTGGGGCTTGAAAAAGGGGGGAGTCAGCATGGTGTAGCTTTGGCTTGATGTCCTGTTCTGCCATTCTGCTTCAAACCCTGGCATTCTGTGTCAAGCCCTCCTGGGTCTGTTGGCCCACTGTGAGCATCCTCGCTAAGGACAGCTACTTGCATTTTCAGTTGCACCTTCCCACATAACAGTGACTAATTCCTTACAAAACAAAACACAAAACGAGATATATTAAAGTAACAGCATTTCAGCAGCTACAGTGACTCTGTGTGCTGACTTCAGCAGCCCTCTGAAAGGCCCCTTCCATAAGCTGGGAAAGTATGATCATGGTTTCATCATCCTTGTTGGTTATTACTTCAAGGTTGACCAATCTGAAAGCTCTGTGTGAAGAAGGGGACTGAGTGGCTGTGAATGATGAGACCGTTGTTTAGAAGCCAGGCTTAGCCTGAGTCCGGAAGAAGCAACCTCAATGCTGTGCTTTACCATAGCACCACCTGCAGGTATCCAGGAATAGAGAACCCAGCTGAGCGACTCATGCTTGACCAAAAATACCCAGAGCAGTGTGTCTCTACCTTTTTAAGCCCATGCTCACTAGTGGGGAAAACATTTTACCCCCTGTATTAAATATGGTGATTTCAAGCAAAACAAAGCATTGAGACAGAGGGCTGTAGCAGGCCTGAGGATAACAGTGTCCTTACACTCTTGTCAGTGCTGATCTTGCTAATTCAAACTTAAATCTTTTCCTTGTTATAATATTCCAGACTTCCTTTAATTCCAGCAGTTTATTTTGTTTGAAAGATTATACCTATGTCAAATTTAGGACTGACACACGAGGTAGTCATGATGTATGTGTGTGTATATACTTTTTTTTTAAGAGACATGGTCTCACGCTGTCACCCAGGCTGGAGTGCAGTGGTATGATCACAGCTCACTGAAGCCTCAAACTCCTGGGATTAAATGATCCTCCCCACCCAGGCTCCCAAATAGCTGAGACTACAGACATGTTCCACCGTGCCCAGCTAATTTTATTTTTTAGAGAGACAGGGTCTCACTATGTTGCCCAGGCTAGTCTCAAACTCCTGGCCTCAAGTGATCCTCCCTCCTTGGCCTCCCAAAGTGCTGAGATTACAGGCATGAGCCACTGTGCCCAGCCAGTGATTTATATTGTTTGAACTCTTCCAATGCATGATCCAATAATTCTAAGCCCTAGGTGATAACTCTTCTAACTCCTCCAACCACAAACAGACTTTCCCCACTGTTTGCAGATCCAGGGCAGCGACGCCGGCTGGACTTTGGGCTACATGCTGAACCTGACCAACATGATCCCAGCTGAGCAACCATTGTCCACACCTCTCTCCCACTCCACCTATGTCTTCCTCATGGTTCTATTCTCCCTGGTCCTTTTCACAGTGGCCATCATAGGCTTGCTTATCTTTCACAAGCCTTCATATTTCTGGAAAGATATGGTATAGCAAAAGCAGCTGAAATATGCTGGCTGGAGTGAGGAAAAAAATCGTCCAGGGAGCATTTTCCTCCATCGCAGTGTTCAAGGCCATCCTTCCCTGTCTGCCAGGGCCAGTCTTGACGAGTGTGAAGCTTCCTTGGCTTTTACTGAAGCCTTTCTTTTGGAGGTATTCAATATCCTTTGCCTCAAGGACTTCGGCAGATACTGTCTCTTTCATGAGTTTTTCCCAGCTACACCTTTCTCCTTTGTACTTTGTGCTTGTATAGGTTTTAAAGACCTGACACCTTTCATAATCTTTGCTTTATAAAAGAACAATATTGACTTTGTCTAGAAGAACTGAGAGTCTTGAGTCCTGTGATAGGAGGCTGAGCTGGCTGAAAGAAGAATCTCAGGAACTGGTTCAGTTGTACTCTTTAAGAACCCCTTTCTCTCTCCTGTTTGCCATCCATTAAGAAAGCCATATGATGCCTTTGGAGAAGGCAGACACACATTCCATTCCCAGCCTGCTCTGTGGGTAGGAGAATTTTCTACAGTAGGCAAATATGTGCTAAAGCCAAAGAGTTTTATAAGGAAATATATGTGCTCATGCAGTCAATACAGTTCTCAATCCCACCCAAAGCAGGTATGTCAATAAATCACATATTCCTAGGTGATACCCAAATGCTACAGAGTGGAACACTCAGACCTGAGATTTGCAAAAAGCAGATGTAAATATATGCATTCAAACATCAGGGCTTACTATGAGGTAGGTGGTATATACATGTCACAAATAAAAATACAGTTACAACTCAGGGTCACAAAAAATGCATCTTCCAATGCATATTTTTATTATGGTAAAATATACATAAATATAATTCACCATTTTAACATTTAATTCATATTAAATACGTACAAATCAGTGACATTTAGTACATTCACAGTGTTGTGCCACCATCACCACTATTTAGTTCCAGAACATTTGCATCATCAATACATTGTCTAGAGACAAGACTATCCTGGGTAGGCAGAAACCATAGATCTTTTGTGTTTACAGCTATGGAAACCAACTGTACCATAAAGATAGTTCACTGAGTTTTAAAGCCAAGCCACATCTTATTTTTCCAAGGTTTAATTTAGTGAGAGGGCAGCATTAGTGTGGAGTGGCATGCTTTTGCCCTATCGTGGAATTTACACATCAGAATGTGCAGGATCCAAGTCTGAAAGTGTTGCCACCCGTCACACAACATGGGCTTTGTTTGCTTATTCCATGAAGCAGCAGCTATAGACCTTACCATGGAAACATGAAGAGACCCTGCACCCCTTTCCTTAAGGATTGCTGCAAGAGTTACCTGTTGAGCAGGATTGACTGGTGATGTTTCATTCTGACCTTGTCCCAAGCTCTCCATCTCTAGATCTGGGGACTGACTGTTGAGCTGATGGGGAAAGAAAAGCTCTCACACAAACCGGAAGCCAAATGTCCCCTATCTCTTGAATGATCAAGTCACTTTTGACAACATCCAGGTGAATATAAAAACTTAATAAAGCTGTGGAAAGGAACTCTTAATCTTCTTTTCTGCTACTTAGGTTAAATTCACTAGATCTTGATTAGGAATCAAAATTCGAATTGGGACATGTTCAAATTCTTTCTTGTGGTAGTTGCCTATACTGTCATCGCTGCTGTTGGTTGAGCATTTGTGGTGTACCACGCTGTGTGCTCAAGGGTATTACATTCATCTTCTCATTTAATCCTCACAACAATCTGAAGAAGGTAGGTATTACAATTCCCACTTCATAGAAACAGAAACTGAGGTTCAGAGAGGTTAAGTCATTTGCCCAAATGGCTGAGCCAAAGCCTACCATGTACCTAACCTTTATTTTCTTTCCCGAACATACCAGGCTGTCTCCTCATAACTTCCAAGCATGCACTTAAAACTCCACATGAATACAAGGTTCATGGGACTTGGTATTCATAGAAAGGGAGGCAGAAAGCTGGTCTGTTCCTGATAGGCTTGTAATTTAATATCATTCTGTTCATGTGCTTTGGATGGAAGCACATCTGGCATATGATGCTAATCAGTGGTTCCCATACCCCTGGCTTCCTAATTTTAATGTTTGCTCACAGCATAGTAGATTGACATCAAATAGTGGCCGATGATGATGAAAATAAAGGTCAAATAAGTTGAGCCAATAACAGCCGCTTTTTTCCTTCTGTCTGCGTATACAAAGCACTGTCATGCACACAATCTATTCTGACCCTCACAACAACCCATAAGGGTGTAAATAGTATTTCCATTTTACAAATGAGGATCACACAAACTACTACATGGCAGAGCAGATACTCCAACTCATGTCTTCTGGTTGAAGCCTATTGCTTTTTCTTTTCTAAACACTTTCCCTCAGCAAGTTGGAATTAGACTTCACAAGTCTCCTTCAGAGAACACAAATCTTTTCTTATTCCATTCCTGTTTGGTTGCCTACGTCCAATCTCCCCCTCCCCAGAGATGCCAAAAAAAAAATCCTTTAAGGTATTTGGGAGCCAAACTCAACTTGTTAAAATCTCAAATTATGGAGACAATCAGCAGACACAACCTAACCCCAATTATTTTGGCAGGAAGGTTGGTTTAGAGGCAGATCCAGCAATCTGCTTTGGGCCACTCTGGGTGGGGTAGGTGAAATAAGATTGGTCACTGTTAACTAATTTTAATATTGGATTGGCCATTGGTTATCACTGATTACCATTCTCCCCTGGATTTTCACCCAGGACTCAAAACTTGGTTCTGCTAACCCTGTTCCTTTATGAGGAACCTTTTAAAGATTCCTTTATAAGGTGGGAGTTTTTTTTCTATGAACCTATAGGGGAGAAAAAAGATCAGCAGAAGTCATTACTTTTTTTTTTTTTTTTTTTTTTTTTTGAGAGAGAGTCTCACTCCATTGCCCAGGCTGGAGTGCAGTGGTGCTATCTCGGCTCACTGCAACCTCCGCCTCCTGGGTTCAAGCAATTCTCCTGCCTCAGCCTCCCGAGTAGCTGGGATTGCAGGTGCCCACCACCACACCCGGCTAATTTTTGTATTTTTAGTAAAGACAGGGTTTCACCATGTTGGCCAGGCTGGTCTCCAACTCCCAATCTCAGGTGATCCTATTGCCTCGGGCTCCCAAAGTGCTGGGATTACAGGAGTGAGCCACCATGCCTGGCCAGAAGTGGTTACTTCTGTAGACAAAAGAATAATGCTACTTAATCAGGCTTTCTGTGTGACAAGAAAGAGAAAGAAAATAAAGAAGTTTCAATTCATCCAATTCTTAATAAGAAATATGTAAATAAAATTTTTTAAAATTACACTTCATTTTAATGTTGTATCAGTCAAGGTCCCTGCAAGAGATGGATGGTATGGTACACTCAAACTGGGTAACACAGGAGAGTTTTCAGAAAGCAACTAAATCCAAAATACTATCAAGGAATCAATATAAAAATTGTTAATATTTTTCTCATACTAAATTTTCAAAATATTTTGTGTCTATTACATTTACAGCACATCTTAATTAGGACTAGCTGTGTGTTCACCTCACATGTGGCTTGTAGCTACCATACTGGACAGCACATGTCCAAAAAAATACACGTAAAGTTAAAGTTTAAAAGACACAGGAACTAAGCCCTCATTGTCTTTCCCTTGGGAGGTAGTTTAAAGAGCTATAGATGCTGTAACATTCTTGCTATTATTTATTATATATGACATTATTCCTAAAAAAGCTTTTGAGATCCTAGGTTGTATTCCTCAGGTTTTGTTGCCTTCCCATGAAGATGTGAAGGCAGGGATGCCTGTTATTCAGTCCAAGATGCATGACAAGAGACCTTGGGAAAGTTTCATCTGGATTTAAAGATTAATTCTTGATGCTTACATTCCATACTCAAAATGTAAATTTGAATATTAAAATAAAGATGATTTTTTTTTTGGAGCTAGTCTTGCTCTGTTGCCCAGGCTGGAATGCAGTGGCATGATCATGGCTCACTGCAGCCTCGACCTCCCAAGCTCAAGCAAGGCTACAGGTGTGCACCTAAGTAGCTAGGACTACAGGTGTGCACCACCATGTCTAGCTATTTTTTTTTCTGTAGAGACAGGGTTTTCCTATGTTGTCCAGGCTGGTCTCGAACTCCTGCCCTCAAGCAATCCTCCTGCCTTGGCCTCCCAAAGTGTTGAGATTACAGGCGTAAGCCACTGCACCTGGCCAAGATGAATATTTTAATAGCTCACAGAACAAAGTTTGCCACATAATGATAAAATTACTATGAAAATATATTCCCTTTATTGTCAGTTTAAAAGATGAACTGAGTTTCACCCAAACTGGTCTGGCCCCTCTCTGATTCAAATACCAATAGTTGCTCTGATTCAAATTCCAACTGTTAGAACATGACAGCTGCTCATAACTAGCTTTGCTTACTAACCATGTTTCTTTCCATTTGTATTAGGTCCTTTACTTTTTATAACAGCCTCAAAGTTTCATGAATTGCTGCAGTAAACATTGATTTTCATGTTTGTGAGTCTGCAAGCCAGCTGGGCAGCTCTACTTCAGGTGGTAAGGGTGGATCAGACCTATTCCATATACCTCTTGTTCTCCTTGTCCAGTGGTTTCTAGGGATATGTTCTCATGATGAACCCCGCAGAGGCTCGTGAAAGTGAGAGGAAACTAGGATGCCTCTTAAGGTCTTGGTCAGGATGGGGTCTCCTGTCACTTCTGTCACAGGCTATTGTAAGTCATATGAGCAAGCTCAATAAAATATAAACAAGTCAGATAAACAGTGGGAGGAATGGCAAAGTCATATGGCCAAGGCCATGAGTGATTAATTTTAACACAGGAAAAAAGTAAAGCATTAAATGCGATTATTTAATATACAATGTCTTATTAACTGAAATATAAAATGTGTTTACTGTAAAATATAATCTGTTTATCTCACCAAAGAAATATTATCTTTAAAAAATGTCATTACTTCTAAGACATCATCAGTCTGCAACTTCTTTCCATAGCCTTAATCAGGATGCTGTGGCAGCTCCCACATTAGCCTCGCATTCTAAACTGGTAGATGTCCTAGGAAACCATACATCTATGTATTTTTCTTATTTTATACGTTTAGGACAATGTATAGCTAATTACCCAACTTTTTATTTGCATACAAATCTAATACAACTGAACACAATCAGTTTTATCACAGGTATAATGGATTTTTCAATAGTGAGGAGGTGCCTCCATGAGCCTTCTCTTTAGAAAAGTGGCATTCAAGACTCTTCATTTGAAGTGAAGATTGCTATGTCTTTTGCATTGCTCTATTTTACATAAATTAAGTTATAAATTGACACTATAATCAACTGACACCATGATCAGTGATGATGATCACCCTCATCAGCACTAGAGTTGACTTGTTTTTATAACCCCTTTGCATGTATGTTGAATAGCAAAGTTCATCAGAGAACATGTATTAGTCAATGGTAAGTAAGATACTCTCATCTAAGAAATAACATCACCTCTTCTAATGAAGTTCTAAGAAGAGAGGGAAGAAAAAGTCTTGGGAGCTAGTCAGGGAATAGTGTGTATTTGCAATTACCTAAACTGAACTCTACCATTACTCCTAACCCAGTTCCTCCTCCTGTGTTTTACATGATTAATGCCACCCCTGCCTCAATGAACCAAGATCAGCTCCATCACTGGGACCTCCCCATTCTGCCTGTGCAATATTTTTCTTTTTTATTTCTCCTTCTAATATTACTGTTATTGCTCCAGTAAAGAGCTGTAATATATTTTACCTGGACTGATACCAGGAATGGTGGTGTTGCTTCCAATCTGTTGCTGCTAGATTAATCTTTGCAAAGCACAGGCTTAATTTCATTGCTGCTCAACTAAAACCACTGGTGGCTTTCCATTGCCTACAAAATAAAGTCAACCTCCCCATCAGACATTCAAGGCTTTCAATGATCCATGGCCGCCAGCTCTCTCCAGGCTCATATCCCACTCCACTCCTCTGATGTTTCCTACACTACACTACACTATACTACACTACAGCCAGGTAGAATGACTGTTCACCCAACACCACTCAGGTTGTCTTCTCAACTTGGAATACTCTTGCACCTTCAAAGCTCATTTCAAATGCCCCTTCATTTGTGAAGCCTTCTCCAAATTTCCAAGTCAGAATGTCTCTTCCTTGTGCTACCACAACCCTTTAACTGAGCCTCCATTAGTGCACTGAGACCATTCTGTTCAGTGTCTGGGTGAAGCTTCCTGGTGAAAAATATGTTACCTATTTCTTTCTGAAAAGTTGGATTCAGGGATATTATCACGGACCTAAGGTAATAGTTCTAGCCAACCTCCCTGTCCACTGCCAGGCCGACTACAAACCCTTCTGTTGCTGGCGAGCTGGTCCGCACCACTAGTTCTGCTTCACTCTATTTATCTCTTGATGTAACCATCTTCTTTCTCCAGGTTTTAAGAACCAGCCCAACTCCTGGTTCCCTGATGAAGCTTTTATTCCCCTAGCCACATGGAACTTTTCCTTTTTGGAACATGCCTTTAGTTTCTGTGTAGTTTGCCATGCAGCACTTCATTGTACACATTATTAAAACAGAATTTTAAGGATTAGAATGAACCTTAAAAGATCATGCATCTCAAAATTTAATGTACATACAAATTACCCAGGGATTTTGTTGAAATAAAAATTATTTAATTTTAATTAATATAAATAATTCAGTAGGTCTGGGGTGAGGCCTGAGGTTTTACATTTCCAACAAGCTGCCAGGTAAAGCCAATACATCTGTCCAGGAATCACACTTTGCGTATCAAAGGTCTAGATGACATTATCATTCCAAAGAGTTTCTTTTACAGGCTCTCAGATCAGTGTTCATCCACTACCTGACTACTGTCATTCACAGGCATTCTGTTCCACAGCAGGCCAGCTAACGTGGTATTTACAAAGCTCACTCCTCTTATACAACAATCCAAGTGTTTCTTTTGTCAGTTGTCTGTGCCCCAGGAGATCCCTCTCTGCCTTGCCTTGCCCTCTGCCTTTGGAGACCAGCACCTCATACTCAGTGAAGGCCTGGAGTGCTTAAGAGGGATTTCTTCCAGCTCTCTTGCCCTGGTCTTCAGTGTATTAGATGTATTACCTCCATGCTCTCAGTAGAGGCCCATAGGAAAGAGTAGGTAGGTTATGCCAGCTCACACGCATCCTTTAAAAATGGTTTAGAAGTTTAGCTGGTTTCTTATTACTCCTGTCTATGGATGTTTCCTTCTGTCACTCTACTAGGGATGAAACAGCTAATCATGTTCAATAGTTACATTTAGATTGGTTTTTAAAAACTATGATTGTATTAGTTCGTTTCCATGCTGCTGATAAAGACATATCTGAGACTGGAAACAAAAAGGGTTTAATTGGACTTACAGTTCCACATGGCTGGGGAGGCCTCAAAATCAGGTGGGAGGCAAAAGGTACTTCTTACGTGGTGGCATCAAGAGCAAAATGAGGAAGAAGCAAAAGCAGAAACTCTTCATAAACCCACCAGATCTTGTGGGACTTATTATCACGAGAATAGCACAGAAAAGACTGGCCTCCATGATTCAATTACCTCCCACTGCGTCCCTCCCACAACATGTGGGAATTCTGGGAGATACAATTCAAGTTGAGATTTGGGTGGGGACACAGCCAAACCATATCATTCCTCCCTGGGCTCCTCCAAATTTCATAATCCTCACATTTCAAAACCAATCATTCCTTCCCAACAGTTCCCCAAAGTCTTAACTCATTTCAGCATTAACCCAAAAGTCCACAGTCCAAAGTCTCATCTGAGACAAGGCAAGTCCCTTCCACTTACAAGCCTGTAAAAGCAAGCTAGTTACCTCCTAGATACAATGGGGGGTACAGGTATTGGGTAAATACAGCTGTTCCAAATGAGAGAAATTGGCCAAAACAAAGGGGTTACAGGGTCCATGCAAGTCTGAAATCCAGTGGGGCAGTCAAATTTTAAAGCTCCATAATGATCTCCTTTGACTCCATGTCTCACATTCAGGTCATGCTGATGCAAGAGATAGGTTCCCATGGTCTTGTGCAGCTCCGCCCCTGTGGCTTTGCAGAGTACAGCCTCCCTCCTGGCTGCTTTCTCAGGCTGATGTTGAGTGTCTGTAGCTTTTCCAGGCACAAGATGCAAGTTGGTGGTTGATCTACCATTCTGGGGTCTACCATTCTGGGGTCTACCGTTCTGGGACTGTGGCCTTCTTCTCACAGCTCCACTAGGCAGTGCCCCAACAGGGACTCTGTGTGGGGGCTCTGCCCCACATTTCCCTTCCACACTGCCCTAGGAGAGGTTCCCCATGAGGGCTCTGCCCCTGCAGCAAACTTTTGCCTGGACATCCAGGTGTTTCCATATATATTCTGAAATCTAGGCAGAGGTTCCCAAATCTCAATTCTTGACATCTCTGCACCCACAGGCTCAACATCACATGGAAGCTGCCAATGCTTGGGGCCTCTACCCTCTGAAGCCACAGCCCAAGCTCTATGTTGGCTCCTTTCAGCCATGGCTGGAGCAGCTGGGACACAGGGCACCAAGTCCCTAGGCTGCACACAGCACAGAGACCCTGGGCCCAGCCCACAAAACCACTTTTTCCTCCTGGGCCTCTGGGCCTGTGATGGGAGGGGCTGCCATGAAGGTCTCTGACATGACCTGGAGACATTTTCCCCATGGTCTTGGGGATTAACATTAGGCTCCTTGCTGCTTATGCAAATTTCTGCAGCCAGCTTGAATTTCTCCTTAAAAAAAATGGGTTTTTCTTTTCTACTGCATCATCAGGCTGCAGATTTTCCACATTTATGCTCTTGTTTCCCTTTTAAAACAGAATGTTTTTAACAGCACCCAAGTCACCTTTTGAATGCTTTGCTGCTTAGAAATTTATTCCACCAGATACCCTAAGTCATCTCTCTCAAGCTCTAAGTTCCACAAATCTCTAGGGCAAGGGTGAAATGCTGCCAGTCTCCTTGCTAAAACATAACAAGGGTCACCTTTACTTCAGTTCCCAACAAGGTCTTCATCTCCATCTGAGACCACCTCAGCCTGGACCTTATTGTTCATATCACTATCAGTATTTTTGTCAATGCCATTCACAGTCTCTAGGAGGTTCCAAACTTTCCTACATTTTCCTATCTTCTTCTGAGCCCTCCAGATTATTTCAACACCCAGTTCCAAAGTTGCTTCCACATTTTCGGGTATCTTTTCAGCAATGCCCCACTCTACTGGTACTATTAGTCCATTTTCATGCTGCTGATAAAGACATACCTGAGACTGGGAACAAAAAGAGGTTTAATTGGACTTATAGTTCCACCTGGCTGGGGAGGCCTCAGAATCATGGCAGGAGGTGAAAGGCATTTCTTACACGGCAGCAGCAAGAGAAAAATGAAGAAGCAGCAAAAGCAGAAACCCCTGATAAAACCATCAGATCTCGTGAGACTTATTCACTATCACAAGAATAGCATGGGAAAGACCAGCCCCCTTGATTCAATTACCTCCCCCTGGGTCCTGTGGGAATTCTGGAAGGTACAATTCAAGTTGAGATTTGGGTGGGGACACAGCCAAACCATATCAATGATTTTGTACTTTAACCAGCTGAATGGAAGTACAATCTCTTGCTATATGACACAATAATTATTTGCAAAATGAGTAAACATATCATAAGGAAATTATTTTTACAAGGTTTGAAACCTGAAATGCAGTCTATTATCATACATAACTAAAAATAGAGCCTCAATAAACAGATTCCCAGTTTTGAAAATGCAACATTTGTACTCCACATTGTCAGTTTTCTTAGGTATATTTATAAATACTCCTATAAAAATGTAAAGAAACACATAATGTAGATTGCTAATTTTATAATAACACAAGTTGATTTTGACATCCAACTTATTAATTATGAAATGACTTTTGGCCTAGTAACAATGAAAATGGGGGCAAATACAGATAAATGGTAATTCTTAGAATGAACTACTCAGCACCAATTCTAAGTTTTTCTTGATGGTAAATCATAATGTTCCCTTTCTCCTCGGTTCTGCAATCTATAGGCATACCATAATTGTAATCAATAGCTTAAAAATATGTCTCTCTGTCCTATTCTGTATCTGTATCTCTTGGATTTTTACCTTTGCAATAGTCAACTGAACCATCTTCTTGGAGTACTCATGAAGATGGAAGTCTACATGGAGAATACAGGATGAATCCACTCTGTCTCCTGCAGTGAAGTCTGTTTGAAGGATGTATTTGGCTGTCTTCTGGACAGGCCATTCTAATAACAGAAACAAACAAGTTATTTTAAAACTTATTGGAATATTCAAATATTAACCAAAGTAGAAAAATATAATACACATCCATGTGCCCATCACAGAACTTCACTGATTATCATCATTTAGCCAGTCTTGAAGAAGCAAGTGCTAATTACAATCACAAATGAAACAAGATTCAGACTTCATGAAGAGCACTGCGCTATAATAAAAGAAGAAATGAGCACATACATTCTTTTACTGACAGTCAAATGGTGAAGGTGGGCAGAATCATTATGTGATGCAACATGGCAAAAGTATACAGACAGTGCATCCAGAGGAAGGCACCTTGCTGAATGACTAGAATGGAAGTAGGAGACATTTTGCAGGCCCCCTTCATCCTGCAGGGAGAACCAGAACCACAGCAGCTCTATTTGCCTATTCCTCTTTAAATTACAAAGTTAAAATTTGGGAGTAGTAGAAAATCAATTGGTTATCTTATAGAGTCTCCTAGAATATTTCATTGGCATTGAGAAGGTGGAAAATGCAAATTATATACTTTAAAATGTAATTTTTGCTTTTCACATATGCTTAAAGCCTAAAACCTCTTAATAAACTTCTTCTGAAATATACATTTGTGGGACAATTCTAGTATGTTTTAAATGTAACTGTTTCATAGTGTTTATAGAGAACTCTATTTTTTTCCAACTGCAATCCCTTCTTAACCCAAATTTATAACATGCTGTATTGTATGGATCTGTCAGTAGTGGGTCAGTTAAAAGGAAGAGGGTAGGAGGAATCCTGTCTGGCTGTCATCTGCCTTATTTTTTCTTAGGCCAAGGCTTTTTAGGATAACTAAATTTTTCCTTTAGGTTTCTCCACTTGATTGGAATACCTTTGAGTCATTTTAATCCTGTCTGTAGTAGATGAAGAAATTAGGGAAGTATGAAAAACTTGGTAATTTGAAACAAAAACTTGAATCTGATTTTAATAGAGTAGCTTAGTTCAACATGGAATATCCATTTATATTGAAACTCATTCTTTCATATAGTGTACTTGTAACCCCGACCCCATATCTGGTACTGAGTGACAAGAGGGAAGAAAAAGGAAGGCTTTTGAGAAAAGGCCTTTTTATATGCTCTCTTTGGAATACTATAAAATTCCTAACCCAACCCACCATCAGTAATAGAGAGGTTTTCCTAAGAGAAGCAAGGAATTTTTATTGACCAGCATTGTCTTTTATCTTGTACAATGGAAGACAGTGGGTTGGAGTTAGGGTGTAGAATTATAATTATGGAATAGAGCTATATTATCATAAGGGAAATGAAACAATTTCTGGTTTAACTGGTACCAACTGCTAGCTACTGGAAACCTAGGTACAGATAAACTGATCAGTTTTGCAACCCCAAGCCATGAAGGAGAAGTGACAGTCATTTCAAGAGGTCCTGGCCAACCTCTGTAGAGGTTGTATCTAAACCCTGAATATGTGTGAATTCATGAAACACTTATTTTCTAACATGTTTACATATCAATGGGAGTGATTAGGGATAGGGTTGAGAAAGATTATCCCATAGCTAAATCAATATTTACCTCTGACTTCTACCTCTGCAATTATTGGTACCAAGATTCCTGTCAAGTGAAGAAGGTGAGGAAGATAGATGAGATATTAGTAGAAAAGTTATGAGAGAAAAACTGAGTAGTCTCTAAAGAAATACCAAAATAACCCACACTAGGTTCAGGCAGGAGTTAACATCTAACCAGGTATATACAGAATAATGTCATAGATAACTGGAGAAAATATATTGTAAATCGGGGAAAGGCACATAATGACTTTCTCTATACACCTCTTTGTGTCCCTTCAACCTTTTCTCTCTTCTGTGGCCTTATTTTCTATTCCAGTTTTTCTATTCCAGCACTTCTCTTTTCCTGACTTTTCTTTTGATTTCTATACCTTTTTATATCCTTCCTTCTCTTGTTCTTTCCCTTTAGGGTGCCATGCTTTACTTTTCTCCTTGCCTTGCACTTCAATTTCTGAGGGCAGTGATCTGCTAATGCTCTCACCTCAGTGATACAGATTTAAAAACTACTGAATGATAGAAGAAAGGACTACTGGGTTGTGTATGTCAAAAATATTTTTTGTAGCACATCTATAAGGAATATTTTTAAGACCCTTGTCTAAAAATCATGGCCTTTACATTTATGTTTCTGATTTTTTTTTTTTTTTTTTTTTTTTGAGATGGAGTCTCTCACTCTGTTACCCAGGCCGGAGTGCAGTGGCGCAATCTTGGCTCACTGCAACTTCTGCCTCCCGGGTTCAAGTGACTCTCCTGCCTCAGCCTCCCAAGTAGCTGGGATTACGGGCGCCTGCCACCACGCCCAGCTAACTTTTGTATTTTTAGTAGAGACAGAGTTTTGCATTGTTGGCCAGGCTGGTCTCAAACTTCTGACCTCAGGTGATCCACCCGCCTTGGCCTTCCAAAGTGCTGGGATTACAGATGTGAGCCACTGCACCTGGCCTGTTTCTGATATTCTTTATGGTCAAGAATTAAACTATTTAAATGTAAGTTATATTTACTTCAATCCTAAGAAATAACTTAATGGGGTATTTTCAATTCATAGCAATCAGAAATAACCTCGGTTGTAAATTGAATCTATAGCGCAACAAATATTGAGTGATAATTTTATACCACTTTTGAATGTTTATACAAATGCCCTAATTTGAAAGAAGTTTGAGTGTTTCATTGAAATAAAATACCATTCCTTAGTGTAGAGAACAAAATGACTGACTTGTTTAAATACCAATCAGGATTTATGTTAACAGGAAGTGGGTGGTCCTGAAAAGATCTTGGTCTTTGTAAGAATGTTTCTTGGGGCTGGGCGTGGTGGCTCACGCCTGTAATCCCAGCACTTTGGGAGGCCGAGGTGGGCGGATCACGAGATCAGGAGATCCGAGACCATCCTGGCTAACATGGTGAAACCCAGTCTCTACTAAAAATACAAAAAATTAGCCGGGCGTGGTGGCGGGTGCCTGTAGTCCCAGCTACTCAGGAGGCTGAGGCAGGAGAATGGCGTGAACCCGGGAAGTGGAGTTTGCAGTGAGCCGAGATAGCGCCACTGCAGTCTGGCCTGGGCAAAAGAACGAGACTCTGTCTCAAAAAAAAAAAAAAAAAAAAAAAGAATGTTTCTTGGTCAAAGTCCAAGTCTTCTGATGGCATTTATTCTTGTGGCTCACTAGGTGGGTGGTAATAGTAAAATATTTGCCTTGGTCCAGTTCCATTGTTGAAAACAAAATTTCTTAACTCCATTTGTTTTTGAAATTTTTGAGAAAGTGGCAATCTTTGTCCACAACCTCTATTAACACATTTTTTCAAGGGCATTTTCTCTGAAAAATCACTGTTGGAATGATCATATAAAGGTCCCAGTGTATGATCTGATACTTCATCAGTACATTCTAAATCTTCCAAATTCATTTCATCATAAGAATAGTGTTGGTGGAAAGGTCTTTACCTTTACAAACCACTTCAACTGAAGTAATGAAAACCTTGTCCAGGTAACTGGTTCTGAAAATCCCCATGAGGTTGAGTACTCACAGCTATATGGAAGAGTTGTTTTTATCTCCAGCCTCTGTTAACAAAACCAAAATCTTTCATTGGAAGTGTTCCTGAAAGTTACTATAGGCCTGGTTATGAACAGTATGCATCTTTTGTCTACAAGCTTTGCTAACAAAATCAAAATCATCTCCAGGGTCTGGTTCATGGAGGTCACTGTGAGGCTGGTGATCATTAAATGGTCTTGGTTTTGTTCTAGGCACCCAGTTAATGATCTCCATCTCCTCTTGGGAGACATTGTAACACTGATGATTAGCAAAAAAAAAAAAAAAAATGAACATCTTGATCCTAGTCCCTTGCTAGCAAAATCCCAGTCTCTCAAGTGTCTCTTTTCTGCTATGCTATCACTACACTGGTATTCATCAAAATCCCTATGCCTTTGGACAGGTTCATTGTTGGCATAATCATAATTCTTTATCTGTACACCATTTTGAGGGTATTGATCATTAAGAAGCCTTGACTTTTTCCCAGACCCATGTGTGGCAGGGGAAATATGCTATAAATTACCAGTATTTTAACAATAAATAAAAGATAAATGCTATTGTATTAGCAATATCTCCCTTTACCCAATTCAGCAGGACACAAGATGACTTTGGTGTGATGTCTCCTAAATTGGGTTGTGCCTCATTTTCATTTCTCCTTTTTATCTACTTGTGAGCCCAAAACACCCTCCCACTGAAGCAGCCTCGTTGTCTGGGGTGACACCTGAGGTTTGCTGTCTGACGGCCACAGAGATCAAGGATGCAGACACACAAAGAGTGAGGTTAAGATCAGAAATTTAACAGGTGAAAGAATAGTTCTCTGCTACAGAGAGGGGTCTTCCAAGGACTCTTTTGCCCTCACTATCTGCCTAAATAATCTCTATCTCCTGTATCACTATCAGCTATCAGACTGTAACTATAAGCTTTAAAAATTCCAAACTTGTTTTGGTGTTAATAAATTTTTAGTAAAAACTGGTGAACACATTTCCCGGCATCTTTTCATTTAAAGGAATGTGTCATAACCAGGTCACTTTTACTGTAATTTGATGCATTAAAGAAGTAATCTTACAAATGTGGCTGATGACATGCTGGTTTATTGTACTGACTTCATGTCAGAAGAAACAATCAAAATATAACTTACTCCTAAAGACATTCAGCTGATAACATAAAATATTTATTATATAAATAACATATTTGGGCTGTTTCTTGTTCTTAGTTACTATAAATAAAGCTGCTATGAACATTCATATCAGATTTATGAGTGAACAAAATTTTCATTTCTCTGGGATAAATGCCCAAGAGTGAAACTGTTGGGTCATATGCTAAGTCTGTTTCTATTTTTATAAGGAACTGCTAAACTGTTTTATAACAAAAAACACTCCAACTTGAAATAGAGATAAAAAACAATAGATATCAGTTAGAATGAAAAAAGATAACTTTTAAAGACCTAGGATAAGATACTATAATTGACCACAAATTAGAACTGTGCTTCCTAGCAACAGGAACATAAAGGAAAGTTTCATTAAAAAACAAAACAAAACCCAACCTAAATAAAAATAACCCTCCAAGCCCCACAATATCACCGATTTCTGGCACTAACTTTTTTTTTTTTTTTTTTTTGAGACGGAGTCTTGCTCTATTGCCCAGGTTGGAGTGCAGTGGTGTGATCTCGGCTCACTGCAAGCTCCGCCTCCTGGGTTCACACCATTCTCCTGCCTCAGCCTCCCGAGTAGCTGGGACTACAAGTGCCCACCACCACGCCCGGCTAATTTTTTATATTTTTAGTAGAGACAGGGTTTCACCGTGTTAGCCAGGATGGTCTCAATCTCCTGACCTCGTGATCTGCCCTCCTTGGCCACCCAAAGTGTTGGGATTACAGGTGTGAGCCACCACGCCCGGCCTCTGGCACTAACTCCTAAGAGGGATTTTCCCAAGGATTTATAAGAAACAGGAATATAATAGTTATTTTCAATGTTGAAGATAAATGCTTCCTTGGAATGGGAGAGCAGAGATTGTGTGAGGGAAAGGAACTGTGTCAAGGCAATATGAAGTGCTGTGGGAAGTTGAGCTCTGTACACCCTTCCTGTATGTTATGTCCTGTGAGGCTAATGCCTAACAGTGCCTGGCATTGCTCAAGTGCTCCTTCTCCTGGGAAACAGAAAATTCAGAATTGTGTCTGTTCTAACTTGTATTAAATCAGTTCACAGTAGATAGTCTCAGTGTATTCAAAATAAGTTATATATGTGGCACATATACAACATATACACCATGGAATACTATGCAGCCATAAAAAATGATGAGTTCATGTCCTTTGTAGGGACATGGATGAAATTGGAAATCATCATTCTCAGTAAACTATCGCAAGGACAAAAAACCAAACACCGCATGTTCTCACTCATAGATGGGAATTGAACATTGAGAACACATGGACACAGGAAGGGGAACACCACACTCTGGGGACTGTTGTGGGGTGGGGGGAGGGGGGAGGGATAGCATTAGGAGATATACCTAATGCTAAATGACAAGTTAATGGGTGCAGCACACCAGCATGGCACATGTATACATATGTAACTAACCTGCACATTGTACACATGTACCCTAAAACTTAAAGTATAATAATAATAAAATAAAAAAATAAGTTATATATTTCATTTTTTTTCTCAAAAAATCAAACCAAAGACAAACACAAACTATTTCTTATATTTAAACTAGTACTGTGTATTGTGAAATTAGTTTTATAGAGAAAAATGCCATCAGAGTGCAAAAACTTTTCAAAGATAGGGAAGATTGCAAGATTTTTTTCTATTGTCTCTATCAGTTTATAAATACACACACACACACATTATATGTGAAAGTCATAGAAGAGATTCTAGTACCATTTGATAAACCTTAATTCAGTTTCTGATATATTGGTAGAATAAATACAAGTTATTACTAAGAATCATAGCATTTTAGATTTTGAAGAGCATAGAGATTATCTATTTCAACATTTCCCAGTTTGGAGAACATTACTGTCCCATATCATAATGCTTGTTCTGTGGGGAAAAAAAGTGAGTTCTGTGCTTAAATAAGTTGGGAAAATGCTGAGCTAAATACAATTTAATAAATTCCTTCAGGATTTCTAATGCTTTTAATGAGTGAATGTTCATGGTCATAGTGGGCTGCATTTCCCAAACTTATTTGACTTAAAAAAATACTTTTTATTCCTGTAAAACTAACAATATCTCATGAAACACTATGTTTTTAGAATACAGCATAAGAATAGCTAACTGATCTGGTCCATCTCCTGTATGTTATAAATTAAATATCTGTGGCCTAAAAAAGTTATCACTTACTCTAGGTCACATACAATTAACAAGTGGCAGAGCTAAGATTTGAACCCAAATTTCCTGATTCCCAATCCTATGGATTTCCCCCACTACTCTGCTATTATTTAAAAAATATGTTTCATAATTTTTATAAAATATTCATTTAAAATCATGTTACTAATGCCATGAAAGTCTTTATTTGGAGGCTATTCTCTGGATTCTTCCATAGAATTATTGGTTGGGGGATTTGCATCTTCATCTGAACCCCAGACACCCATTCCAAGATTACTAGAAGAAAAATATCAATAAACAACAGAAGCTTAAAATTCAATCAGAAACAGTCACAGGCTTTTAGAAACATAAGCTGAACACAAAATAAGAAAAAGGCAAATCTACACACCATTCATATCTTGGGAATCTATAGATATGTTGCCATTTGTCGTAGTGGAAACAAGAATAATACATCATCAAGCACAATTTTAGAGAGTATTTTCAATTGTTAGGATATACCCATTTTCTCCTGTGGCCAAGAGAGCATAAAAATTATTAAGGGTTTAAAGAATAGGCACTATGAGGAAAGTTTAAAGGAAGAGATAGAGAGGAAGTGGGAAATAGGTTATGGGTACTGAAGTACTGAATTAACTAATGAGCCCTTATAAGTATTTTTAGCTTCACCAAAATATAATCAAAACAGTATACAAGATAATAATGGCATTTTAATATCTTTAATAGTGGAGATTTAGTACTAATTTTGCTTACTATTCCTCTCTTCATTAGAGACTTTTCAAGAACTCTTGCTTCAATAGATGGTTATAAATTCCATTTTTTTCTTGTTGTAGATAATACACAAGTATCCCATGACTTTAAACATGTTTTTACTTCATCACTTATAAGATGCATATAATCAATCTGAAATTCTACAGAAAAAATTATGCATATTATAATTTTGTTTAAAAGGAATTTTAGCTGGATAGGGATTCCTGTACAGTCCTTTAGTACATAAGTAATGACTATTTGAGGTATAAATCTCAGAGCTAATAGCTAACACTTATTGAGCTCCTACCATATTTGGCACTGTGCTAAGAGCTTTACTTGTATTAACTCATTTAATTCTTACAACAACCTGTGAGGTATTATCTCCATATTATAGTTCAGAAAACTGCAGTACAAAAATCATAAAGTGGAAGCAGTGAAATTTAAACATAGGCTTTCTGGCTGTGCAGCCCATGTTCTTAGTTAATGCTATGGACTGAATGTTTGTGTGCCCCTAAAATTTATATGTTGAAGCCCTAATCCTCAAGTGTGATGGCATTTAAATGTGGAGACTTTGAGGAGTAATTAGGTCATGAGGGTGGAGCTCTCATGAATGGGAATAGTGCTCTTATAAGAAGAGACATAAAAGAGATGATCTCTTTCTTGGATATGTGAGGATACAGCAAGAAGGTGTCTGTTTGCAAACCAGGAAGAGAGCCTTCACCAGGAACTGAATGAGCTGGCATCTTGATCTTGAACTTCCCAGCTGTCAGAACTGTAAGGAATAAATTTCTGTTGTTTACACTACCCAGTGTATGGTATTTTTGTTAACAGCAGTCTTAACTAAGACAGCCAAAAAGTTATATTGTCTCTTTCCAACGAGGTAATTGATTTTAAGTACAAAGCAGTGGCCAGCCCTGTTCTATTTAGTACATGAGTCAACATGAGTTCAGGAAAATTTTACTTAAGTCTAATCTATTCCTAATTCAAATTATTTCTGGCCAGTTTGAATAAATCCTCCCAGATAACTCTAGTTTTCTTTCCAATACTGACCTCCAAATTACTTGAGCAGGACCTGCCTTTTTCTGAGGACTACATTTAGTCTGAAATATCTGGGTTTTTTTGTTTTTTTTTGAGACAGAGTTTCGCTCTTGTTGCCCAGGCTGGAGTGCAAATGGCATGATCTTGGCTCACTGCAAGCTCTGCCTCCCAGCTTCAAGCGATTCTCCTGCCTCAGCCTCCCAAGTAGCTGGGATTACAGGCGCCTGCCACCATGCCCGGCTAATTTTTGTATTTTTAGTAAAGACAGGGTTTCACCACGTTGGCCAGGCTAGTCTGGAACTGCTGACCTCAGGTGATCTACCCACCTCGGCCTTCCAAAGTGCTGGGATTACAGGCATGAACCACTGCATCCAGCCCTCTAGTCTGAAATATCTTGATACTCACCCTCTACAAGCCTTTCCTCTTTCTGAGCTGTAGCTTACCTAGACACCTGAATTTCCTTTTCAGCTATCATTCGTTGGAACCCAGACCTGGTAGGTGTTTCTTAAAATTTTCAGGCAGTTTATTTTCATGTTAGCTCTACAGCCTCACAGAAAATCAAAATCATGTAAGCAGTAGTATGTAACCAATATTTGGGTCCTAGAAGTACCCAAGCGTATTTTAAATGTTCATGGGACCTTGCAATCATCAAATCCAAATTTTTCATTTTATAGAAAAGAAAAGTGGGCCAGGTGTTGTGGCTCATGCCTGTAATCCCAGCACTTTGGGAAGTCGAGGTGGGCAGATCACCTGAGGTGAGGCAGTTGAGACCAGCCTGGCCAACATGGTGAAACCCTGTCTCTACTAAAAATACAAAAAAAACATTTGCCAGGCATGGTGGTGTGTGCCTGTAGTCCCAGCTACTTGGGAGGCAGAGGCAGGAGAATCGCTTGAACCCAGGAGGTGGAGGTTGCAGTGAGCCGAAATCGTGCCACTATCCTCCAGCCTGGGTGACAGGGTGAGACTCTGTCTCAAAAAAAAAAAAAAAAAAAAAAAAAAAAAAAAATGACTCCCAGAAAAGACAGATCACTTAAAGCTAGACAGTGGGAAAACAACAAAAGTAGTCATTTGTGGGTCCCCAAGACCAGTGTCATCCTTTTAAACTAGACAAACGCTTAAACCTCATATTTTCAATTCAGTCCAACAAATATTTATGAAGAACCGAAGTAGTATTTGACCTAAAATGGCTAGTCAAAGCTGGTCCATATTTACAATCTAATTACATAGGCTCTTAAAACTGGAGAACCTTTCTGGCTGTGGAGATGTGACTATGGGTGAAAGTTACACAGAGATGCAAAGTTGTTGACTTTGAAGATGAAGGAAGGGGGCCAATATCCATGAAGTGTGGGTGGCATCTAGAAGCTGCAAAAGGCAAGGAAACAAATCCCCTGTAGGGCCTCCAGGAAAGAATGCAGGCCTGGTGACACCTGATTTTAGCCCACTGAGACCCTCGTTGGACTTCTAACCTACGGAACTGTAAGGTTTTTTAAGCCACTAAATTTGCGATAATTTGTAATAGCAGCAATGGAAAATCAACCCATTGGCACTGATCACAAACTCAAATTTCCAATTTCCTCTCTGGTCCAAGTATCAACCCAAAAAGTAGGGATGTAAAATAGAACTCTGATTCATGAGGGCAGTGAATCTAGAAGGTTCTCAGACATGGGTACATGAAATGATCACTTTTTAATTTTGATGTAATTGCTCTTGGATGGGACCAGACATCAGGTTAAAAAAATGTCATAATAAATTCTAATGTATAATTAAGTTCAAAACTCTATTCTAGGAACAAAAGAAAATAAGCATCTGAATTGCCTGTTGAGGGAATAACTTTGTTCTCTAATAGGTACCCAGGACTTTTTCTTTTTTTGAGAGACAGAGTCTCACTCTGTCACCCAGGCTGGAGTACAGTGGCACCACCATGGCTCACTGCACACTCAACCTCCCAGGCTCAAGTGATCCTCCTGCCTCAACCTCCCAAGTAGCTTGGACCAAGGTACACACTACCACACCCAGCTAAATTTTTATTTTTTGTAGAGGTGGGATCTTCCTATGTTGCCCAAGCTGGTCTTGAACTCCTGGGCTCAAGTGATCCTCCTGGCTCAGCCAAAGTGCTGGGATCACAGGTGTGAGCTACTGTGCCTGGCCAGTAGCTAAGATTTCTTAGAAGACAAACACCATATCCTTACACCCAAACTGGTACAGCTAGAAGTTTTATAGACAGCAGTCAGCACAGGTTGCCAAGATGAGCAAAGCTGTGTTTCATTAAAGCATTACGAGGGTTATCCTTCAGATTTTAGCCAAAGGACTACGTACACAACTGCAGGCACCTGTGCCCCAGCAGTTCAATGACTTTGAGAGCTGGTGAAGCTAATTATCTCTTCTCTACTTAATGCATCAACCTGGGTGATTGGTACCAAGTGAGAAACCTGGGAATCAACCCATTCTTCCCCCCAACTCACTCACCTACATCTCTTTGCCATTATTTTAATAAGTCTCTCTTTAAAAATCTTCAACTGTTTTCCTCACCATCTCTTCTGCCACTGCCTTAGATTAGGCCCCTAATTAATTTTTCCTTTAATTTCTGTAATTGTTCCCACACTAATCTCTGTGCCCCCAACCTACTTCCATTCTTCGATACTGTGAAACATATATTTGGTCATAGTCCATTTCCTGACATACAACTCCCAAAACCCTTGGAATCTCCAGAGTGGTAAGAGTGCCTTTTGTATACTACTGAGATGACTGGTGATTGGGGCCCCTGATAGCCTCAGCACGGGGACTGGTCCTCAGAAAAACCAAGGCAGGATTAAAGTGTTGGGACTTTCAGCTCTATCCCCCAACCTTTGGGGAGGGGAGAAAGGCTGTAGGTTAATCTCCTTGCCAATGGCCAGTAATTTAATCCATCATCCTACCTAACGAAGCTTCCATAAAAATACAAAAGGCTTGGGTTTGGACAACTTCTGGATAGCTGAACATGCGGAGGTTCCTAGAAGGTGGCTTGCCTGGAAAGGGCATGGAAGCCTGGCTCCCCTTCCCGCGTACTTTGCCCTGTGCATCTCTTGTCTGGTTGTTCCTCTGTATCCTTTGCAATGTCCTTTTTAATGAATGGGTAAACATAAGTGTTTCCCCGCATACTGTGAGTCACTCTAGGAAATTAATAGAATGATTTAGGAGGGGTTGTGGGAACTCTGATTTATAGTTGTCAGAAGTACAGACTGCAACCTGGGGCTTGTGATTGGCATCTGAAGTGGGGGACAGTTTTGTAAGACTAAGTCCTCAACCTATGGGATCTGATGCTATCTCCAGGTAGATAGTGTCAACAGAATTGAATTAGCGGACACCCAGATGGTGTACATAGCAGAACTGCTTGATGTTTGTGGGAAAATCCCCACACATCTGGAGTCAGAAGTGTTGAGTAGCTGTGTGAGAGCAGGGAAAATACCTTTTTTCCTACATGTAACCTATCTATTCGAATCTATCTTACTCTCTGGTGCCAGAATGATCTAAGATACATAACTTATTATGTGACTTCTACATAAAATGCCTCTGTGACTACATTTTGCCTTTAGGTTGCAATTCAAATCTTCGTAAGACAAGTCAGCTCCTTGGAGCTCTCACCCTTGCTATCTGCCCCTAGGTGAACCTATAATCTAGGCATTCTCACTACTTGTGAATCCCCCATGCGCCATGCTTTCACACCTCTGTGATCCAGCTTACATTGTTTTCTTTGCCTAGCCAACTCTTCCTTTACATTTCTGCTCAGACATCAGAATACTGACTCCACTTCTCCATTAACCTTCTCTGAGTACCCATACTTTCACTATCTGAAATTGCCTTATTTGTTGAATGCCTTTCTCCAGCACCATCCACACATTCGTTGTTTCATCCCATCATCAAATGTGTTTTAGGTGCCCAAAATATTCCAGATACCGTTTAAACACTTAGAGATACCAAATCAATCAAAGTCCCTGTCCTCAAGAGGGACAGACCAAAAGCAAGTACACACATCATCTCTGATAGTAATAAGTGCTTTGAAGGAAATCAAGATCATACAATCAACAGTGACTAGAAGAGAGGAACAGCACTAAATAAGACAGTCATGGAAGGCTGGCCCTCTGAGAAGGTGACATTTGAACCGAGCCATGCAAAGATAAAGCATTCTAGGCAGAGGAAACAGCAAGTGCAAAATCCCATCATATAAGGCCTTGCAAGCCCACACAGATTTACAATCTTCATGGCCTGGTCTGGGTTAACCTGAAATAATCAAAAGGATCAAAATCCAGTCGAGATTATTCAAGTAAAAAGCTGGGAATAGCCATTTGGGAGACACAGACTCCAGAGAAATAGAGTCAGTGTTCCAAAGTTCAAAGTTAAATTATTGCATATATAGGCAGAAAACAAAGAAGTTTAGTAGGTTTATAACATTTTCTAGAACGCTAGTTTATGAGTTTCTTTTCTGTATGGCTTGTTTTCTTTACAGTTGGTTTTCATTTCCTTTCTGATTTAAAAGAGGTATTTAACACTCCATCTTAACACGGTGTGATAGCCATGAAACCTTTGGGTGAGAAACTAAAAGGGAAGTTAATCTATAATAAAAATCAACAGTAACAGGGAAGGGGTCTTTCCTGGAGCCCTTTAGTCATTTGTAACATTTTGTACAACAATGTAAGCAAGGAGGAAGGTTAATCTATAATCATAGAAACAAAGATTACAGCTTCCCAGGTTACAGCTGCTTGTAACGTGACTCAGGCCCCATAATCACATTTCTTTAAGGATCAAAATAGTTTGGAGTTCCAACAGCTTAGATTTTGAATTACTTATTTTCACACCTGTCTTATTCATTGCTGAATCCTCAGAGCTAAGCAGAGTGCCAGGACACAGTAGGTATTCCATAAACACTTGTGGAATGGATAAAGTGTCTATTTGCTGGTTTACTTACCTATCTCCTTGAAGGCAAGGGCTCCTTCTGACCTCTGTAGGTCTAGTGTTGAGCTGTATGCCTGGCACATAGAGGTGCTTAACAGAGTTGCTAAGCAGCATATAAAAGATGTTGCTTGAGTACCATACAGCATATAAAAGATGTTGCATGAATACCATTATCTTCATTAGAGAAGATAAAATTAAATGGAAAGTATTCTTTAGGAATATGCCACTGAGTTTAGGCTAAAAGACACTAAGATTTTTGAATTGTTCCAGTGTTGCTTAGTTTCATAAAGTAGAAAACTGACATCCAGGCATGTTATAAAAGCAATCTTCTCAGGGAAAAATTATATATTAGTATCTATAAATAGCAATCACAACCTTAGATGGATATTAATGTTGACATGAGCTCAGAAAATGACTTATATGAATTCTAGTAAAAGATCCCCAGAGTTAATTTTCTGGTATTGTTAATTTTCAGATGTCATCTATTGGGAAGAACATTTCTTTAGGTAGGGACTAAAAACAAGCACAAGTAAAAGGTTGCAAAGGGAAGAAGACTATAAGGAGAGAACATTTTATCAAGCAGCTCTTATAAGAAATTAGGAACCAATAAATTTTCCTCCCAGAATACCTGAATAAATACTGAGAAGGAAATCCCTAGCTTTCAGGCAAAATTCAGTTTCTGGTTTGATTTTATTTAGCTTATGAAACACTGAAAGATCATAATGCAAACAAAACAGATATGGTGTCAAAGAAACAAATATACATAAAACATTCATTCTTTTTATGAGCTATATAAACTATCCCAAAGACCTGTGATTTGAAAAGAAAGTGTTCCTTAGAGAAGTGGGGATTTTGTACATAACTGAGGTATGCGAAACATTTAGGGGTCATCTGGCAGACATGACAGCCAAAGTGACAAGAGAATGGGAATAAAAGCAAAGCCAAAGAAAGAGTTTTATAAAACCTCTACAGTGAGAAGAATAGGAGACAACCAAAGTGATTGAGAGCTATCAGAAAAGAGGCAAACCTGGATAATTACTGTGTTCAAAATAAAAAAATATAAGTACAGGTTGAGGATCCCTCATCCATAATGCCCAGAAGTGTTTCAGATTTCAGATTTTTGTGGATTTTGGCATATTTGCACTATGCCAGTTGAGCATCCATAATCCCAAAATCTGAAATCTGAAATGCTCTAATGATCATTTCCTTTGAGTGTCAGTTTGGTGCTCAAAAAGTTCCATATTTCGGAGCATTTCAATTTTCAGATATTTGGATTTGGCATTCTCAATCTGTATGTGTAGATGCCAGATGCTGCAAAGAAAAGGCTGCAGGATTTGGCTAGATTGTTGGTGATTTCTGAGAAGGCAATTTCATTAAGTGGTGAAAACAAACCACACATTTAAGAAGAGAATGGGACAGTAAAGAAATGGAGGTGGTGATCACAGCCAAGGTGTTTTCAAATGTTTGACAATAGGCACAACAAGAAAGTGGAATAGTAGTTCATACAAGAGAATAGAAACCAACAGAATACTTCTAGGTATATTTGAAAGTAAGAGGAAAGCGGCAAGGGAGATTTAAGATGCCAGAGAGGAAAGTGATAGGGACAGTGAGATCCTAGAGCTAAAAAGGAATCACATTCTGTAGAAATGAAAGATTTTTTTCTTTAAAAAAAAAAGGAAAATTTTTCTAAGAATAAGGCAAAGACTAATAAAAAGGGAAATGGGGTAGTGATCTATTCTTATAGTGATAATTAAATTCTATTGCCAATAATCTTAAGCTTTATTGTAAAGAATGAATCTAAATGGGATAATGGCAGAAAGCCACTCAGGAATACAAAATGCAAATTATAAATAGGGAAATGCAAATTAAAAGCACAATGACATACCCTTTCAAACCCACTAAAATAATAAATAAAAATGATAGACAATAACAAATATTGGCAAGGCTAAACTCACCTTAAATAGTTGGGCAATTTGTTTAAAAGTTAAATATAAATTTACCATATGACCCAGAAATTTCACTCCTAGATATCAATCCATGAGAAATGAAAACATATATCCATACAAAGACCTCCATATGAATGTTCTTAGCAACCTTATTAACAGTAGCCAAAAATGGGAAACAACTGAAATGTCCACTGTGAACCCTGAATATCTGAGATAGGTCTCAGTTAATTTAGAAAGTTTATTTTGCCAAAGTTGAGGACATGTGCCTGTGAGACAGCCTCAGGAGGTCCTGATGACATGTGGCCAAGATAGAGCACAGTTTGGTTTTATACATTTTAGGGAGACATGAGACATAAATCAAATATATAAGATGAACACTGGTTTTGTCTGGAAAGGTGGGACAACTCAAAGCTGGGAGGGGGCTTCCAGGTCATAAGTAGATAAGAGACAAATGGCTGCATTCTTTTGAGTTTCTGATTAGCCTCTCCAAAGGAAGCAATCAGATATGCATTTATCTCAGTGAGTAGAGGGGTGACTTTGAATACAATGGGAGGCCGGTTTGCCCTAAGCAGTCCAGGCCTGACTTTTCCCTTTAGCTTAGTGATTTTGGGGCCCCAAGATTAATTTTCCTTTCACACCACCTACTGATGAATAGGTAGACAAAATGTGGTATATCCATATAATGTACTATTATTCAGCAAAAACACAAATGAACTACTGATATATGCTGTATATCATGGACAAACCTCAAAAACATTATGCTAAACGAAAGAAGCCAAACACAAGAGACCAATATTGTATGATTCCATTTATATGAAATGTCCACATGAGACAAATCTCTAGAGACAGAAACTACATTAATTGTTGCCTGGGGTGGGGGAATAGGAATGAACAATTCATGAACATGAAGGTTCTTATTAGGGAGATAGAAGTGTTTTAAAACTGATGTACAGTAATAGATGCATAAATAGGTAAATTTAATAAAAATCATTAAATTGTATGCTTGAAGTGGGTGAATTATATGGTATGTTAAATACCTAACCAACAAACAAATGGAAACACATCCCATGTACATGGATGGGTAGATTCAATATTGTGAAAATGACCATACCGCCAAAAGCAATCTGTAAATTCAATGCATTCCCATCAAAATACCACTGTCATTCTTCACAGAACTAGAAAAAACAATCCTAAGATGCATATGGAACCAAAAAAGAGCCCACATAGTCAAAGCAAGACTAAGCAAAAAGAACAAATCTGGAGATATCACATTACCCGACTTCATACTATAAGGCCATAATAACCAAAACAGCATGGCACTGGTATAAAAAGAGGCACATAGACCAATGGAATAGAAGAGAGAACCCAGAAATAAAGTCAAACACTTACAGCCAACTGATCTTCAACAAAGCAAACAAAAACATAAAGTGGGGAAAGGATACCCTATTCAACAAATTGTGCTGGGATAATTGGCAAGCCACATGTAGAAGAATGAAACTGGATCCTCATCTCTTACCTTATACAAAAATCAATTCAAGATGGATAAAAGACTTAAATCTAAGACCTAAAACCATAAAAATTCTAGAAGATAACATTGGAAAAACCCTTTTAGACATCGGCTTAGGCGAAGACTTCATAACCAAGAACCCAAAAGCAAATGTAACAAAGATAAATAGATGGGACTTAATTAAGCTAAAAAGCTTCTGCACAGCAAGATAATAATAATAATAATAATAATAATAGTAATCAGCAGAGTAAACAGACAACCCACAGAGTGGGAGAAAATCTTTGCAATCTATGCATCCAATGAAGGACTAATATCCAGAATCTACAGGAACTCAAACAAATTAGCAAGAAAAAAACAAACAGTCCCATCAAAAAGTGGGCTAAGGACATGAATAGACAATTCTCAAAATAAGATATACAAATGGCCAACGAACATATGAAAAAATGCTCAACATCACTGATTATCAGGGAAATGCAAATCAAAACCACAATGCAATACTACCTTACTCCTGCAAGAATAGCCATAATCAAAAAAATAAAAATAAATAGATGTTGGTGTGGATGTGGTGAAAAGGGAACACTTTTACACTGCTGGTGGGAATGTAAATTAGTACAACCACTATGAAAAACAGTGTGGAGATTCCTTAAAGAACTAAAAGTAGAACTACATTTGATCCAGCAATCCCACTACTGGGTATCTACCCAGAGGAAAAGAAGTCATTATACAAAAAAGATACTTACACACACTTGTTTACAGCAGCACAATTCACAATTGCAAAATCTGCAAAAATATGGAACCAGTACAAATGCCCATCAATCAACGAGTGGATAAAGAAAATGTGGTGTGTATACACACACACACAAACACACACACACACACACACCCACGAGGGAATACCACTCAGCCACAACAAGGAATGAAATAATGGCATTTGTAGCAACCTGGATGGAACTGGAGACCATTATTCTAAGTGAAGTAACTCAGGAATGGAAAACCAAATATCGTATGTTCTCACTCATAAGTGGGAGCTAAGCTATGAGGACACAAAGGCATAAGAATGATACAATGAACTTTGGGGACTTGGGGGAAAGGCTGGGAGAGGGGATGAGGGATAAAAGAGTATACATTGGGTACAGTGTACACTGCTTGGGTGATGGGTGCACCAATATCTCAGAAATCACCACTAAAGAACTTCTGCACGTAAGCAAACATCACCTGTTCCCCAAAAACTATTGAAATAAAAAATATTAAAATGAATAAACATCATATATAATTTGGTTTATCCAGTAAATGACTAACTTTAAGAGAAATTCACAAATTGATTTTAAATGATTTAAATTTTTGTAACAAATTAGAATCCCTTATGCTTGATAAAACAATTAGTAAAACTAAGTAGAATCAAGTAATCTTTTCTGCATTTTAGTGTTCCTGATTCTTTTGAGCAAATATAGAAGGCCTGAAGACAATTTCATTTTAGAGTTTAAGAATTTTTCAGAATTTGTTTGATCCAAATCCCTCCATGTACTGGGGTCACTTGTGACAAGAAAAAAGAAAACCTTGACCATGGTCACATGGTAAGTCGGTAGCAGAACTAGACAAAAACTCAGCTCTCCTGATTTCTAATCTAATACTTTTTTCATTATCCCATGCAACCTCCCACATTTTCAGAACAGAAACAGAAAAATTAGAAGGAGAAAAGTAACCCAAACTCATAGGACTGTATCTTTTTTGGATTCCTACAAATACTCTTAAGCTTTGTTTCAGGAAGCAGTTACTTGGAAACAGTTTGATCCTTTCAGGTCTCGCTGTTAAGACTTATTAGGTAAGATCAGAGTAGTGTTTAGTCTAGAGTTCATTCCCCACTATTGAGACAAGGCCCTTCTGAACTCTACCCAGCATCCTGTGAATTATGAGGTTTTCCATAGATCAGAGTAGTGTTTAGTCTAGAGCTCATTATTCCTTACTATTATGAGGTTTTCCATAGATCAGAGTAGTGTTTAGTCTAGGGCTCATTATTTCCCACTATTGAGACAAGGCTCTTCTGAATGCTACCCAGTATCCTGTGAATTATGAGGTTTTCCATAACCTCATAATGGCTGGTGGGAAAAGTCCCTATTGCCAGCCCTAAGTGAGCTCCAAGTACTGTTCCTTCTAATCTTCTAGAGTAGCTCTTTCTCCAGCCTCAGGTACTTTCCTGAAATGCAGGGAAACCTTCTGCATTCCAGGAAAGTATCTGAGGGTTGGTAAAGAGTACCCTAGAATACTCTCCCTGGGCAGTACTCTCTTGTCCAGTGCTAGCTGCCTTGGTTTCCCAGGCGTCTCAGTTCTGTCCCCTTAACTTGGCAGTGACTTGCTCCATCATGATTCCCACTTTCTGCACCATGACCTGGAAACTCTCTCAAGGCAGCAAGCTGGAACATTTCTCAGAGATCACTGTCCTTCATTGCCTGATATCCAACTTCTTGGAAATTGTTGTTTCATATATTTTCTTCACTTTTTTTTTTGTTGTTTCAGGTGGGAGGGTTAATCTGGTCCCTGTTACTTCCTCTTATCTGAAAGCAGAAGTCCCAGTGGCGTCATTTTTTTTTTCTTACTCTGAAATCTTGGGTCTAACAACTCTCTCCTACTTTATGAATTGGCTAATAACAATTCCTTTTCTTTTAATAGCCTTTTCTTTTATCTGTTCTCATAATGAGAAGCACAATTAAATGCTTATAAAGCTTTGGTAAGAGGTACTTGGCAAAAATAAACAATTTAAGTATGATGACTACTGACAAAGACTCTCCTTAAGCAAAATTTAGTCAGGTTCCTTTGAGCCCATTCTCTACTAGGCCCGGTACTTGGGCCTTGTCCTCAAGAGCAAGAATCCTGTTAAGTCAGTTTTGTAAGAATCCCATCCTCATATCTGACCTCCTTCAATATCTGATCAAATTCCTCATCCTCCATTGCCCCCGAGGTGTTGTCTGATCATCCTGGCCTGCCTTCAGCAAGAATCCTGTTAGGTCTGTTTAACCAGAATTACCTCTTACCTTGATGTTTCCTCCTAGGAATTTTCCATCCACCGACCCCACTCTGTTCCTTGGTATGAATCCCCCCTTATTCTTCTTCTTTTCAGAACTGAGCACAGTTCTATACTCAAGTCCCTTACTTTATTCCAATAGTTCCTGAGTAAAATCTATTTTTTACTGCTTTCTTTACTGTCTAGCTCTGGTTTTAATACTATGTCTAATTTTACATAAAAATCCTTTATCACATATTCCACACTTTGAAACTCTAGCACTATCAACACCTAAGCTGAAAATGGTCTCTTATCCCTTAAAATTAAGGTTGTAAAAGTATTAAACTAAACAATAAAAAAAAAATCCACCTTGTTGTCATTGGCTCTAATTCTATATACTCCAAATACAAACAACTGTAGTGATTATGTCCCATTTAAGATTCTCTGCATTCCCTTTCCACATATTGGGAATTATTTCTATAAAGGCAGTAAGCAGGGTCAATGAAAACTTTAATCATTGCATTTTGGAGCCAAAGGGGACCTCAGAAAATCAATTTCTAATTGCTGTCTTTGTGGAGGTCAAAAACTGAAGTCTTGAAAGAATTTAACTGTCTTACTACTATATTATAGGAGACATGAGACTCAGTCATTATCCATCTTGAATTTTTAGTGATTTAAAATGTAGTATTATAGGCCGGGTGCGGTGGCTCACGCCTGCAATCTCAGCACTTTGGGAGGCTGAGGCGGGCGGATAACGAGGTCAGAAGATCGAGACCATCCTGGCTAACACAGTGAAACCTTGTCTCTACTAAAAATACATACAAAAAATTAGCCGGGCGTGGTGGCGGGCACCTGTAGTTCCAGCTACTCAGGAGGCTGAGGCAGGAGAATGGCATGAACCCGGGAGGCGGAGCTTGCAGTGAGCCGAGATCGCACCATTACACTCCAACTGGGGCGACAGTGCGAGACTCCATCTCAAAAAAAAAAAAAAGAAAGAAAATTTAGTATTACCATTGAACTCAACACTTGAAAAATGGTAGAACCATCCACATGCATAGTAAAACTACTATTTCCTTTGACTTAAATCTGGAACTTTAAAATATCAGACTTTAAAAGTGCATTAGCTTTTTAATCACTGGCATCATACTGCATCTAGTAAAATTCCACTTTTTCATGTGAACTGCTAAGACAGATGCTTTCATATCTTGTCACTGCAATTTTTAGTTTTCTCATAAGGTCTAAAAATTATTTTCCTCTAGAGCAGGGTTTTAAAATTCTGCTCTTCGAAGTGTCCTTCTGCCCCTTAGTCTGTGGGTGGAAAGTGAAGGAAGGAGAATAATTATCATGTCAAGTGGACTAAGTCTGGATCCTCAATCCCCTGCTTCAACCAACCCAACTCCCCACTTACCATATCTGCTTTATATAACGGGCTTCGGAGCAAGATTTAATTGAAAGATTTCTCTGTTAAAGTTCAAAAATTACTGTTGTAATACCCATCTCACTTACGTTTTTATTTCTTCCGTTTTCATCATATTGCTGTCTTTCCCTCCTTTTGTTTCTCTGTCCCTTTTTCACTTTTCCTATTTGCAACTATATTTCCTTCTAGTTATTTTGCTTTTTTAAAAGGATAAGTTCAGTGTTTTTTTTCCTCTTTGCACAACCAATGGTTTTTAGAAAAAGAATATTGTATGAGTATATGAAGGACTAAAAACATTGCTAAGAGATTATTCATGGGCAATTCTGAAATTAATATTAAAATAACCAAGAGAATATCTTAATTCACTTTCCAAGTGCAGTATTAAAAAAAAAATTCTTGCCAGATGTGGTGCCTCACGCCTGTAATCCTAGCACTTTGGGACGCCGAGGTGGGCAGATCATCTGAGGTCAGGAGTTTGAGACTAGCCTGGCCAACATGGCGAAACCCCACCTCTACTAAAAATACAAAAATTAGCCAGGCGTGGTGGCGGGCGCCTGTAATCCCAGCTACTCAGAAGGCTGAGGCAGGAGAATCACTTGAACCCAGGAGGCGGAGGTTGCAGTGGGCCGAGATCACGCCACTGCACTCCAACCCGAGTGACAGAGCAGGACTCTGTCTTAAAAAAACAAAATAACAACAAAACAAAAAACAAACTTTCTATTTTAAGACCTACCCATGATAACAATATACATTTGCAACTTTACCTTAACTTCATAATATCTTGTGGTGTATGTTAAATCAATAATTAATCCGAGCTCCTCATTTAGTGCTTTTATTGCGCTAATCAAGTCTTTTGGTATAAACTTCTGGGTTGGAGTAAGTCTCTGATTAACTGTCTATGATGAAAAATGAAAAATAAGGTTATAAAATACAGATAAAATGTTAACATTAAACATAGAACAAGGAAGAGAAAAAACATAAGACAATAAAAAGACTTGGTGAAAATGTCATAGCATAAGAATATTGACAAGCTTTTAACTAACTAGAGCTGTACAAATTGCCTAAACATATTCACATCCTTTGCCTCAGTGATTTCATGTCTTGGAAATTATCCTAAGGCAAGTATCAGAAATATTGGGGAAAAAGAGTTTGGGCGTAACATTCACTGCAACATTATGTATAATAGAAACACATTGGAATATCATGTTGCTGTTAAAAATCACATTTCTCAAAATTATTATTATTATTATTATTATTATTATTATGAGACAGAGTCTCACTCTGTCACCCAGGCTGGAGTGCAGTGGCGCAACCTTGGCTCACTGCAAGCTCCGCCTCCCGGGTTCACGCCATTCTCCTGCCTCAGCCTCCCGAGTAGCTGGGACTACAGGTGCCCACCACCACGCCTGGCTAATTGATTATTATTTTTTTAAATGAGGTCTCACTCTGTCACCTAGGATGTGGTGTAATGGTGCTATCATAGCTCACTGTATTCTTGAACTCTTGGGCTCAAGGGATCCTCCTTCCTCAGCCTCCCAAGTAGCTAGGACTACAGGTAGGCAATACCCTACCCAGGTATTAATTTTTTTTTTTTTTTTTTTTTTGGAGATAGGGTCTTGCTATGTTGTTGCCCAGGCTGGTCTTAAACTTCTGGCCTCAAGTGATCCTCCCACCTTGGCCTCCCAAAGTCCTTGGATTTCAGGCACCAGCCACCATGCCTGGCCACAAAGACTATTTAATAAGGAAAAATCCTCAAAATGTTACATAAAGATCACATCACAAAACTTTTACATACAGTGTTATTCTGATTTATTTTTGAAGGGGTAAGGAGAAGGAAAATATATCACTTTTAAAAGTGGAATTTCAATTGTTTTTCTTCTATACTCATATGTTTTCCATTTTTTTTCTATTTCCAACAGAAACTTTCTGTAAATGCTACTGTCATTACAGGATAAACTTCAAATCTACTGTGATTCTTTAAGGCCGTATACACACAGACTTATCCATATATTGAGTCTTACCTTTCACCACAGATCCCACCTGGAAACACTCTCCAGTCCGGCAGCTCTCCTTACAGTCCAACAAATACCTTAAGTTCGTTCCTCTTTCTGTGTCTTGTACCTTTCCTTAGGCTCCTTGACCATCTAAATCAGGGTTTCTCAACTGGGCACTAATATTTGGGGTGAAACATTGTTGTGGGGCTGTCCTGTGCATCGTGGGACATTTAGCAGCACCCCTGGCCTCTGCATACTGAATGCCAAGAGCACCCCCTCCCCAGACCCTCCAAGTTATGACAATCAAACATGTCTCCAGACATTGTCAAATGTCTCCTGGTGGACAAAATCACCCTGGCATGACTCACTGAAACTAATGCTTTAAGTAATTAATGTAATATAGTCCAAGTACATAAGTCTGAGTGGTCCAGCTTGATCCATAGGGAGTGATGAATGGACTGCACAGTCTTTAAATGACCTTCTGCAATAATACTTCTTTCAGCCAAACTTCTGAGAAAAAGTTAGGAAGGACAATTCTAGATTCTACTCTCTCACAAGAATCTGATGTGCTGGTGTTTTATATTGCTTAAGAATGGATCCATACAAATTAGAGGCCCACAGATATGAAGAGCAAACCCACAGTATCTAGCACTTGGTAAGCAGTCACTATTTTTTCTTAAAGCCAATTAGACAATAAGGCTGGCATCTTACTGAGCAAGATAAGAAACTAGAACTCTTACCTAGATAGAAGAGTTCCATCTAGAGGAAGACTTGATACTAGAGAACTTTTATATATCACCAATCCTAACTGCCCCTTGAGGCCACTCCTAATTTGCAAAGTAAAAGTATGTTATCAGTGTACTGAAGATAATTACGCAGGAGTATGCACACAGTTCATTTAAAAGCTGTAAATGGTTAGATTCACATTGAAAGGAATCCAGGATAGTCTTATTTTGCACTTTTAAAAATATGTATTTAATCTGCCACGATATCTGCTATCTGTAGTGTTATTAAAATGCAGGTTTTCATCATTCTCAGCAAAGTAACACAAGACGAGAAAACCAAACATGGCATGTTCTCACTCGTAAGTGAGAGTTGAACAATGAGAACACATGGACACAGGAAGGGGAACATCACACACCGGGGCCTGTGGGGGGGTGGGGGCTGGAGGAGGGATAGCATTAGGAGAAATACCTAATGTAAGTGACGAGTTGATGGGTGTAGCAAACTAACATGGCACATGTATACCTATGTAACAAACCTGCACATTGTGCACATGTATCCCAGAACTTAAAAAGTATAATTTAAAAAAAAAAAGAAGAAAAATGCAGGTTTTATAGAAACATCAGTTAACTGAAGTATATATTAAGTTTATGCGACTTATAACTAGTTACTGTCTACTAAAACAAAGGTCAATGTAAGCTGTGCATAACAAAATATTAAATTTGACAGACCTTCCCACAAAATAGGTATACTACTGCTCTATAAATCTATAGATCAAGAAAACTGATCTATAGATTGATTTATAGGTCAATAGTATGGCTATATTTGAATCTCACTTGCTTTTCATTAAGATAAAAGTGAATTGAGAAGCAAGCAAAATAGTGTTTTACTGGGCAACACTGGTAAATATCAGGGTCTAAATTTAATCTGAGGAACATAAAAATTCCTCAGATTATTTTGCAACTATTCATAATATGAAAAGTCAGATTTATGCAGAGAATCAAGATCCAATTACAGAGCAACTTAACATAAAAGCTCTATAAGCCACACACTTTTAAAAATGTATCAAAAGCAGGTACTACCAAGAATATACAGTTGCTAAAATTGGGGAGGTAAATACTTTGTTCAACTCCAAATAATTGGTGACAGTATAAATTTCTTTAAGCCACATTCTTCTTGCCAGGAAAGAAGCTGGGTTTAAGGAAAACTCAGCTGCTTGCTACCGATTTGAGCTGGAAGAATGAGTCAAACTAACATTCACTTATGCAGCAGACAGCAACCCTGTTCACACCTTTGTCTTAAGTTAGGTGACGGGGCATCAACTACCCTTTAGGACACCTACAATTCCATGGTAAAATGTCAGCAATAAGCTGGGCCTTGTTCTCTTTTGGGGTCTCAGAGTGGTCTTACCCTCAACCACTAAATGTAAAAGAATCCCTTTGAAAATCACCCCCCAACTTTTGAAAATGAATGCTGAACTGAATAGTATTTTTTTGGAGTGAGGTTTTGCTAAAGAATGAGCAATAATAAATTTAAGCTTCAATTACTTTTTGTGCTATTGCTATATAATTTTGAGTTAGTTCATTTTGTAAGTAACAAAGATGAAAATCACAAAAGATTTATTGAAAGCTGTTTATGGCAGCATATACTAAAACCTAGATGCAAAGACAGTTCCTTTCTCATTTTGGAATCAGTATTTATTCTTTTCTACCAGCCCCCATCCCTGCCCATCTTTCTCTCTCTTCTTGTGTGTTTGTTTTGCAGGGGAAAGCAGAGGGGGAAGTAGAGACCTTTCTTTTTTTAGGTTAATACAGTGAAACTCCACTTAAAATGGACTTCCTGGATTCCCTTCCAGAGATTGGTTCAAAAACTCTGTGATGGAGTTCAGGAATCTGCATTTTAAATAAACACTCCTAATAACTTTGATGCTGGTAGTCCAAGAACAACACTGAAAAGCAAGGTGCATGGATAAGTAGAGTAGTGTTTTGCCAGGTGGAACAGTCCATTCTAGGCAGAGAACAGAAGTAAAGGCATGATGGCATCAATGTGCATCATGTGCCTGAGGAACAGGTGCTTAAGGTCCTTAACTTTGCTGGTCCTCAGTTTCTGCGTCTGATAAAAGAAGAGCTGACCTACATTGTTTTTGAGGTCCTTCCCAAAGTTAATATTTGATCATCACCCAAAGTACACAGGAATCATGGTTCACTGTTCACAGATGATACTGTGCTAATTGCTACTCATTTATTCAACAAACAAATGAAGAAATTCAGTGTCAGCCCTCAGTTTTTAGTCTGGTGGAGAGAGAGACAGATGAGTAATTACTATACAGTGCCATACAGAAGGAATTAGTGGTGGCATCACAAAGAAAGTAATGCTTGAGCAGAAACTTTATGGGGAAAAGTTGACAGGATTCCAGCAAGGAATGGCTCGTGCAAAGAAAACTACATGCTGTGACCAGGATACAGTTAATGGTTTAGCATGGTTTTAGCACAGTGTGCATGCTGGAGAATCGCAGAAAAACAAAGTTTTGGAAGAAAGGAGCTAGTTCATATATGTCAGGCAGAGCTCAGATTTTACTATATGGAGGAACTGAAAGCAGGGGATCAGGTCTGCACTTTAGGAACACAGTTCTGGTGATAATATAATGAAAGAAACAAGAAGGAGATAACTGGGAGACAAGTTAGTTAGTCAGTGAATGTCAAGAGATGCTGGCTGCTAAAGCACAGCCATGAGGACAAAGACAGGCTCCAAAGAACAGCTATTCAGGCAGCAGAATTAACCTGCTGAATGTGTGTGGAATGACTTTAAAAAATGGAATTTCAGGATTGTTCTTAGTTTTCACTGGGGTGACTGAGCAGATACTGGCCTCATTCACGAAACAGGAAACACAGGGAATAAGTCTGGGGAGGGAAGGTTGGTTTTGAACTCTATACATTTCGGGTACTTTGGGTACTGGGGTAAGGGTGTCACCGTCAGGAGCTCAGGTAAGAAGTCCAGGCTAAAGAGAGATTTGGAGGTCATTTCCCTAAACTGGTGGTTGAAGCTAAGAGATTACTCATAGGGAACAACAGAAACTGAAAAGAGAAAAAGATCAAGGACAAAACCTTAAAGAGCAACAACTGCGGGAAGGGGGACAGAGGGAAAGGTTTGTTTATTTTTATGACAAACTTCAACATGTCTAGATGCCAAGGAGAAGAAAATGACTACAAAAGCATAGAAAAGGTATTAGAGCAAGCTTGTCCAACCTGCAGCCCACAGGCTCCATGTGGCCCAGGACTGCTTTGAATGTGGCCCAAGACAAATTTGTAAACTTTCTTAAAACATTTTGAGAGTTCTTTGCAATTTTTTATTTTTTGAGCTCATCAGCTATCGTTAGTGTATTTTATGTATGGCCCAAGACATTTCTTCTTCTTCCAATATGGCCCAGGGATGCCAAAAAATTGGATACCCCACACTAGAGCAAGATCCCAGAGGAACTGGTACTGCAAATTTAAAATAACCTAAGAGGTGGGAGAAGAATGGTAGAAACTGATGTTTGCGAAAACAATGAAACAAGGAAAGTTCAAGACTGGGAAATGGTCTACAGAGCCAAGTGCAGAAAAGAAGCCTAAGAAGATATTTTGGGTTTGGCAATCACAAAGTCCTTGGTGGCATGATTAGGTGGCGGAAGCCAGAACTCTGTGGGTAGAAGAGTTAACAAGTAAGGGAAGGGAAAAAAAGATTACCTTTTTCTCTAAATGTGGCTGTAAAAAAGGAGAGAGAGAAGAAATCTGAGAATAATCCCAGTTGATGGTTTTTCTTTTTGTTTTTGTTTTGTTGGATAGGGCAGATAAAGCCAGGGGAGGGAGGTGGGGAAAGGGTATACTGAAGATAAAAAGGGAGGGTTAAATGATGAAATAAGGCCCCAGAGGAGACAGAATGAATGGGATCTAGGACATATATTGGATCATCTGTAGATAGAAAAAAAAAAAAGAAATAAATCAAACATACCTCTTCATCTGAGACAGGATATCTGCTGATGTTAAGTTGGCCTGGTGGTCAGTGTCACAGTATTCATGTCTGAGAGTCTCTGTTTCCTCTGAAAAAGCCAAGCCAGCTGCTGAAAGTACAAGGTCAAAAGTAGAGTAGGTTTAAGGAACGATAAAAGTTAGAATAGTAGCTGTGGGTGAGAAAGGAAAAGAATGGCTGAGCTACATTATGGACCATGCCATATCATCATGGCAATAATCTGGTTACATGATTTTCACTAATACAATTACCTTTCTATATGAGGAGAGAAAGCAAATGGCTAGACTAAACTAGAATAGGTATGCTGGACAAAAGTGGAAGAAACACAAAAGGCAAAGAAATTGTGGATACTGATGTGGGTAAATAATAAAACAAGGAGTGTGGGCTAGACAAGGAAGAAAGTCAATGTAGGTAGAGGCTGATGATGACAAAATAGTCATCAAGGGACAGCGTCTTCATGAGATCAGGGATTAAGTATAGAAGAATAAGGCAGAGGAAGAGATGAAAGAAACAGGAAGATGAGAAGAGAATACTAGAGTTCGTGATTGTTAATATGGAACAGTCTTAGATATTATGGTCCTGCAGTCAGTCAGTCATGGCAGTAAGTTAAGGGAATATGGGGTGCTGGACCTGTGATACACATGACTGCTTTAGTCCCCCCAGAACCTTGTAGCAATTGAGTATGAAAGAAAGACTGGCCAGGCACAGTGGCTCATGCCTGTAATCCCAGCACTTTGGGATGCCGAGGCGGGTGGATCACCTGCGGTCAGGAATTCAAGACCAGCCTGGCCAACATGGTGAAATCCGGTCTCTCCTAAAAATACAATTAGCTGGGCGTGGTGGTGCACGCCTGTAGTCCCAGCTACTCGGGAGGCTGAGGCAGGAGAATCGCCTGAACCCGGGAGGCAGAGGTTGCAGTAAGTTGAGATCACACCACTGCACTCCAAACTGGGCTGACAGAGACTCCGTCTCAAAAAAAAAAAAAAAAAAAAGACTTGAGTTGGGTACTAAATTCCTTAATGAACATGAGTGACCAGGCAGCTGGTAAATAACAGTGAGGAGAGGGAAAAGGGCTCATTAGAGAAGGGTTTCTGGTAAGTTTTACAAGGGTGGAATGGAATGGCGTAGCAATGGCCATGAGGAGATGGCGAATACAGATACCAGCTCTGGGTCCTGGGGTGGGATGGAATGGCCTAGCAATGGCCATGAGGAGATGGCGAATACAGATACCACCTCTGGGGGGCGGGGGGCGCGGGCAGGCACGGCTTTCGCTGTGGTGAATTGCTGGGAAAGCAGTGTCTCCAGCAGGCATGGCTTTCGCTGTGGTGAATTGCTGGGAAAGCAGTGTCTTCAGGAGACAGCCAGGTACCCAATATCACAAGGAGGAATGTTTTGTGAACAAGAAGATATAAAGACATAGAGGGGTGAGAACATGTGGTGTTTGGTTTTTTGTCCTTGCGATACTTTGCTGAGAATGATGGTTTCCAGCTTCATCCATGTCCCTACAAATGACATGAACTCATCATTTTTTATGGCTGCATAGTATTTCATATGAGAATTGAACAATGAGAACACCTGGACACAGGAAGGGGAACATCACACACCAGGGCCTGTTGTGGAATGGGGGGAGGGGGAGGGATAGCATTAGGAGATATACCTAATGTAAATGACGAGTTAATGGGTGCAGCACACCAACATGGCACATGTATACATATGTAACAAACCTGCACGTTGTGCGCATGTACCCTGGAACTTAAAGTATGATAAAATATATATATATATAAATTTAAAAAAAGATATAGAGGGGTTTACATATGAGGAGTCTAGAAAAAGAGTTTACAGTTTCCAGAAGAAGGCAGATAGTGAGACGATCAGCAGATGGAGAAGGTGTGGGAATGAGGCTGCGAGAAGGGATAAATTATCTGGGTTGTTACCAAGTATGACAGAGACTATAGACAGGGTGGGATTTACGGTCTCAAATGAAACTGTGCCAAGCTGTCAGAGACACTGGGACTCTATTTTGCTTACTAAGGTTAAACACTAGTATTACTTTTGGTCACCATACTATTAAAAAATAAAGACAATCCTACGAAACTTAGGCAATTAATATCAGAATAAAGAGGTCAATAATGTTTATTCTCTATTAACATGTACATTTAGAAAATAAAAGCAAAGCTTAAAAATGCATGGAAGTCTTACACAAGACGACTGTTGGGGCATAATGCCTGACACAGAACGCAGTTAAACACTGTGGAAAGCCTGAATGAGTGAAAGCATACAAACCACCACCGTGCGGCTCTCTACACTAGCAAGTTTCCGAAGTTCGCCCCAGCCGGTTTCCCTGAACAAGTTCCCAACCGCATCACGTTTAGTTTATCTCGTTATTTTAACTCGGAGCGAGGCAATGGGAAAAAGAAAAACAATGAGAGCCGTACTCTGTTTATTAAGCGATGAATGACGACACATGGGTGAGCGTGTCTGGCATGCCCTATTTAAGACTTTAAACATAGTACATTAGTACGCTAACAGCAAGCTCTGGAAATAAAAGGAACCGCTTGCATATTTAGGGGGCTCTTTTGTAAGCCACAAAGGAAATCACCTGAAGTCAAAGCTCCCCTCTTTTCCTAGCAAGGCAGGGACGACGGCAAAGAGAAAGTAGGTCCCGGGGCGCTGCAACCCGTGCAACTTGCCGGCTGGCGTCCCCCGGCCTCGCGCCTCCACGCCCTGCGCGGGCGACCGCTCTTGCCACAACGGCGCCCCGCAGCGTCCTCCCCGGGGACGCCCGCTCAGCCGGGAGCTCGCGGCCGGTACTCACCCGCTGGGTATACTCTTCTTCTTCACCAGGACGAGAGGGATGAGAGACCCACGCCCCAGGCAACCCCGCTCTCAGGCCTCCTCCAGAACAGACCCCAGGGTACGCTACAACTCACACGCTCACGGGCAGAGGCGAGGGGCGGGGGTGATAGACCCCGGCGGCGAACAGACTTGGCGCACCGAAGATTCCCAAAGGCGCGTGCTCCGCTCCCTCTGGGTCCTGGCAGGCCAGGGGCGGCAGCGCGCATGCTCCTGGGTCGCCGCTACTTGCAGCCCGCGGGCGCCGTAGGGCTGGCGCAGGGTGCGGTGGGGCGGTTGGTGATCATCCTAGCCTGCGGTAGATGGTGCGCCCTGCCTTCCCTGCCCAGACGTAAGAAAAGTGCACTGTCCGTCCAGGTGAATGTCGGGCTGCTGGTGAAGGTTTCTCTGATTCTTCCCTGTCAGACATTCCCGCACTTTTGTGGAGCTCTGCTGCATGGGCAGAACTAGCTGGGCTGGGATAACCGGAGCCGGGGCCGCGCAGGCCGCTGGGACTTGTAGTTCGGGGGCCTGGCCGACCGGTTTGTTAGCCAATTTGGGAATGAGTAGAATTGAAAATCACTCGAGAGCAGTGTTTGATTTGCAAGAAATACGGGTCGGCATATTATTAATTCAGTGCCTACTGTGTGTGCTGAACACCTTGCCTTAGTCCTGATCTTCACATTAGGATAAGCAGGAAGATGAACTTGGAAGGTAGAATGTAATGAACAAAAATTCGCATTATGAACTACAAATGCTGTTGGAGATCAAGAGACAGAGTTAGAAAAAACTTCCTGAAAGACGTGGAGTTTGAATCAGCCTTAGAAACACGGAATGCTATCCATTTGCGGGGAAGTTGTAAAAATTAAAGGTTGGAGATGCCAGGGAGAATAAACAAGAACTCCATCCAGCTATAGTTGAGGGGTTATGTTGGAGAGTGGTCAATGTTGGAGAGTGGTCACTGCGGCTTAGATGGGGAAGTGATGTGAGAGTTTTTTGGCTTCACTTTCAGAAAGGGCCTCCTGGTTGACTTTCTCTCTAATTGAGGCTATAAGTATAGACACAGAGATACATCTTCAGGTTTGAATAAAAAACATTACAGTACTTGTTTAGAGCTTCTGGGCCTCCTGGCCAGTGGTTGCTCTAAGAATTAATACATTTTTATAAATCTTGTAATTCACCTTTGAGTAGCAAAACTACGTTGCATGGTGTGTGTTAGATGTAAATTTTCAAAATATAATATGATAGTTTTTGTAACCTGTTTCCACATTAGTTTTCATGTACCAGAAGTCCCAAGATAGAGAAGTGGGCCCAAATCTTTCTTGATCTACAGGAGCAGGACATGATGACTTGGGAACTGGTCCTCAGAGCAGTGGGTGATTTAGTTTTGTTGCCTTTCGAAGACTTAAATAAATTCACAGATCAGAAAATCTTTTGTCACGCCGTTTGTTCCTAAGTTTTGATTTTGGAAAACAAGATAACAGTTAAGTTAATTTTTAAACTTGCCAGTTAATGCAATACATGGAAGTCATAATGTTTTTTGTAGAACACTGTGAAATACTGCTATATTCCTCTTAACTAAGTAAAGAATTGTTAAGTTAAATTCCACTTCTTCCATATCCTAATAACAATAAAGGGTAGCTGGTGCTATATATTTAATAGATTATTTTTACAAAATGCTATTGTTGCCTTAATTACATCATAACTGTGAATGAGACCTTAATTCTGGACATAGCATCCTAATTCAAATTAAGTCTGGAAGGCATCATTTAGGAAACATTGCTATAAGAGAGTTCAGAAAGGTGTCATCATACTATGTGACAATAGATGAACTGAGATAAAGATAAAATTGGATTTTGGTCTGAATTCAGATCTGCTAAGGAAGGAAAGTGCATTAATACATTTAGAAATATTTCTAACAAGAGCCAGGGGAAGATTAAAGGGAACCAATTTTCTGATTGGATCACAATTAAAGATATGTTACTATATACTAAGATATGCATTGTGTAACCATTTCCACATGCTAGAGGTTTTTCTGTGGTTTTATTTTGCTAGCACTCCTGAAACCAAATGGCCTGTGACAGAAGTAACCAAGGTGACTGAAAATTGTGCCAAAAAGAAGTCTGTGCTGATTCAGGGATCCACATAGTCTTGTGCCCGCAGAATTGATTTAGAAATTTGTTTAGGCAAAGCGCAGTGGCTCATGCCTATAATTCCAATGCTTTGAGAGGCTGAGGCAGGAGGATTGCTTGAGGCCAAGAGTTTGAGACCAGCCTGAGCAACACAGCGAGACCCTGTCTGTACCTAATAATAACAATAATAATAATTAGCCGAGCCTTAGAGACACATGCCTGTAGTCCTAGCTACTCAAGAGGTGGAAGCAGGTGGATCACTTGAGCCCAGGAGTTCAAGGCTGTAATGAGCTGTCATCATGCCACTGCACTTCAGCCTGGGTGAAAGAGTGAGACCCTGTCTCTAAAAAACAAACAGATAAACAAAAACTTGTGTGGCATTCTAGTTTCTACAAATGTCTGGGGAATTGCATGAACTTGCATTTAACCGTCATGTTGAATGATACTCTTGTATTAGGCCATTCTTGCGTTGCAATAGAAGAATACTGGGTAATTTATAAAGAAAAGAGTTTTAATTGGCTCACAGTTCTGCAGGCTATATAAGCATGGCTCTAACATCTGCTTCTGGTGAGGGCATCAGGGAGCTTACAATCATGGTGGAAGGGAAGGGGAGCCAGCATGTCACATGGCAAGAGAGGAAATAAAGGAAGGAGGGGGGAGGTCCTAGACAGACTCTTTTAAACAACTAGATCTCATGTGAACTAACTGAGCAAGAACTCATCATGAAGGGGATGGTGCTAAGCCAACCATGAGGTATCCACCCCCACAATCCAATCACTTCCCACCTGGCCACATGTCCATTATTGGGAATCACATTTCAACATGAGATTTGGAGGAGACAAACATCCAAATAGATCTCTAGTATCTATTAGTAGCCTTTTAATCAATTTCCCTGCCTCCATAGAATATCTATATTTAATCATTGCCTCTTGGCCTTTTGGCTAAGATCAAATGTATATTTAATCAGATCCTTTTTTTTCTTACTGCAAAGTTTTATACTTTTGGGGGGAAGGGAATTCATACATATTTTAATTAAAATAATTCCTTAGTATCTTGAAGTTTTTTTCAGTACCCTTTTTGTGAAAGTGATTTTTTTCTAGTACATTAGCATGTAGGGAAGATACTGACTTTTACATATATTCTCTTGTATTCTGCCAATTCCAATTTTCTAATTATGTCTAAACTTTATTTAGTCTTTTGGGTTTTTCATGTATAAAAACCTATCATCTACAAACAATGATAATTTTGTTTTCCTCTTCCAAGAGTTACACCTCTTACTTCCTTCTTTTGCACATCTTATTGCATTAACCGGGATTTCTATTAAATACTGAAGGTGACCAAATACAAATATGAAATAGTAAAAGTGATAGTATATCTGTTTTGTTTCTTGTTAAATTAAAAAATTTAAAAAGCATACTTTTAACCTCAAGTATCACAAGTCAGTTTTCTTATGATATGTCATTCTCAATAATATTTCTTATTTATTTAGAAAGTTGAAATAAAAGGACCATCATGAAAAAATCTCAAAGAGAAGATATTTTTAAAAAGGTAAGGTATTAATGGAGTTTATAATATTTTGATTATTCCAAATAGCCCTGTTGTAAATGGGGGATAATCCTGATAAATGTGATACATTTGTTTCTATATACAAATCATAAATTCATATGTAAAAAAAGAAACAATAGGAGAGTTTAGGGATGAATTGTATTCTTATTTGGTCTGTAAGTTATTTAATAAGATGAATTATTTATGTATGTATTTATTTAATCTCTTACTTCAATATCTATTTGTTTATATGTTCTCTCACCTAGCCAACAAGCCATTCCCTGCTTTGTTAAAAAAGATGTTTGTCAGTGAGTTAAATCTATATAGGAGCAATATTTACATGTCTCTTAGAGTAACTGCAATTAAGATTCACATTTTATCCCTACCTTCTAGATGGAAATGAGAACTTATGAAAAAGTATACAGGATTCTGGGAATGGTGGGCAAGATATTTGGGAACTAATAAGGGAGACCCTCTATCAGTTACTTGCCAGAATTGTTCCATCATACCTTAAGGGTTGCTATCCCCTGGTCAAGAGTAGAATTAGGTATTTTTTATTGTCTTGAGGTAGGTACTGAAGGTTGAATAAGATGTAAGGGAACATTGTAGTCTGTGTTGACCTTATTCAGTAGTTTTTAATAGTGGTACAAGAACGAATAGTAGATTTTGAAGTTTTTTCGGAAAGTTTATAGACTGGGCTCTTTTTATGATATTTTAACTGTGATCATGTCAATAGCCTGCTTTGGTTTTTGACACAAATTCATGTTTTTACTGTGATTAGAAAGCTTGAGATTTCCAACTGCACATTAGTTTGGTTAGCATGTACAGTTGTTATTTCAGGAGTCTTTGCTATTATATTTTTTAGCATTAAAATTAAAAAGAAACTTATAACCATATCATTCTAAAAAGGGTTTAACATTGCTAGAATAGTTTACCTATAGAATATTGAGGTTTATAAAAACTGGAAAAGAAATGCTTATTTTAACATACTGAATTTTTGTTGATGATACAACATTCAACTAGAATTACCAGAAGTCAGCTAGAAATATGATTTTGATGCTTAGGAGAGTGAAGGCTGGAGACACAGATTTGGGAATCCATGGGAATATGTGCACCCTCCAAAGCTTTGGAATGTACCCAACATTTAGGATATGAAGAGGTATGACCATTGAAGGATACAGAAATAAGTGGCCACAGAGGTAGAAGGGTAGAGGGCAAGGATATATAAAGTTTTCAAAAAATAAGGTTGCTGAACGTTGCCACACGCTGCAGGGTAATAAATCAAGTAATAGCTAAAACTAGTATAGCATTGAATTTTCAAAGTATTTTCATATATGTCTGATCTCACTTGACCTTCTTAAAAGGTACATGAAGTGGTAATACATGAACACTAAGAACTAACTCTTGGATTTTATCATTAAAAGGCCTTTTTTATATTCCAGAGAACAATTTCTTTTTGGAAATTTTTAATTTTTATGGATACACAGTAGGTATATATAGGTATGGGGTACATGAGATATTTTTATACAGGCATACCATGTGTAATAATCACATCAGGGTAAATGGGTTATTCATTACCTCAAGCATTTTTATCATTTCTTTGTGTTATAAACATTCCAATTGTATTCTTTCAGTTATTCTAAAATGTACTATAAATTATTGTTGACCATAGCCACCCTTTTGTGCTGTAAAATACTAGATCGTATTCATTGCATTGTACTTATTAACCTTCCCCATTCCCTGCCCCCCACCCAATACCTTTCCCAGTCTCTGGAAACCATCATTATACTCTCTATTTCCGTGAGTTCAATTGTTTTAATTTTCAGTTCTCACAAATGAGTGAGAATATGCAAAGTTTTTCTTTCTGTGCCTGACTTATTTCACTTAACATAATGACCTCCAGTTCCATCCAAGATGTTGCAAGTGATAGGATCTCATTCTTTTTTTTATGGCAGAATAGTACTCCATTGCATATATATATATACCACATTTTCTTTATCCATTTATCTGTTGATGGACACTTAGGTTGCTTCCAAATCTTGGCTCTTGTGAACAGTGCTGCAACAAACATGGGAGTGCAGGTATGTCTTCAATATACTGATTTTCTTTCCTTTGAGTATATACCCAGCAGTGGAATTGCTGGATCATATGGTAGCTATATCTTCAGTTTTTTGAGGAACCCCATACTGTTCTCCGTAGTGGCTGTACTAATTTACATTCCCACCAACAGTGTATTAGGGTTGCCCTTTCTCAATGCTTTTGCCAGCATTCATTATTGCCTGTCTTTTGGTTAAAAGCCATTTTAAGTGAGTGAGATGATGTCTCATTGTAGTTTTGATTTGCATTTCTCTAATGGTCAATGATGTTGAGCATCTTTTCATATACCTGTTTGCCATTTGTATGTCTTCTTTTGAGAAATATCTATGTAGATCTTTTGCCCATTTTTAAATCAGATTATTAGACATTTTCCTACTGAGTTGTTTGAGCTCCTTGTATATTTTGGTTATTAATCCCTAATCAGATACATAGTTTGCATATATTTTCTCCCATTCTAAGGGCTGTTTCTTTGTTGATTGTTTCCTTTACTTTGCAGAAGCTTTTTAACTTGATGTGATCCCATTTGTCCATTTTTTGCTTTGATTGCCTGTGCTTTTGGGGTATTACTTAAGAAATCTTTGCCCAGACCAATGTCCTGGAGAGTTTCCCCAATTTTTCTTTTAGTAGTTTTATACTTTCAGATCTTAGATTTAAGTCTTTAATTCATTTTGATTTGATTTTTGTATATGGTGAGAGATAGGGGTCCAGTTTCATTCTTCTGCATATGGATATCCAGCTTTCCCAGCCCCCTTTATTAAAGAGATTGTCTTTTCCCAATGTGCATTTTTGGCACCTTGTTGAAAATGATTTCATTGTAGATGTATAGATTTATTTTTGGTTTCTTTATTTTGTTCCATTGATGTGTATGTGTGTGCGCGTGTGTGTGTGTATTTTAATGCCAGTGCCATGCTATTTTGTTTAGTACAGCTCTGTAGCACAATTTGAAGTCAGTGGTATGGTTTGGCTTTTAGTATAGCTTTGTAGTACAATTTGAAGTCAGTGATATGGTTTGGCCGTGTCCCCATCCAAAATCTCATCTGGAATTATAATCCCCATAATCCCCAAGTGTCAATGGGGGGACCAGATGGAGGGAATTGGATCACGGGAGTGGTTTCCCCCATGCTGTTCTTGTTATAGTGAGTGAGTGAGTCTCACAAGATCTGATGGTTTTATAGGTGTTTGGCATTTCCCCTGCTTGCACTCACTCTGTCCTGCTGCCCTGTAAAGAAGGTGCCTGCTTCTCCTTTGCCTTCTGCCATGATTGCAAGTTTCCTGAGGCCTCCCCAGCAATGCGGAACTGTGAGTCAATTAAACTTCTTTCCTTTATAAATTACCCAGTCTCAGGTATTTCTTCATAACAGCGTGAGAATGGACTAATAGAGTCAGGTAATGTGATTTCTCGAGTCTTGTGTTTTCCTGCTCAGGATAGCTCTGGCTATTATGAGTCTTTTTAGGTTCCCTATAAATTTTAGGATTACTTTTTCTATTTTTGTGAAGAACGTTCTTGGTATTTTGATAGGGATTGGATTGAATACGTAGATTGCTTTGAATAGAATGGACATTTTAACAATATTGACTCTTCCAATCTATGAACATGAAATATCTTTCCATTTTTTGTGTATCCTCTTCAGTTTCTTGCATTTTATAGTTCTCATTGTGGACATCTTTTACTTATTTGTTTAAGTTAATTCCTGGGTATTTAATTTGATTTGTAACTATTGTAAGTGGGATTATTTTCTAGATTTCTTTTTCAGATTGTTTGCTGTTGGCATATAGAAATGCTACTGACTTTTGTATATCAATTTTATGTCCTGCAACTTTGCTGAATTTGTTCATCATTTCTAATTTTTTTTTGTGAAGTCTTTATGTTTTTCTAAATACATAATTATATCATCTCCAAACAAGGATAACTTGAGTTCTTTCTTTCCAATTTGGATGCCCTTTATTTCTTTCGTCTGATTGCTCTAGCTAGGACTTTCAGTACATGTTGAACAACAGTGGTGAAAGTAGGCATCCTTGTCTTGTTCCAGATCTTAGAGGACAGGCTTTCAGTTTTTCCCTGTTTGGTATAACATTAGCTGTGGGTCTGTCACATATGGCTTTTAGTGCGTTGGGGTATGTTTCTTATATACCCAGTTTTTGAAGGTTTTTTCATGAAGCGATGTTGAATTTTATCAAATGCTTTTTCAGCATCAATTGAAATAATCATATGGTTTTTGTCTCTCATTCTGTTGGTATGATGTATCACATTGATTGATTTGTGTATGTTGAACCACCCTTGTATCCCTGTGATGAATCTCATTTGGTCACGATGAATGATCTCTTTAATATGATGTTGAATTCGGCTTGCTAGTATTTTGTTGAGGATTTTTGCATCAATGTTCATCAGATACATTGGCCTGTAGTTTTCTTTTTTTGATGTCACTTTGTCTGGTTTTAGTATCAGGGTAATATTGGCCTTGTAGAATGACTTTGGAAGTATTCCCTTGTCCTCTATTTTTTGGAACAGTTTGAGTAGGATTGATATTAGTTCTTTAAATGTTTGCCAAAATTTAGCAGTGAAGCCATCAGGTCCCAGGCTTTTCTTTGCTTGGAGACTTTTTATTATGGCTTTGATCTTGTTACTTATTATTGGTCTATTCAAGTTTTGGATTTCTTCATGGTTCAATCTTGGTAGGTTGTATGTGTCTAGGAATTTATTCATTTCTTCTAGGTTTTTAAATTTATTGGCATATAATTTCTCATAGTAGCCTCTAATGGATCCTTTGAATTTCTGCAGTATCAGCTATAATGTCTCCTTTTTCATTTCTGATTTTATTTATTTGGGTTTTCTCTCTCTTTGTCTTAGTGAGTCTGGCTAATGATTTGTCAATTTTGTTTAACTTTTCAAAAAAACAACTTTTTGTTTCATTGGTGTTTTGTATTTTTTTATTTTAATGTGATTTATTTCCTGCTCTTGTTTTTACTATTTCTTCTATGAATTTTGGGTTTGATTTGCTCTTGCTTTTCTAGTTCTTTAAGACGCATCATTAGGTTATTTTAATTTTTTTTCTTTTAAAAAATTTTTTGACATAGACACTTATTGCTGTAAACTTTCCTCTTAGTACTGCTTTTGCTGTATCCCATAGGTTTTGGTATGTTGTGTTTCAATTTTCATTTGTTTCAAGGAATTTTCTTAATTTCTTCATTGAGCCACTGGTCATTCAGAGGCATATTGTGTAATTTCCATGTGTTTGTATAGTTTCCAAAGTTCCTCTTGTTATTGACTTTTGATTTTATTCCATTGTAATCAGAGAAGATACTTGATATGATTTCAAAGTTTTTGAATTTTTAAAGATGTATTTTGTGGCCTAACATATGGTCTATTCTTGAGCATGATCCATGTGGTGAAGAGAAGAATGTATATTCTTCAGCTGTCAGATGAAACATTCTATAAATATCTGTTAGGTCCATTTGGTCTTTAGTGTAGATAAGGTCTGATATTTTTTGGTTGATTTTCTGTCTGGATGATCTGTTCAGTGTTGAAAGTGGGCTGTTGAAGTCTCCAACTATTGCTGCATTGGTTGTCTATCTCTCCGTTTAGCTCTAATAATATTTGTTTTATGTATCTGGGTGCTTCAGTGTTGGGAGCATATGTATGTACAATTATGACATCCTCTTGATGAATTGATCCCTTTTATATCATGACCTTCTTTGTCTGTTTTTGTCTTGAAATTTATTTTATCTGATATAATTATAGCTATTCCTGCTCTTTTTTGGTTTCCATTTGCATGGACTATCTTTTTTCATCCTTTTCAGTGTTTATGTGTTTTTATAGGTGAAATGTGTTTCTTATGGGTCATTGAGTCTTGATTTTTTTATCCGTTCAGCCACTCTATGTCTTTTGATTAGAGAGTTTAGTCCATTTATATTCAATGTTGTTGTTGATAAGCAAGGACTTTACTATTGCCATTTTGTTGTTTGTTTTCTGGTTGTTCTGTCTTCCTTCCTTCCTTCCTTCCTTCCATCCGTCCGTCCATCCGTCCGTCTGTCTTCTGTTTTTGGTGAAAGCAATTTTCTCTGGTGGTATGTTTTAACTCCTTGCTTTATATTTTTTGTGTATCTGTGGTAGGTTTTTTGTTTGATGTTACAATGAGGCCTACAAACAACATCTTACAACCCATTATTTCAAATTGATGACAACTGAACTCTTATTGCAAAAACAAACAAACAAGGAGAAAACTAATTAAAACTCTACCCTTTAACTTTATCCCCCCTGCTTTTTAACTTTTTGTTTCTATTTATATCTTCTTATACTGTCTGTGTCTTAAAAAGTTATTGCAGTTATTATTTTTGAGACAGTATTATTTTGAGACAGCCTGTCACCCAGGCTGGAGTGCAGCAGCATGGTCTCGGCTCACTGCAGCCTCCACCTCTGGATTCAGATGATTTTCCTGCCTCAGCCTCCCAAGTAGCTGGGTTACAGACGCACACCACCACACCTGGCTAATTTTTGTATTTTTAAGTAGAGACGGGGTTTCACCATATTGGTCAGGCGGATCTTGAACTCTTGACCTCAAGTGTTCCGCCTACCTCAGCCTCCCAAAGTGCTGGGATTACAGGTATGAGCCACCGTGCCCAGCCTAAAAGTTGTTGTAGTTATTATTTTTGATAGGTTCAACTTTCAGTATTCCCATTCAAGATATGAGTAGTTTACACACCACAATTATGGTGTTATAATATTCTGTATTTGTCTGTATACCTAATTACAAGAGAGTTTTGTACCTTCAGATGATTTCTTACTGCTCATTAATGTCCTTTTCTTTCAGATTAAAGAAGTCCCTTTAACATTTCTTGCAGAACAGATTTGGTGTTGACAAAATCCCTCAGCTTTTGTTTGTCTTGGAAAGTCTCAATTTCTCCTTCATCTTTGACGATATTTTCACTGGATACAATTTTCTAGGATAAAAATTTTTTCCTTCAGCACGTTAAATAGATTCTGTCACTTTCTTTTAGCCTGTAAGGTTTTCACTGAGAAATGTGCTGCCAGATATATTGGAGTTCCAATTTATGTTATTACTTTTCTTTTCCCTTGCTGCTTTTAGGATTATTTCTTTATCTTTGACCTTTGGGAGTTTGATTATTAAATATCTTGAGGTAGTCTCATTGGGTTAAATATGCTCAATTTTCTAAAGCCTTCTTGTATTTTAATGTTAACATCTTTCTCTAGGTTGGAAAGTGTTATTATCTTTTGAATAAACTTTCTACTCCAGTCTCTCTCTCTACCTCTTCTTTAAGGCCAATAACTCTTAGATTTGCCCTTTTGAGGCTTTTTTTCTAGCTACCATAGGCATGCTTCATTATTTTCTATTCTTTTTCTTTTGTCTCCTCTGACTGTGTATTTTCAAATAGCCTGTCTTCAAGCTTACTGATTCTTTCTTCTGCTTGATCAATTCTAATGTTGGGAGACTCTGATGCATTCTTCATTTTTTCAATTGATTTTTTCAGCTCCGGAATTTCTGCTTGATTCTTTTTAATTATTTCTATCTCTTTGTTAAATTTGTCTCATAACATTCTGAATTCTTTCTCTGTCTTACCTTGGATTTCACTGAGCTTCTTCAAAACAGTTACTTTGAATTCACCGCTTGAAAGATCACATATTTCTGTTACTCCAGAATTGGTCACTGGTGCCTTATTTAGTTTATTTGGAGAAGTCATGTTTTCCTGGATGGTCTTGAAGCTTGTGGGTGTTCATCAATGTCAGGGCATTGAATAGTTAGATATTTATTCTAATATTTGCAGTCTGGGTTTGTTTGTACCCAACTTTCTAGAGAAGGATTAGTAAGTATTCAAAGATAATTTTGAGTGTTGTAATCCAGTTATTTGGTCATGCAACCATAAATGCATTAAGGGGCACCCCAAGTCCAGTAATGTGCTGACTCTTGCAGACTTGTAGAGGTACTGCCTTGGTGGTCTTGGGAGAAGACCAAGGAGATCAGGGAGAATTCCCTGGATTACCAGGCAGGGTTTCTTGTTCTATTCCCTTTTCTCCAAACAAAGTGTCTTTCTCTCTCCATGCTGAGCTGCCTGGAGTTGGGGAAGGAGTGATGCAGACACTCCCATGGCCACCACCACTGGGACTGTGCTGGGTCATACCTGAAGCCAGCATAGTGCTAGGTCTCACCCAAGGCCTGTTGGTGAGAGTCCTGAGAGTCTTGATGTTTATTCAAGCCCCAAGGGCTATTTAGTGAGCAAATGATGAATCCTGCCAGGACTAGGGCTTCCCCTTCAGTGAAGCAGGTTCCTTCCAGTGAAGCAGGTTCCCTTCTGGCCCAGGGTGGGTTTAGAAATGCCATTGAAGTGCGAGGGCCTGGGGTCAGGGGTTTTAGGAATTTGTTTGGTGCTTCATTTTACTGGGGCTGAACTGGCACCCAGGTTGTAAAACTAAGTCCTCTCTGCTTTTCCCTTTTCTTTCCTCAAGCAGAAGGGCTATCTGCTTATGGGCACCACTGCACCAGGCCAGTGGTGACTATACCCTGACTACCACTGATGTTTATTCAAGGCCCAAGGGGTTTTTAGTCAGCAGTTGGTGAGTCCTACCAAGCCTGGTTCTCTCCCGCCAGAGCCGCAGGTTCCTTTCTGGCCCAGGATGGGTCTAGAAATGCCCACCAAGACCTAAGGTCTGGAATCAGAGACTTCAGGAGTCTGCTTGATACACTTTATTTGACTGTGGCTGAGCTGGATACCCAAGTGTGTAGTCCATTCTCGCACTGCTATAAAGATAGTACCCTTTAAAAAGTAATTTATAAAGGAAAGAGGTTTAATTGACTCACAGTTCCACATGGTTGGGAAGGCCTCAGGAAACTTAGAATCATGGTGGAAGGCGAAGGGGAAGCAAGGACCTTCTTCACATGGTGGCAGGAGAGAGAAATGCAAGCCAGGCAAATACCAGACGCTTGTAAAACCATCAGATCTTGTGAAAACTCACTCACTATCATGAGAACAGCATGGGGGAAACCACCCCCATGATCCAGTCACCTCCCACTCGGTCTCGCCCTCAACACCTGGGGATTACAATTCAAGATGAGATTTGGGTGGGAACACAAAGCCTAATCATATCGCCAAGTTGCAAAACAAAGTCATTTTACTCTTCCTCCTCCTTTCCTCAAGCAGAAGGTGTCTCTCACTGTGGCCGCCACAGGTGGAAATATACTGGGTCACACCTGAAGCCAGCACAATACTGGGTCTCGCCCAAGGTCGTGGTGACTACTGACTGGCTACCACTGATGTTTATTCAAGGCCCAAGGGTTCTTTAGTTAGCAGATGGTGAATTCTGCCAGGATTGCAACCTTTCCTTCAGGGCAGTGGGTTCTCTTCTGGCCCGGTGTCCGTCTAAAAATATTATCTGGGAGATAGTGCCAGGAGTGGGGGCTTTAGGACTCTGCTTGGTGCTTTTACTGTGGCTGAGCTGGTATCCAAGTTGCAAGACAAAGTACTCTTTGCTCTTCCCTCTTTTCCTGGAGCTGTGAGCTGTACTGCCTGAAGTTGGGGGAGGGGTGATGCAAGCACTCCCTTGGCTGCCCCAGCTGGTGTCTCACTGGATCATGTCACCCTGAGTCCACTGGCTGTGAGCCCTGCACAGTACCAGGACTTGTCCAGGAATTGTGGTCCTTGTGGGCTAGACTGCCTTTCAAATTTATTAGGACCCCAGAGTGCTTTAGCCAATGGTGGTGGGGCTAGCTGGAAGTCAGGTTCTGACTGCTGGGATGGACAGTTCCCGTCTGGCTAGGGCTTGTCTAAGTGCTCCCTCTGTGGGCGCTGGCCAAATTCTGCCCTGTGTTGCTTTCCGCTATGTTAGGGGAGCAGTGAGTTCCAATGCAAAGTCCCCCAATCACTTAACTCTCCCTCCTCCAAGTGCACAGATTCTCTCTTCCTGCCATGCTGCCTGGGGATGAGAGAGAGGTGGTATAGGCAATTCAAGATCGTCTTTCCTACTCTCTTCAGTGCCTCTTTCCTTGACATGATGTTAAAACCAGGCACTATGATTGCTCACCTGATTTTTGGTTCTTGTGAAGGTGCTTCTTATGTGGATAGTTGTTCAATTTGTTGTTCCTGCAGTGCAGATGATTGCTGGAGGATTCTATCCAGCCACCTTGCTTTACCTCCTAAGAGAGAGTAATTTCACCATATATAAAGAGCTCATACAAATTGATAAAAAGGTGAAATTTAAGAAAACAAGCAAAATCTGTGAACTGGCATTTTAAAGGAGATGATGTTCAAAGGGCTGACGAATATTTGAAAAGATGTTCAATAACGAGAACACATAGACATGGGGCGGGGCACATCACACGCCAGGGCCTGTCAGAGGGTGGGGGGCTGGGGGAGGGATAGCATTAGGAGATATACCTAATGTAAATGACGAGTTGATGGGTGCAGCAACCAACATGGCACATGTATACCTATGTAACAAACCTGCATGTTGTGCACATGTACCCTAGGACTTAAAGTATAATAATAATAATAATAAAAGATGTTCAGTGACAAAACAAGATGCAAGTTTAACCCTCCCTGCTTTTTTTGCAGATGTCAGAAGAGATGGATAATATTACAGCTGAAGAAATTATAGACAAGCATCTCCAAAAAGGTTCTCAATAAGTATACCATAACTCTGATACTCTTCATTTTTATTTTTAAAGATGTAAATGATTAATCCTGTGCCAGGGTTTCAGCTGGGAACACAAATTTCCTAAGGAATCAGTTTAAAGAGAAATTAAACTTCCTAAATAAAACAAGATGGGCATAAGGAAATAGAAAAGTCAATGGATGTAATAAACCTGAATTTCATTTTCTTTTTGTCACTGCAAACATGGAGATTCCACTGGCGGTGAGACTGTTTTAGACCACAAAGATACATAGGTGCAGAACCTGCTTCAGCAAACTTCAAATCTCAGGGAGGAAAATACATAAATAATGGTTGAGCTCTGGTTCATTCATCAAGCAAATATTTATTGAGCATGTATTATATGCCATCTGCCATTCTAAGTTATGGGAATAGAGTATAAACAAAACCAACTAGTAATTTTTAAATTTTACCAAGGAATACTGTGGTTAAACATGAAGATTCTCATGACCTATAGTTAGTTATTTAGCTTTATGCTTACCCTTTACTTCTACAAACTTCTATGTAACCTTTAAGCACTCAAAGGCAGGGAATAGAAAAAGTAAAAAGCAAGGCAAAGTGATCAATAGGTCCTCAATTTTTTACTGTACCTAGGATTGCATGATCTTGCATGATCTCTTTCATTCCATCCAGCAACCGAGCAGAAAATAACACATGGCTTGGAGTACACACAAGGGCTTGAGACTTTTTTTTTTCTTTTTTAAGAAACAGAGTCTTGCTCTGTTGCCTAAGGCTGGAGTGAAGTAGTGCGATCATAGCTCACTGCAGCCTCAGACTTCTGGGCTCAAGCGGTGGTCCCACCTCAGCCTCTCAAGTAGCTGGGACTATAGGCATGTATGTTATTTTTTTTTTTTTTTGAGATGGAGTTTTGCTCTTATTGCTCAGACTGGAGTGCAATGGCGTGATCTCGGCTCACCACAACCTCCACCTCCCGGGTTCAAGCAATTCTCCTGCCTCAGCCTCCCAAATAGCTGGGATTACAGGCATGTGCCACCACGCCCAGTTAATTTTGTATTTTTAGTAGAGATGGGGTTTCTCCATGTTGGTCAGGCTGGTCTCGAACTCCTGACCTGCCCGCCTCGGCTTCCCAAAGTGCTGGGATTACAGGCGTGAGCCACTGTGCCCAGCCCCCAAATTTGTGTGTGTGTGTGTGTGTGGAGACAGGGTCTTGCTATGTTGCGCAAGCTGGTCTCAAACTCCTGGCCTCAAGCAGTCCTCCTGCCTCGGCCTCCCAAAATGCTGAGATTGCAGGCATAAGCCTCCTTTATACCCTCAAAACTTTCCTTTTCTCTAATAGCTGGAAAAAGTAGGGGTCAGAAGTGTTATAATGATTTTACAAAACTATCATAATTAAAATGGGTATCCAGAGACTTATCACTCTTCTTTTTTAGATTCCTGTCTTTTCAGTTTAATAAAATTCAAGTAACCAGGCTTTGATATTTTTGTATTAGTATACTTCACAGAGATGTCTCACAGATTTTTAAAATCTGAGCTTTGTTTTTGTTTTGTTTTGTTTTGTTTTTGGCCAAAGAAGGGCTCTGGCCAGTAGCTGAGGAAGCAACAAAAGAAGGTGACAGAGACCTACTATGTACCCACGATAATTAAAAATTTAAAAAAGAGGGCTGGGCGCGGTGGCTCATGCCTGTAATCCCAGGACTTTGGGAGGCTGAGGTGGGTGGATCACCTGAGGTCAGGAGTTTAAGACCAGCCTGGCCAACATGGCGAAACCCCATCTCTACTAAAAATACAAAAAAGAAAGTTAGCAGGGTGTGGTGGCGCACGCCTGTAATCCCAGCCACTCAGGAGGCTGAGGTAGGAGAATCGCTTGAACCCGGGAGGGGGAGGTTGCAGTGAACCAAGATGGTGTCACTGCACTCCAGCCTGGGTGACAAGAGCAAAACTCTGTCTCAAAAAAAATAAAAAAAATAAAAAAGAAGGTGATAGAGGATAGAAAAGTTGTCACAAAGAAAAACAAAAATCAGTCCTGAATGGGTGAAAGTATTTATTCCAGATGGAAAAGGGGAAAGGACATCTATTTGTCTTAGATTCTAAGCTCTCATAAGATAATAACCTAGTTTTCATAATTGTCATGAGGCTTAGAAATGCATGCAATTAAAGAATTTAATAAATACTTTTGCTGCTATTGTTGTTTAATTATAATAAAGTGTCATAAACTCTTTATTATGTTGGTTTCCTGATAGATTTAGATGCAGAAGAAAATCAAAATGTAGCAAAGACATTGAGAGGCAAAGTGAGAGAAAAGCTAAAAATTTCTAAGGTAATGCTTTTTAAAATTTCCTGTTTTCAAATTTACTATTTAAATGAGACATTTAACACAATCAAGTTTTCTTTGTCAAAAGAGCCGAAATTCAGTGTTAATATAGCTCCTTAATTCCTAAAGTCTTCCTCTCTCTCTCTATATATATATTTTCCTTTTGTCTCATAACATCCTTATAATGTCAAACCTAAAGCCAAGAAGAGCTAGGTGATTTGGTCATAGTAATTATAAATGACATTTCAGTATGTCTGCTGATATTTCATGTACACATACCACACTTTTTAAAAGAAAAACATTGCAAAGTATTGATATTTATAAATTTTGGACAAAAGACTTATGAGCACAATTATGTCTATTTCTGTAAAGATTTATTTATGTTGTGTTTCAGATTAATAAAGGTGAAAAATCTTCAACTGAGCAGCTCATTGATAGCGAAATACATCAAAGGTCCAAGGTGAATAACTTTTCTCTTTTTTTACTTTTTAAAACAGCTTTATGGAAGTATAGTTTACATAGCAAAACTTCACCCATTTAAAGTGTATATGACTCAATGATTTCTAGTTAATTTACAGAATTGTTCAATCAATACCACAGTTTAGTTTTTATCACCCAAAAAAGATTCCTCTTTATCAGTGATTGCCCATTTGCAATCACCCTCTATTCTTACTTGGCATTACTTTTTATCCTAAAAAATTATAATAAAATATTGTTAAAAGATAAACTTAGGAACATTAAAAGTTTAAAGAGTTTATTTGAACAGGCAACAATCCATGAATTGAGGAGTGCCACTGTGCAGATGGTTAGGGCTCCACCGAAAGGGCATGCAGGGAAAACTTTTAAACGGTGCATGCGGAAGCAAGGCAAAGAAAACATTGATTGACTAGAATGGAGCAGTAGCCTTAAAGTTCCTAGTTAGAGATTAGTTGGCAGTTTCTGATTGGTAAAACTAAAGTTACAGTTTCCTTGGATAGGACCATTCACACTGAATTGGGTTTGGTTTGCTTACATAGGAACTCAGGGCCCTAGAGCTGCTTCAGTCTAATAGCCTCCCAATTAATTATTTTAACAATGTTATAGGTGATATCCAACTTACAGATTTTAATCCAACTTACAGATTTTTAATTTAATGTGTAATCAATATTTGAAAATTCAATGTGTAATCACATATTTGGAACTTGAAATGACAAAACAACTCATATTTTTAAAGAGTTATATTATTTAGAGGACAAGCTAAGTAGCTGTAACAAAAAGATTCAAAGTAAAGTGTTTTCATTAAGATAGAAGTTTCCTTTTTCTCTAATGTAACAAATCAGCAGTCGGGGCTGATAGGAGAGTTTTGCCATCTCCAATATGTGGTTTCCATCCGTAAGTCCAATGGCAAAGCTGTAGTTTTCCATTTGCTAGCAAAAGGGAAGTGGGGAAGAAAGAACCAAAGGATTTTAGGTTGATCTTTTAGGGGAGAAGACCAGGAAACTGCATATCATATCATTTCCACCAAATGAATGTGGAAGAAGTGTCTAGGTTCTACTATTAGAGTTGGGAGAAAAGACTGTAATGAGCAACTAATAGTTTCTGCCACAAGCACCTAGAGTATTTAACTGCAAATTTTAAAATGCAAGGTTTTTTTTTTTAAATTTATCTTTGGCTCCTCAACAGAGCACCTCTTAGATGCTTAATAAAAATTATTTTAATTAAATGTAAAGGTAAACGCAGACTAAAAAGTGATGTTTATGTGCATGTTATTCACTCAACACATGAATTAAAACATGCCTAAATTGGATTTAATTTCACTACGAGTAGTAAAAACTATAAAGAGTTACAAAGTTTGTCAAGGTCAATCCATTGAGTATCAGGAAAAGGGGTTAAAAGGAAGAGAAATTGGCTTCTAAGAAACACGATCCCAATTACCACACAGGTATATTTGCTCAGGAAGCAGAAGATTTCAGCAAGTGATTTTGAGATGTGCAGAGGTGATGGGGGGTAAAAGTATATACTGACAATTCATATAAGCAGCATTGTTACAAGGTGAATAACTTTTAAGTTAATATGATGGCTACAGTGTAGATACAAACAATATAAAGATAAGCTTTTATCTTACAAGATAAAATCTTATAATTTTATATTTTATAAAATTATCTTATATAAAGTTATATCTTATAATTTTATATTTTACATATTTTAAATTCTTTCATTCCTAGTAACTATGAGTTTTACTTATTATAGAATTGATTCCTTTCCCAAGCCTTCCTTAAAACATTTCATTTTAATATATGTGTGTGAGAAAGAAGTGATTTATCAATTCAAAGAGTCAGACAAGAGTGAAAAATGAGAGCTTCTTTGTCAGCGGGTTTACAACCAAGAATATACCACTTTTCAGACTTTTAATTGCTTCTAACTCCATGAAAGATTGTGGGCTGAGGTGGCAGTGTGTGTGTGTGTGTGTGTGTGTGTGTGTGTCTGTGTGTGTGTGTGTGTGTGTGTGTGCGCGCGCCTGAACAGGACAGCACCAAAAACAAGGAGAGAAAAGAAAGTTCCACTGGAGCCAGCATTTTGGTCAAACTCTTATCACCCAGACTATAGTGAGGAGATAGTTTGGGAAGATGGAGAAGATTCTGGCTGTATATTCTGGCTTTTCTTGCAGTTACCCGAACATTAGAAACAAAACAAAAATAAAAACTCATGAACCAAACAGACTCAAAGCTAAATATACCTTGATATTGTTTGCCTTGGTGCTCCCTGTTTGCTAGAGAGATAACAATTATGTTTACCATATTACAGAAAACTATTTCCTTTACTTATAAGCAGAAAAAGTGTTTATTTCAACACTAAATACTGGTTTATCATAGTTGTCTCCACAGACTGAAGTCTCATTGGATGAAAGTCTTTCATTTTTCATTCTGAGTGGTGAAGAAGGTTCAGCTTTGGGCAAGTCTTCAGAGCAGGTTGGATTTGTTTGCCTCCCTCCCACCATCTCACTCTCAGGAAAAAATGATTCTTTATTAAAAGTGCAGAATGAAATACTTGGACGGGAGATAAAGTTTTATTATTGTGCCTTCATCTTCTCTTTGAATTAAGAAGCTGTTCATAATAATAAAACCTAGCATTTATTGAGTGCACTCTGAATGCCCAGTGATTACTAAGTTTTTAACACGAATTGTAGCATTAAATCCTCATCTTAACCCTGTGAGGCAGGCATTATGCTTATCTTTACAGGTAACGAAAATCAAGCAAAGAGGGTTAAGCCTTGATACAGCTGGAAAGTCTAGGCTGTCAGCTCAAAAGCCTGTGTTTTCTTTTTTCTTTCTTTCTTTCTTTCTTTTTTTTTTTTTGTTCCTATCCTTTCCAAGGGCCCTACATTGTTCTCCACAATCTCCACTACTCCTCATGGTCTCCTCATTCTTCATTCCTCCTAACCCAATCCCAAGCCCTCCTTCTAGTCAGTCCCTCTCAGTCCCCCTCAAACTGTGTAGTCTCCCTGTTTCCCTGGGGTTGCCCTTTCCTCCAGTCCTACTTAGCCTCACTGGTCTTTCCCATTTCCTCCTGACTTGTCTCCCTATCTGCTCTTGTTCCTGGACACTTTCTTCAATTCCTGTGTACCTTCCAGTCTCCCTACAGTTTTCTTGAGCCCTCTGCTACCCAGTACCTCTTATTCTCAGTAGTTCTACATAATGTCTTTTGACACCTCTTGGTCCCTCCAGATCCCTCAGGTCCCCCTGTCAAGTCCCTCTGGGTCCCCCATTTGCCTTCCTACTTCCACCTCCCAGTCTCTTCCAGTCTCCTTTCTTTGCATTCTGCTCCAGTCCTTTCATTCTCGTTTTGTTATTGTTGTTTTTTGCACAATTAAAAAAAAAAAACTCTTAAAATTTTGAACAAGTAAAACATACACAGTATAAAAACGTAATGCAGAAAGCCACAAGGAAGAAAATAAAAATCATCTGAAATCCCACTGCCCTAAGATAGTCACTATTATCATTTTTTCATACTTTTCTCTATGCTTAGCCCTGTACATGCACACACACGTTTTTATTACTATTATACTTTAAGTTCTGGGATACATGTGCTGAACTTGCAGGTTTGTTACATAGGTATACAGGTGCCATGGTGGTTTGCTTGCACCCATCAACCCGTCATCTACATTAGGTATTCTCCTAATGCTATGCCTCCCCTCGCCCCCACCCCCTGACAGGCCCTGGTGTGTGATGTTCCCTTCCCTGTGTCCATGTGTTCTCATTGTTCAACTCCTACTTATGAGTGAGAACATGCGGTGTTTGGTTTTCTGTTCCTGTGTTAGTTTCCTGAGACTGATTGTTTCCAGCTTCATCCATGTCCCTGCAAAGGACATGAACTCATCCTTTTTTGTCTCCATAGTATTCCATGGTGTATGTGTGCCACATTTTTTTTATTCAGTCTATCATTGATGGGCATTTGGGTTGATTCCAAGTCTTTGCTATTGTGAACAGTGCTGTAGTAAACATACGTGTGCATGTGTCTTTATAGTAGCATGATTTATAATCCTTTGGGTATATACCCAGTAATGAGATTGCTTGGTCAAATGGTATTTCTGGTTCTAGATCCTTAGGGAATTGCCACACTGTCTTCCACAATGGTGGAAGACACTCCCACCAACAGTGTAAAAGTGTTCCTATTTCTCCCCATCCTCTCCAGCATCCATTCTTTCCTGACTTTTTAATGATCGCCATTCTAACTGGTGTGAGATGGTATCTCATTGTGGCTTTGATTTGCATTTCTCTAATGACCAGTGATGGTGAGCTTTTTTTTCATATGTTTGCTGGCTGCATAAATGTCTTCTTTTGAGAAGTGTCTGTTCATATCCTTCGCTCACTTTTTGATGGGGTTGTTTTTTCTTGTAAATTTGTTTAAGTTATTTGTAGATTCTGGATATTAGCCCTTTTCAGATGAGTAGATTGCAAAAATTTTCTCCCATTCTGTAGGTTGCCTGTTCACTCTGGTGATAGTTTCTTTTGCTGTGCAGAAGCTCTTTAGTTTAATTAGATCCCATTTGTCAATTTTGGCTTTTGTTGCCATTGCTTTTGGTGTTTTAGTTATAAATCCTTTGCCCATGCCTATGTCCTGAATATTATTGCCTAGGTTTTCTTCTAGGGTTTTTATGGTTTTAGGTCTTACATTTAAGTCTTTAATCCATCTCGAGTTAATTTTTGTATAAGGTGTAAGGAAGGGGTCCAGTTTCAGTTTTCGGCATATGGCTAACCAGTTTTCCCAACACCATTGATTAAATAGGGAATCTTTACCCCATTGCTTGTTTTTGTCAGGTTTATCAAAGATCAGATGGTTGTAGATGTGTAGCATTATTTCTGAGGCCTCTGTTCTGTTCCATTAGTCTATATATCTATTTTGGTACCAGTACCATGCTGTTTGGTTACTGTAGCCTTGTAGTATAGTTTGAAGTCAGGTAGCGTGATGCCTACAGCTTTGTTCTTTTTGCTTAATATTGTCTTGGCTATCCAGGCTCTTTTTTGGTTCCATATGAAATTTAAAGTATTTTTTTCTAATTCTGTGAAGAAAGTCAATGGTAGCTTGATGGGGATAGCATTGAATCTATAAATTACTTTGGGCAGTATGGCCATTTTCACGATATTGATTCTTCCTATCCATGAGCATGGAATATATTTCCATTTGTTTGTGTCCTCTTTTATTTAATTGAGCAGTGGTTTATAGTTCTCCTTGAAGAGGTGCTTCACATCCCTTATAAGTTGTATTCCTAGGTATTTTATTCTCTGTGTAGCAATTGTGAATGGGAGTTCACTCATGATTTGGCTCTCTGTTTGTCTGTTATTGGTGTATAAGAATGCCTGTGATTTTTGCACATTGATTTTGTATCCTGAGACTTTCCCGAAGTTGCTTATCAGCTTAAGGAGGTTTTGGGCTGAGACGATGGGGTTTTCTAAATATGCAATCATGTCATCTGCAAACAGAGACAATTTGACTTCTTCTCTTCCTATTTGAATACCCTTTATTTCTTTCTCTTGCCTGATTTCCCTGGTCAGAACTTCCAATACTATGTTGAATAGGAGTGGTGAGAGAGGGCATCCTTGTCTTGTGCCAGTTTTCAAAGGGAATGCTTCCAGCTTCTGCCCATTCAGTTTGATATTGGCTGTGGGTTTGTCCTGAATAGCTCTTATATACATTCCATCAATACCTAGTTTATTGGGAGTTTTTAGCATGAAAGGGTGTTGAATTTTATCAAAGGTCTTTTCTGCATCTATTGAGATAGTCATGTGGTTTTTGTCATTGGTTCTGTTTACGTGATGGATTATGTTTATTGATTTTCATATGTGGAATCAGCCTTGCTTCCCAGGATGAAGCCCACTGATCGTGGTGGATAAGCTTTTTGAGGTGGTGTTGGACTTGGTTTGCCAGTATTTTATTGAGGATTTTTGCATCGATGTTCATCAGAAATATTGGCCTGAAATTTTCTTTTTTTGTTGTGTCCCTGACAGGTTTTGGTATCAGGATGATGCTGGCCTCATAAAATGAGTTAGCGAGGAGTCTCTCTTTTTCTATTGTTTGGAATGGTTTCAGAGGGAATGATATCAGCTCCTCTTTGTATCTCTGGTAGAATTCGGCTGTGAATCTGTCTGGTCCTGGGCTTTTTATGGTTGGTAGGCTATTAATTATTGCCTCAATTTCAGAATTTGATATTGGTCTATTCAGGGATTCGACTTCTTCCTGGTATAGTCTTGGGAGGGTGTATGTGTCCAGGAATTTATCCATTTCTTCTAGATTTTCTAGTTTATTTGTGTAGAGGTGTTAATAGCATTCTCTGATGGTAGTTTGTATTTCTGTGGGATCAGTGGTGACATCCCCTTTATCGTTTTTTATTGTGTCTATTTGATTCTCCTCTCTTTTCTTCTTTATTAGTCTGGCTAGTGGTCTATTTTGTTAATCTTTTCAAAAAACCAGCTCCTGGATTCATTGATTTTTTGAAGAGTTTTTTGTGTCTCTATCTCCTTCAGTTCTGCTCTGATCTTAGTTATTTCTTGTCTTCTGCTAGCTTTTGAATTTGTTTGCTCATGCTTCTCCAGTTCTTTTAATTGTGATGTTAGGGTGTTGATTTTAGATCTTTCCCACTTTTTCCTGTGGGCTTTTTGTGCTATAAATTTCCCTCTAAACACTGCTTTAACTGTGTCCCAGAGATTCCGGTACATTGTGTCTTTGTTTTCTTTGGTTTCAAATAACTTATTTATTTCTGCCTTAATTTTGATACTTACCCAGTAGTCATTCAGGAGCAGGTTGTTCAGTTTCCATGTAGTTGTGCAGTTTTGAGTGAGTTTCTTAATCCTGAGTTCTAATTTGATTGCACTGTGGTCTGAGAGACTGTTACGATTTCCATTCTTTTGCATTTGCTGAGGAGTGTTTTACTTCCAATTATGTGGTCAATTTTAGAATAAGTGCAATGTGGTGCTGAGAAGAATGTATATTCTGTTGATTTGGGGTGGAGAGTTCCGTAGATGTCTGTTAGGTCCACTTGGTCCAGAGCTGAGTTCAAGTCCTGAATATCCTTGTTAATTTTCTGTCTCATTCATCTGTCTAATATTGACAGTGGGATGTTAAAGTCTCCCATTATTATTGTGTGGGAGTCTAAGTCTCTTTGTAGGTCTCTAAGGACTTGCTTTATGAATCTGGGTGCCCCAGTGTTGGATGCATATATATATTTAGGATAGTTAGCTCTTCTTGTTGCATCAATCCTTTACCATTATGTAATGCCCTTCTTTGTCTTTTTTCATCTTTGTTGGTTTAAAGTATGTTTTATCAGAGACTAGGATGGCAACCCCTGCTTTTTTTTGCTTTCCATTTGCTTGGCAAATCTTCCTCCATCCCTTTATTTTGAGCCTATGTGTGTCTTTGCATGTGAGATGGGTCTCCTGAATACAGCACACCAATGGGTCTTGACTCATTATCCAATTTGCCAGTCTGTATCTTTTAACTGGGGCATTTAGCCCATTTACATTTAAGATTAATATTGTTCTGTGTGAATCTGATACTGTCATTACGATGCTAGCTGGTTATTTTGCCTATTAGTTGATGCAATTTCTTCATAGTGTCAATGGTCTTTATAATTTGGTATGTTTTTGCAGTGGCTGATGCTGGTTTTTCCTTTCCATATTTAGTACTTTTTTCAGGAGCTCTTGTAAGTCAGGCCTGGTGGTAACAAAATCTCTCAGCATTTGCTTGTCTGTAAAGGATTTTATTTCTCCTTAGCTTACGAAGTTTAGTTTGGCTGAATATGAAATTCTGGGTTGAAAATTCTTTTCTTTAAGAATGTTGAATATTGGCCCCCACTCTTTTCTGGCTTGTAGGATTTCTGCATAGAGATCCACTGTTAGTCTGATGGACTTCCCTTTGTGGGTAACTTGACCTTTCTCTCTGGCTGCCCTTAACATTTTTTCCTTCATTTCAACCTTGGTGACTCTGGCGATTATGTTTCTTGGGGTTGCTCTTCTCGAGGAGTATCTTTGTGGTATTCTCTGTATTTCCTGAATTTGAATGTTGACCTGTCTTGCTAAGTTGGGGAAGTTCTCTTGGATAATATCCTGAAGAGTGTTTTCCAACTCAGTTCCATTCTCCTCGTCACTTTCAGGTACACCAATCAAATGTAGGTTTGGTCTTTTCACATAGTCCCATATTTCTTAGAGGCTTTGTTCATTTCTTTTCATTCTTTTTTCTCTAATCTTGTCTTCATGCTTTATTTCATTAAGTTGATCTTCAATCTCTGGTATCTTTTCTTCTGCTTGATCGATTCAGCTGTTGGTACTTTTGTATGCTTCACGAAGTTCTCGTGCTGTGTTTTTCAGCTCCATCTGGTCATTTATGTTCTTCTTTAAACTGGTTGTTCCAGTTAGCAATTCCTCTAACTTTTTTTCAAGGTTCTTAGCTTCCTTGCATTAGGTTAGAACATGCTCTTTTAGCTCAGAGGAATTTGTTATTACCCACCTTCTGAAGCCTACTTCTGTCAATTCATCAAACTTATTCTCTGTCCAGTTTTGTTCCCTTGCTGGTGAGGAGTTGTGATCCTTTGGAGGAAAAGAGGCGTTCTGGTTTTTGAAATTTTCAGCCTTTTTCTGCTGTTTTTTCCTCATCTTCATGGATTTATTTACCTTTGGTCTTTGGTGTTGGTGACCTTTGGATGGGGTTTCTGTGTGGACATCCTTTTTGTTGATGTTGATGCTATTCCTTTCTGTTTGTTAGTTTTCCTTGTAAGAGACCCCTCTGCTGCAGGTCTACTGGAGTTTGCTGGAGGTCCACTCCAGACCCCCTTTGCCTGGGTGTCACCAGCAGAGGCTACAGAACAGCAAAGATTGCTGCCTCTTCCTTCCTCTGGAAGCTTCGTCCCAGAGGGGCACCCATCAGATGCCAGCGGAGCTCTCCTGTATGAGGTGTCTGTCGACCTGTGCTGGGAAGTGTCTCCCAGTCAGGAGGCACAGGGGTCAGGGAACCACTTGAGGAGGGAGTCTGTCCCTTAGCAGAGCTCGAGCACTGTGCTGGAAGATCTGCTGCTCTCTTCAGAGCTGGCAGGCAGGAACGTTTAAGTCTGCTGAAGCTGTGCCCACAGCCGCCCCTTCCCCAGGTGCTCTGTCCCAGGAGATGGGAGTTTTATTTATAAGCTCCTGACTGGGGCTACTGCCTTTCTTTCAGAGATGCCCTGGCCAGAGAGGAGGAGTCTAGAGAGGCAGTTTGGCTACAGCAGCTTTGCCAAGCTGTGGTGGGCTCTGCCTAGTTTGAACTTCCCCGTGGCTTTGTTTACACTGTAAGGGGAAAACCCGCCTACCCAAGCCTCAGTAATGGCGGACGCCCCTTCCCCACCAAGCTTGAGCGTCCCAGGTCGACTTCAGACTGCTGTGCTGGCAGTGAGAATTTCAAGCCAGTTGATCTTAGCTTGCGGGGCTCCGTCGGGGTGGGATCCACAAAGCTAGACCACATGGCTCCCTGGCTTCAGCCTCCTTTCCAGGGGAGTGAACGGTTCTGTCGATTCTGTCTTGTTGGCGTTCCAGGCACCACTGGGGTATGAAAAAAAAAAAACAAACAAACAAACAAAAAAACCTCTTGAAGCTACCTCAGTGTCTGCCAAACAGCCACCCAGTTTTGTATTGAAACCCAGGGCCCTGGTGACGTAGGCCCCCAAGGGAATCTCCTGGTCTGCAGGTTGAGAAGACCATGGGAAAAGTGTTCCTCATGGCACAGTCCCTCAGGGCTTCCCTTGGCTAGGGGAGGGAGTTCCCCAACCCCTTATGCTTCCTGGGTGAGGCGGTGCCCCACCCTGCTTCTGCTCACCCTCTGTGGGCTGCACCCACTGTCTAATCAGTCCCAGTGCAATAAGCCAGGTACCTCAGTTGGAAATGTAGACATCACCGGCCTTCTGCGTTAGTCTTGCTGGGAGCTGCAGACTGGAGCTGTTCCTATTCCGCCATCTTGCCAGCCACAGAGTTTTTTGTTTGTTTGTTTTGTTTTGTTTTGTTTTGAGATGGAGTCTTGGTCTGTCACCCAGGCTGGAGTGCAGTGGCATGACCTCAGCTCACTGCAACCTCTGTCTCCTGGCTTCAAGCGATTCTCTTGCCTCAGCCTCCCGAGTAGCTAGGATTACAGGAATGTGCCACTACACCTGGCTAATTTTTGTATTTTTAGTAGAGATGGGGTTTCGCTGTGTTGGCCAGGCTGGTCTCAAACTCCTGACCTCAGGTGATCTGCCCACCTCGGCCTTCCAAAGTGTTGGGATTACAGGCGTGAGCCACCACATCTGGCCACACAGTTTTATATAAACAGAATCACAGTAGTAAATGGCAATTCCATTTTTCCAGTTGCTCAGTTGAACCTTGGTCTCATCCTCAGATTTCCTTTTACTCAAATGCTTCAAATCCAATTTCTTACAAACCCTGTTGGTTCTGCCTTCAAAGTATTCCCATATCAGACCCACTTTTCACCAGCCTCTCTGGTACTTCACCATAGCCTCTCATCAGAATCACTGCCACTGTCTCCCTCTGTATTCACTATTGTCCCTGTAGTCCATTTTCCATACCATACAGTCATCACAGTGACCTTGTTAAAATCTAAGACAGATTTTTTTTTTTTTTTTGCTTACACTTTCTAATGGTTTCCTACCTCATTCACAATAAAAGTCCTTACAGGGGGGACCTGGTCCCCTTAGCACCTCTCTGACTTTATTTCATTTTTCACTACTCTCCTCTCTGTCATCTAACACCAGCCACATTGGCTTCCTTCCTGTTTCTCATTTACAGCAAGCTCCTGCCTCAGGGCCTTTGTACCAAGGTGTCTGCCTAGAAAGCTCTTTCCTTTTCCGTAAGCTGTGTCCCCCGCTAACTTTGGATTTCTGTTCAAATGACATATTATTATAGATGCTATGCCTGACAACCCTATCTAAAATAGTACCCCCAACCTACCCAGCCCAGCATTCTCTATCCTCTTACCCTGCTTTATTTTTCTTCATAACACTTATCACCACTTAATGTATATTTCTGTGTCTATTTGTTTATTTTCTTCCTGGAATATGTTAGGCACACAATGAATATTTGAATGAATATTGATTAAATGGGTATCAAACTTTCCTATGCTCTTAATCAGTCATCTGACTTCCCAGCATCCCACAATTTGGGTTAAGATAGGCTTTTCTGCAAAAACAAAAGCGGGCCGTGTCTCTGATCCTCCCACCCAGCAGAGTATGCCAGGGCTAGGTGCTGTGGCTGTGGCCACTTTTCCTTCTTGTAGGGCAAGCATAAAGATATTAGGTCAGTAGGAGTAAAGAGTGGGGCAAATGGGCTTCTTGGGTATGAGGAAGTCAAGGTTTAGATGTGAGCTGTTTAGAGAAGTTGTTTGGAAAAGCTATCTGCCCTGCAGCTAGTGACTACTGTCCCCATCACAGAAAGGAGAATGCTACTTCTTTTGTAAGAGGCTGAGTTTGAGTGTGGCACCTTCCTGCTGGGAGAAAGGGGAGCCCTCGTTCCAGATATCTCATCTGGGCAACCCAGAGTGAGGCCTGGGGTTACTTTCAGAAGGTTCTGCTTGTCACACCACAGTTAACAAGGCATGTTCCTGTGAGAAGGGGCAGGGACACTACCCCTTTTTTACTGCACAAAACTCACTTGTATCCATCTAGACTTATATCTTCTGACCCCATTCACCCTATCACACAATAGCCAACAGCACACACATTGCTCTGCTGTGAGCTGCATAGTGAAGACCAAGAAAGTGATCTGGGATAGCAGCTGGACTCAGACTAAGTGAGGAACAGTTGAGCAGGTAGGACTTGTATTGGTCCAGATCACAGCTTGTCTCAAGCTAAAAATATAGGCAGATTGGGTAGGGCTTATAAAAAAAAGACCCACAGAGTCATAACTCAGAGGCTAGAGTCCAAGATGAGAGCCCAGCGTAGTCTACCATCAGGGCAGACCTTAGCTCTGAAGGCAGGTGGAAAGCCCTGGCCCACACAAGGGGTGTTATAAAGGAAGCTTGGTTATGAGAGCTCCAGTTGGAGCAAAGAGGCTTTGTAGTCTACGACTGGGATCTTCAAAGAGAGCCCCCATGTGGAGATCCGCCAAATCTTGCTCCTAGATGTTGGCATACTTTATTTAAATTCTGAAAAGGATATCATGAAGATTTCTGGATATAAAATATTATCCTGATTTCATGGCAGGGATATAGGAGGGAGGGTATGATGATATGATTTTATATGAACCTAGTGGATGTTTAATGACATTACTTATTTAACTTTGTCAGTATTGATCGAGGCCATGTAGGGATTATCTGGTCAAAGGAATTCTGTGATTAACTTTTTAAATTTTATTATTTACCCTAAATGTGTGTTTTTGAAAACTGAGGGATTTTTGTCTGACTCACACACTGTCTCTGTTGTTCAGTATGTGTATATTTCAAATTAGACAGATAAAATCATCCAAAATAATGATTTTGCTTTCATGAATAGACTCATTAAATTTATGAGTATGATACATTCATTTTAATATTTAGTAATGTATCTGTTTCCACATCTATGTTCAAATTGTTTATAACCTTTATATATATCATATATCAGAATTTCACTATAATCACTCTACTAGACTTCTATGCTGAATCTTTACTTTTCTTTCTTCTTTCTTTTTTTTTTTCATGAATACCTTGTAGAAAAAAGCATGCCTACTCTACAGCACTTTAGGTGGTACTGTTTTCTGAATGATGGGGAAAAAAAGGATTTAGGGTCACATGGTCTGGTATCTTTGGACCCTGCCCTACACTGTGTATTCTCAGTAGTTGAAATATTACAGTTGAGTATCTCAGAACATTTTCCATAGGGGAGGAAGGGCTATTTCAGCAGTCTTTCAGTGAAGAATTGCAAAGATGGGCTATAGAAAAATCATATTGTGTAATACTAAACCTTAAATGAGTTCTAAATTCAGTGAAATTTCATTGTAACACAAGTTCAACTGGAACTTGTTCTGTGGGTGGCAGGATCAGACGCACAGTTCACAGTAAGGTTCCAGTACATTTCATTTATTTGCATATTAATCATTGGAGACAAGCATGTAAACTTATTTTCCTTTTTGGTATTCAACAGAGACCAGTAAACCGTAGTTATCCCAAATGCTTTTCACTTGGTGTTAATTTACAAAATGTTGCTGAGAGTGAAGAGGAAGAGTTTATGAAAGAATTCATTTTGACAGATATACTCAAAGTAAAAGCTGCTGACTATGAAGATGATCAAGAACAAATAAAAAAACAGAAGGCAAATATTTTTGTACCAAGTAGTTCTCCAGGTAACATTCTTTCCCAGTAAAATATTCAAGTCATTAACGAATTATGTTATGGGATAATAGCTTTATTGTATGCTGGATAAATAAAAAATACTGATCTAAAATTATAGTAACTTTTCTATATTTGTTTTTCATGACTTCCCTGAATTAAGGGAACTGATTAAGAGAACTCATTCTTCATTTAAAAAATGTACATATATAGGCATATGTATTTATATATAGAGAGAGAGAGCGAGCGAGAAAGTAAGAGACAGTGAGAGAGAGGCTTTCTGCTAGACTTCAGTAGTAGGGTGTAATTATAGTTGTTTGTACTACTTATTTGGTCAATATCCATTTAATATTTTGGACTTTAAAGTAATATCTAAGTTTTATTGTTATAAAGTGGTTAACCAGCGCAAACTGCCAAAAGATATGATGCCACGTATTCTAGAAGATGAAGGATTCTATATTCAGAGAAAGCCAGAAATATACAAAAAGACCTGCAACAAAATGGAAAATCGCCTGCTTAAACTAGAAGAGGCAAGTGCACCACCTAACAAGTTAAAACACTGGCTACTATGTGACTTATTTAGCAAAATATTTAATTACTATACTTAAATATTTTTGATAGGGAAAATGTTGGTTTGGAGAAAGTGGAGAAATAATGTCATTACCTACACCTATTAAACAGTCATGGAATTTCAGACTAAATGTAAGGAAGGAACCTTTAAATCCATTACTTAAGACCATATACAGGAAGGTAACCAACAACAATTTATTTGTAATTATGGTTAAAATTCTTGTAATATCAATTATCGCTGGTGGTTTTGTGGTGTTGATTTATCCTTTAAAGATACTAAGTCTACTAATATAATGTCTAAATCATGATGAAATGTTAAATAGCCCTTAAAATTATAGTTTCAAGGAATATTGAATGATATGGGGAAATGCTCAAAATAAAATCTGAAGTGAAAAAAGCAGAATGCAAAATTATGTATGGTGCTAATTTTACAAAAATAATGAATAAATGAATGATACTCAAGGTAGCCACTATTATAACTTCTACCACTACGTTACTCTTGTCTGTTAGTTTTACCTATTTTATATAAATGGAATAATAGAATAGGTACTCTATATTGTTGTGTACAGCAATAGCTTGTTCATTTCTGTTGCTGTATAGAACTCCATAGTATGAAAAATACCTTTATTTATTAACCATTCTTTTATTGATGGATATAAGTTACATCCAGTTTTGACTATTACTAATAACACTACCATGAAAATTTGCACATCTTCTGATAACTGTGTGTGTATGCATTTTCTGTTGGTAAATATCTCAGAGTAGAAATGCTGGGTTATAGGTTTGTATATGTTTAGTTTTACTATATAGTGCCAAATGATTTTCTAAAGTGGTTGTACCAAACTATACACAAACTAAGAAGTGTGTGAGAGTTTCAGCTGCTTTATATTCCTGTCAACATTTGGTATTATCTGTCTTTTAAATCATAGCCATTCTGATGTACATAAGTTGTATTTCATTGAAGTTTTAATCTGCATTTCCCTAATGACTAATGAAACTGAACACCTTTTCATGTCTGTTGGTTATTAGGACAGCCTTTTTTATGAAAGCTTGGTTAAGACTTTTACCCATTTTTTTCTTATTGGATTGTCTGCTTTTTCTTATTGATGTGTTGATTTCTGGATGTGAGCCCTCATATAATGTACTCTATGGCTAATTTTCTCACTGTCTGTATTAGTCCATTCTCACATTACTATAAAGAAATACCTGAGACTGGGTAATTTATAAATAAAAGAGGTGTAATTGGCTCATGATTCTACAGGCTGTACAGGAAGCATGATGCTGGCATCTGCTTGGCTTCTGGGGAGGCCTCAAGAAACTTCTGGGAGGCCTCAGGAAACTTGCAGTCATGGTGGAGGGCAAAGAGGGAGCTGGCACTTCACGAGGCTAGAGTAGGAAGAAGAAAGAGAAGAGGGGAGGTGCCACCCACTTTTGAATGACTAGATCTCATGAGAACTCTATCACCAGAACAACCCCAAGGGGATGGTGTTAAACCATTCATGAAGGACCCACCCCCATGATCCAATCACTTTGTACCAAGCCCCACCTCCAACATTGGGGGTTACAACTCAACATGAGATTTGGGTGGAGACACAGATCCAAACCATATCACTCTTAATTGTGCTTTTTGATGGGATATTCTTAATTTTAATGTAGTATAATTTACCATTTTCTTTTTCTTTAGGGTTAGCACCTTTTATAGCCTGTTTAAGAAAGTGTGCTTACTCCAGGTCCCAAAAGTATTCTTCTGTTTTTATTCTAAAAAGTTTATTGTTGTACCTTTCTCATTTAGAGTTACCACCCATCTGGAAGGTACTTTCTATGTATAGTGGTAGGTAGGGGGTCATATTTCATTTCATCCACATGGATATCCAGTTGACTTAGTACCATTTATTGAAAAAAATCAATAAACCTTTTCTCATTATAATTCATTGTCATCTTTGACATTAGTCAGCTGACCATCTATGACTTTAAAAATAAAGGACTAGTCAATGGAAAGACATCCCATGTTCATGGGTTAGAGGACTTAATATTGTTAAAAATATCCATACTACCCAAACTGATCTGCAGACTTAGAGCAATCCATTTCAAACTCCCAATGACATTTTTTTACAGAAATGGAAAAAAAATCCAATAATTAATAAGGAACCACAAAGGACCTTCAAGGTAGAAGCTTTATATTCCTGACTTCAAAATATATTACAAAGCTACATTAATCAAAACAGGATGGTACTGGCATAAAGACAGATATATGGACCAATGGAACAGAATGAAGAGCCCAGAAATAAACTTATGTATATACAGTCAAATGATCTTCAAGAGGGTGCCAAGACTACACAATGGGGAAAGGATAGTCTCTTCAACAAATGGTGCTGGGAAGACTGGACATCCACTTGCAAAAGAATGAAATCAGACCTTTATCTTACATCATACACAAACATCAACTCGAGATGGAGTAAAGACTTAAAAACAATACCTGAAACTATAAAACTCCTAGATGAGAACGTGGAGGAAAGCCTTTATAACATCGTTCTTGGCAGTGGTTTCCTGGATATGACACCAAAAGCGTAGGCAACAAAACAAAAATAGAGAAGTGAGACTACAACAAACTAAAATGCATCTGTTGCAGTAAAGGAAACAATCACCAGAGACAGAAGGCAACCTATGGAATGGGAGAAAATATTTGCAAACCATATATCTGATAAGAGATTGAAATCCAAAATATATAAAGAACTGATTTAACTCAGTAACAAATTAAAAAATGGGAAAAAGACTTGAACAGACATTTCTCCAAAAAAAACCAAAGATGCATACAAATGGCCAACAGACATATAAAACATGCCTAACATCACTAATTGTCAGAGAAATGCAAATCAAAACCATAGTAAGATATCACTTCTCACCTGTTAGGATGGTCATTATTTAAAAAAAAAATCCCCTGAAAATAACAAGTGTTGGCAACAATGCGGAGAAATTAGAACCCTTGTACACTGTTGGTGGGAATGTAAAATGGTGCGACCACTATGGAAAATGGTATGGAGTTCCTCTGCAAATTTAAAATAGAACCGTAATATGATCCAACAATCTCACTTCTGGGTATTTATCCAGAAAAATTAAATTTAAGATTTTGAAGTGATATTTGCATTCCCATGTTCATTGCAGCATTATTCACAATAGCCAAGAGGTGGAAACAACCTAGCTGTTCATTGACAGTTGAATAAAGAAAACATGGTGTATGTAGCCATAAATAATAAATCTTGTCATATGCTAAAACATGGGTGAAGCTTGAAGATGTTATACTAAATGAAATAAGTCAATCACAGAAGAACAAATTCTGCATGATTCTGCTTATATGAGGTATCCAAAGTAGTTCAGCTTCACAGAAGCAGAAGGTAGAATGGCGGTTGCCAGGGGCTTGGGGAAGAGAGAAATAGGGAGTTGCTGTTCAAAGGGTATAGAATTTCAGTCATGCAAGATGAAAAAGCCCTAGGGATCTATGGTACAACATTGTGCTTATAGTTAATAGTACTGTAAACTTAAACGAGGGTAGATCTCATGTTTTGTATTTTTTACCATAAAAAATAGGACCATTCAGATTTTATATTTTCTCTAATTTGTCTTCTACTTTTGCTTTTTAAAAAATTCTTTTTTCTCTCTGAATTTTAGTTTGCATATATTCTATTGACCTGTCTTAACCATTCACTTATATAATTTTCTGCCATATTTTATCTCCAGTTAAATCCACCCAATGAGTTCTTTCCCTTTATTTCTTTTATATGTTTAAAATATCCCCTTCTTCACCTTAAGAAAAAGATTTGGTAGTGTTTATTTGCCCTTGTGTTCTTTCTAGTATAGGCTTAATTTCTAAATTTTAAATTTTTTGCCATTTTCTTTCACCTAATTTCTGAGTTTAATTCTGATTTATGTTTTTAAATGTCATATAACTTCCATATAAATTCAGCTCACTGTGAAAACCACATTTCTATTTTTATCTGGTTTTGGATACCTTTCTGGTGTGCTTTGATTTCCTGTAGGCTGTTATTTTGCTGTTTATTCTTTTTTCTTATAGAAACTTTGATGGATTTAATCTTGATCCTTTTCTACTGCTTATTTTTATATAAAATTATTTTTCCTAAACTTTTATAAAAAGGCTCAGTTCAAATAACTTTTCTATTTTCACAGACCTGTTGTTTTTGTGTTGTGTTAAAATATATTGTGGCTGGATTTCTGAAATGTCTTGGCTCTATTCCCTTCCCCAGATTTTTTTCTGGACCTCCTTTTTCCTTAATTCCTGTGGTCCCCATACTTCTTAGTTTCGATTTCACTCCCAGTAGTTTCTATTCAGTGTGAAGGCTCATTCTGAAAATTCCTGGGAACTAGATTCCTGCAGCTCCTTCGGTCCTTAACCTGACCATCCACAATTGGAGTAGACAAAACCTGTTCCAATTTTAGCTGCTGTTTTTAAGTTGGCCTGCTGTACTTTCTGGTGCATTTCTGTTGGCTCTTTTGGACTCTTGTCAGGTCTATCAGATGTTCCATTGCTTCTCTCTGCTATCTCCCACACAATCGCCAATGCTATTCAGACCTTCTGAATATTGATGATTTGTCTTCACTGACTTGTGTTTTGGGTTTCATGAGGCATTTCTTGAGAACTACTTCTATTATAAATCTTGTCCGTGGATTTTTGGTTTTGCTGTCTAGTTGCTCTGCCTCTTTTAATATAGGAATTTGGGAAGATCTAAAACTGTACTGCCACCATATTTTCAGACCAGCCCATCTGCTGACTTCTTAATTTTACATATTTTCAATACATTTTTTGCTTGAAAGTGTTCATTCGACATTTAATTCTTCTGTAAATATTCTAATTTTCTTGAGATATATTTAGTCTTTTCATGGGTTTTTGCTGCTATTTTTAATACAGTAATAATAGCTACTTTAAAGTTCATATCTGGTAACTACAATATTTGGATCACTATGAATCTTTTTATTATCTATTTTTTCTCTTGGTTTTGCTCATTTAGTCTTGCCTCTTATTATGACAGGTGATTTTAAAAATTGTATTCTACATTATTATATATGAAAAATTATAGAAGCCCGAGATGATGTTATCTTCCACCAGAAATGTTCCATCCTTTGCTTTGTTAAGCGTATTGAGGATGATCATCTTCATCCAACCAGGGACTTAACTGATTTAAAGACTGAATTACAGTTTTGTTGAGGCTCATTCTGTATCTATATTTTCCGTTTACCTAGTATTTTCTCTGCTTGACTGCAAGCAGGGCAGGGTTTTTGTTTTGTTTTATTGGCTTGTTTTATAATTTATTGCTAACACCTACCCAAATGCCTAGCATTGAACGAATGCTTATATTATGTGTAATAGAACTCATCACCTCAGTCACTGTATGCTTTTAGGGTCCTAATATAATTTAGAAGATAAAGACTGACAGAAGTTCACTGGCATAATCTTAGAAAATGTTATTTCCTACAAGGTGCTTATCATACCATGAGAGACTAGCAATGTCTCTGCCCCATCCTAATTCATAGTGGAACACAGTTGTCAAGATTTTATAAATGGTACCACCATACCAAACATTACAATATCTTCATGTATTTTCCCAGTTGGCTTACTATAAAAGAATCTATCACCATTAAAATATAAAAACATAAAAGAATAAAAGAGGAGGGAAAAGCCCTGCTATTTATCTTATTCTTTGATATTATGTGGCATAATTTCTAGACTTTATAGTGACAATGCATTTTATCTAAATTTTGCTCCAGATATAGCAGAGATATTTTGGTGTAATTATCTGGGATCATTGCTTTTAGGAGAGAGGCCTTTGAAACAACAACAATTTGTTGAATGAATGAATAAATGAACAAATGCATCATAAAAAGTAAATGCATAATTTACAATTATTGAAGAAATATTAACCACCATTCAGGTTAACCTTTGTAATAATCTAGAATCCCAAGTTGGAAACCACTGGGCTGAACAAGTAACTTTCTTTTAGTGCATCTGTTCTAGCTTCATCCAAGCACAATTACAGGATTTCATGGACTGCTATAATTTGGAAAAAATGTAAAGGCCATCTCACCAACTGTCTAAATTGAGTTTTAAAATTCTTTCTTGCAGCTGCTGTGATTTGAATGTGTCTCCTCTAAAATTCAGGTTTTTTCAATGTGATAGCATTAAGGGGTAGGACCTATAAAAGGCAATTAGGCCATTAAGGCCCCTCCGCTATTGTCAATGGATTAGGTGCTCTTATAAAGGGGCTTTTGCCCTTCCACCATCTGCCATGTGAGGACACAGCATTCCTCCCTTCCAGCGGACACAGCAAAAAGGTCCACACTAGACATGAGATGTGGTGTCTTAATCTTGGACTTCCCAGCCTCCAGAACTGTGGAATAAATTTCTTTTCTTTATAATTTACCTAGCCTCAGGTACTCTGTTATAGTAGAACAAATTGACTAAGACAGTAGCATCCTTAACAGATCATGTCCTAGATTTTGTGTCAGACAAATGCCTCTACCTGCCTTTCTCTTCTATCTTCTTCACATTTTTCGTGTTGCCCAGCCAGCCTTGAAGGAAAAGCTGATTTACGGTCTCTCACCAGAATAAATATAAGGGCAACCAAGGTAGATATAATAGTTGTATGCATATCAGAGTCCTGTCTTTGCTTCTGCCTCTGCCAGGTACTTTAACAGCTTGTTGTACCTCTACTATCCCAGGTACCCTATTTGCCTGCTATTTACTGATTAGTTTCGTCTGACCATTTGACTATGACCTTCCCTCTGCTCCCATTTCTAGCACTCTTTTTATATATTTACATAGATTTTTATATGTCAACCAGCTTGGATGTTTTTGTGCTTTTATGTAGCCTTTGATTCATTGTTGCCCAAATCTTTATGCTTTTGGTAGAACACACTTACCTAGTTCTAGAAGCCTATTTAACTCACTCGGTCAAGTGCTGCTTTTCACCAATGTGTCAGGGAGTTTGCTACCTCTCAAAAGAATTCATTCTAATGTTGGACTTTTTTTTTTTTTTTTTTTTTTTTGAGACGGAGTTTCACTCTTTTTGCCCAGGCTGGAGTGCAATGGTACAGTCTCAGCTCACTGCAACCTCTGCCTCCCAGGTTCAAGTACTTCTCCTGCCTTAGCCTCCCGAGTAGCTGGGATTACAGGTGTGCACCACCACGCCTGGCTAATTTTTGTATTTTTAGTAGAGATGGGGTTTTGCCATGTTGGCCAGGCTGGTCTTGAACTCTTGACCTCAGAAGACCTGCCCGCCCAGCCTCCCAAAGTGCTAGGATTACAGGCGTGAGCCACCACGCCCAGCGGACAGTTCTAATTGTTCTTTGTTTTCTGTTGTTAAAGTCTGTCTCCAGGTCACTTCTACTTATTTGACCCTTTTTGGCCATAAGGAACACATAAAGTACTTCATCTATGTGACACCTCCTCAAATGTTTGAAGCCTACAGTCACTTCCACCTTTAGTTTTTGCTCTCCAGTCTAAATTGCCTCCTTTGGTTGTTGTTAGATATTCCACCACCTCATTTACCCTCCTCTAGCTTCTTAGCACTGTAGTCAGTAGGTGCTGAAGAGGACAGGACCAAGGGCAGAGGCTTGTGTCACTCCATTAGAAACCCAAAGCAACTGAGCAACACAGTTATTCAACCAGTGCTGGATCTGCTTAACAAGACAGGATTCTCTAGCTTAGGAACTTTAATTTTCAAAAGTTCATTTACAATTTAGTTGTTTTAAATGGAAAATGATTTTTCCTTGGTGTTTTCTTTCCTGTTTAATGGCCAATTTACCAACTTATTACCAATTGTCTAAATCTCTCAGGTGAAATCAAGAGCAGGTTTCCCCTTTTATGGGTTGGCTCTTACATAAAGAACAAAGACTTACCAGCCATAAACAAGCTTTATTGCTGTTTGTCTGCCTCCCTGAAACCCAGTAAGGAAGAAGGAAAGGTTCCTAACTCAGGAAAAAATAAGGAGGCAGAGATTTAGGCACCGTACAGATGGCTTTCAGTCCTTGAGGAGCATTGGGTCTGCCACACCAGGTTAGGGGTGGGACAACATTAGGTGTAATAGCAATGGCACAGACTGAAGAGCATATCATATTACACCAGACTGATCCAGAGAGTGGGCTCAGTGTGCTCCTATTTGGGTTGATGCATTCATGGCTTTTATCAGGAGTGGCTAGGCATTGATGAATCAGGCTGCATATGCTAAGTAACTCACCAACCCTCGTAAATTGCATTACTGAAAACCAATGATATTGAGCACATGCATATTCAAACATGTGCATAAATTCCAAATAGTGGACTCAAAAATATATATATATATATATATATATATATATATTTTTTTTTTTTTTTTTGAGACAAAGTATTGCTCTGTCACCCAGGCTAGAGTACAATGGTGTGATCTCAGCTCACTGCAACCTCCGCCTCCTGGGTTCTAGCGATTCTCCTGCCTCAGCCTCCCAAGTAGTCGGGATTACAGGGACCCATCACCACTCCCGGCTAATTTTTGTATTTTTAGTAGAGATGGGGTTTTGCCATGTTGGCCAGGCTGGTCTCGAACTCTTGACCTCAGGTGGTCCACCTGCCTCGGCCTCCCAAAATGCTGGGATTATACAAGTATGAGCCACCACACTCGGCCTATTCCTTTACTTTCTTAATAAACTTGCTTTTACTTAAAAAAAAGGTGGTCAGGTGCAGTGGCTCACACTTGTAATCCCAGCACTTTGGGAGGCCGAGGTGGGCAGATCACGAGGTCAGGAGATCAAGACTATCCTGGCCAAAATGGTGAAACACCGTCTCTACTAAAAATACAAACATTAGCTGGGTGTGGTGGCATGCACCTGTAGTCCCAGCTACTTGGGAGGCTGAGGCAGGAGCATCGCTTGAACCTGGGAGGTGGAGGTTGCAGTGAGCTGAGATCACGCTACTGCACACTGCATTCCAGCCTGGTGACACAGTGAGACTCCGTCTCAAGAAATAAAAAAAAAAAAAGATGGACTAAAACAGTTGAATCATCTTCCATATGATCTAAAGCCTACAGACTTCAGAAATTTAAGGACAATCTGGTATCAAAATGGAGACAATCTCATGTACAAAAACAGGTGCTCTTCTTATGGGAATTGCTTAGAGGGCCCAGGCTCCTGAAGATAATTTCCCAGAGGATCACCAGTGTATTCATTTATAAACAATGTTTTAATAAGTAATTCTCATTTAACTCTGGCCCACGGTTCTAAACACCATTTGTCATAGTGTTTCTATAGGAAATTATTTTTGGTTTTATAACTTGAAAGTCCAACTTCCACTCCACCAGCACACAATACTGAGATAGATTACAATAGTTAATAGTAAGATGATTCTTCACAGAATTGGAAAAAACTACTTTAAAGTTCATATGGAACCAAAAAAGAGCCCGCATCGCCAAGTCAATCCTAAGCCAAAAGAACAAAGCTGGAGGCATCACACTACCTGACTTCAAACTATACTACAAGGCTACAGTAACCAAAACAGCATGGTACTGGTACCAAAACAGAGATATAGATCAATGGAACAGAACAGAGCCCTCAGAAATAATGCCGCATATCTACAACTATCTGATCTTTGACAAACCTGAGAAAAACAAGCAATGGGGAAAGGATTCCCTATTTAATAAATGGTGCTGGGAAAACTGGCTAGCCATATGTAGAAAGCTGAAACTGGATCCCTTCCTTACACCTTATACGAAAATCAATTCAAGATGGATTAAAGATTTAAACGTTAGACCTAAAACCATAAAAACCCTAGAAGAAAACCTAGGCATTACCATTCAGGACATAGGCGTGGGCAAGGACTTCATGTCCAAAACACCAAAAGCAATGGCAACAAAAGCCAAAATTGACAAATGGGATCTAATTAAACTAAAGAGCTTCTGCACAGCAAAAGAAACTACCATCAGAGTGAACAGGCAACCTACAACATGGGAGAAAATTTTCGCAACCTACTCATCTGACAAAGGGCTAATATCCAGAATCTACAATGAACTCAAACAAATTTACAAGAAAAAAACAAACAACCCCATCAAAAAGTGGGCGAAGGACATGAACAGACACTTCTCAAAAGAAGACATTTATGCAGCCAAAAAACACATGAAGAAATGCTCATCATCACTGGCCATCAGGGAAATGCAAATCAAAACCACAATGAGATATCATCTCACACCAGTTAGAATGGCAATCATTAAAAAGTCAGGAAACAACAGGTGCTGGAGAGGATGTGGAGAAATAGGAACACTTTTACACTGTTGGTGGGACTGTAAACTAGTTCAACCATTGTGGAAGTCAGTGTGGCGATTCCTCAGGGATCTAGAACTAGAAATACCATTTGACCCAGCCATCCCATTACTGGGTATATACCCAAAGGACCATAAATCATGCTGTTATAAAGACACATGCACACGTATGTTTATTGCGGCACTATTCACAATAGCAAAGACTTGGAACCAACCCAAATGTCCAACAATGATAGACTGGATTAAGAAAATGTGGCACATATACACCATGGAATACTATGCAGCCATAAAAAATGATGAGTTCATGTCCTTTGTAGGGACATGGATGAAATTGGAAACCATCATTCTCAGTAAACTATCGCAAGAACAAAAAACCAAACACCGCATATTCTCACTCATAGGTGGGAATTGAACAATGAGATCACATGGACACAGGAAGGGGAATATCACACTCTGGGGACTGTGGTGGGGTCGGGGGAGGGGGGAGGGATAGCATTGGGAGATATACCTAATGCTAGATGACACGTTAGTGGGTGCAGCGCACCAGCATGGCACATGTATACATATGTAACTAACCTGCACAATGTGCACATGTACCCTAAAACTTAGAGTATAATAAAAAAAAAAATTAAAAAAAAAAATAGTAAGATGATTAAAATGCTGTAATATAAATATATTTGATGAAATTAAGGGCCATAATCAATTTAAGGAAAAGGAATCAAATTATTATTTTTTGTTTTTCTATATCTCTTGATTTTCCTACAATTGAAATGTTACTTTTGTAAGGAAAAGTTACTTATAATTTCAAAAGAAACTGAATCAAATTAACATTGTGCACTTATTTTTCTTTAAAAGGCAGTAAAATATGACCTGGGAAGTTCATTTATGAACAAAATGGAAGGTTCAAGGGAAATATACCAGTTAGACCTCAACATTGTGGGTTTGCAATTCAGCCATCATCATCTCTTCAATCAAGAGCAAGTATTATGCGCAAGGCTTCTCCAACTTTATGAATGTTTTCAGGACAGGCAGCAACAGAATGTATCTCAGCTGCTTTATGAGAAGGTGAGAATGGCTTTCATTATAAAGCTAAACATTTAATATTGAAAAAGAAAAAATTCCTTGTGCAGAGCAAATTATCAGAACATTTTCTAAATATTTAAGTAGAACAATGGTTCAATTTCAGTTTCTCTGAAAAGAAACTGTAGGAATTGACTGGCTGGGGAGAAAGCTTTAAATATATCCTATGGGATATTTATTTACCACAAATGGTTTACTAATCAATGGTATTCTTGGTCCTATAACTCAAGAAGAGTATTTGAAATGATTATTAATGAAAAGAGCCATGTGGCTGTTTTAAGTCTTATAATAAAGTATTTTAATTAAAATATTAGAAATCTTGACTCTCATAACAAACCTGAAGAGTCTTGGTCTGAAGATGATTAATCCAAACAGTCATCTCATGACATCATGAGGGGTATATGAAGTCTGAAGAGAAATAGAAGGAGTACCCACTGATTACTTTTATAAACTTGTGCCTCATTTAAACTCTCTGCTAGTTTTCTGATATATGAGCATTTTGTTGACTAGTGTTCTCTTGGGAAAGGTATTTTGATAGTATGTCTCATTCAACTAATGAATACATTTGAAATCAAATCCCCTCTAAGCTATTTAATGAAACATTCAATCCTGATGGAGCCACAAAGCCGTCTCAATAAACTGGACATGAACTAATTATGAACCTTCATAAATATCTGTTATGAACCTTCATAAATATCTGCTTTTTTTTTTCTTTTTGAGATGGAGTCTTGCTCTGTCGCCGAGGCTAGAGTGCAGTGGCGTGATCTTGGCTCACTGCAACCTCTACCTCCCGAGTTCAAGCGATTCTCTTGCCTCAGCTTCCTGAGTAGCTGGGACTACAGGTGCCCACCACATGCACGGCTAATTTTTGTATTTTCAGTAGAGATGGGGTTTTGCCATGTTGGCCGGGCTGTTCTCGAACTTCTGACCTCAGGTGATCTGCCTAACTCGGCCTCCCAAAGTGCTGAGATTACAGGCATGAGCCACCATGCCCGGCTAATATGTGCTTTTTAAAATATAAGTTTAAAACCCACAGGACTTAATCCATTTTTTTTTTTGAGATAAGGTGTCATTCAGGCTGCAATGCAGTGGCTCAATCATGGCTCACTGCAGCCTCAACCCAGGCTCAAGCTGTCCTCCCACTTCAGCCTCCTAAGTAGCTGGAACTACAGATGTGCACCATCACACCCAGCTAAAGTTTTTTTCTTTTTCATAGAGACAGGCTTTTGCCATGTTGCCCAGGCTGCTCTTGAACTCCTGGGCTCAAGCGATTTGCCTGCCTCGGCCTCCTTATATGGTGGGATTACAGGTGTGAGCCACCATGCCCAGCCAGGAGTTAATCTATTTGATTTGATGAAGCAATTGTGTGGGAGAACTTAATAGATGAACACCATGCATTAGCAATATCAGAAGATTTCCTAAAATAAATATTGAATATTCTAACTTTTAGTAAAATATGGCCATTTTTTAAATGAATGAAGGAAACAACTCAGATTAAAATGCAGATCATTTAAAAAGTGATTTGATCTACAGATTTCTGCTTTATAGAATTTTTTCCCACAATATTATAGAATCTTTAAAATCTGATTTAGCAATATCAATTTTAGTTTATTAGAGTACCATCTATTAAAGTATATATAGACTCTGGGTTTATTTTTCATGTATATGCATGGCTCTCTGCATAAAATAAAAACTTTTGGGGTTATTATTTGCAATATGTTTCAGTATTATTATTGTATTAGGAACCAAATGTAATTTCTCAGTGGATTTTTGCTTTTTTTCAATTTATTCTCTTATGTGAATGTAAACATTTTCTCTAACTCCCAGTAAATTGTGAAAAGAGAAATGTGCTTGGAAGTGTGCATAATCTTCTCTTCTGAGGTAGAGAAGAGCAGTGGGGAAGAGAAGAAAAGGCCAGGTGGTGCAGAGCATGTTCATTGGCCTCCCACTAAAAGATTAATTTCTTAAACATGGATAATTTAGTCCCTGGGTGTGAAATGTATGGCTTTGCCTGTTCCCAGTGTTTTCAAACCAATTCAGAGTAGTGGAAGAGTCATTGGCATCCAAGGAATTCTTAAACTGAAATATGCTCCTTTATATGAGTATGACTTCCACTTAAAGAACAAAGAGGGATGTTGCTGATAGTATGAGAGAGTAGAAAGGATGCTCAGCTATGCAGATTTCTGCTCTTTTTCCCTCTAGCTTTAAAAAATTGTACAAGTAATACCGGAATACGTTCTCCCTGGAAAAGATTAATTGTAGAAGTGTCAAGATGTGAAAGCCCTACTTCGTTCATCACCTCATGGTTTGGACATCCTTTAGTTCTTTGAGTACATCCTTAAAGTTCTCCTCTCCCTGTATTTCTATATGTATGTATGCCATGATTGTTTTTAACATAAATTGGATCTTACCATATGTATTATTTGGCAACTTGGTTTTTTTTAGATACAGCATCTTGTTATGTTGCCCAGGCTGGACTCAAACTCCTGGGCTCAAGCAATCCTCCCACCTCAGCCTCCCAAGTAGGTGAGACTACAGGTGTGCACCACCATGCCCAGCTGGTTTTCTGAAATTAATACTCTATCTTGGAACTTTTTATGTATCACTATATATATATAAGTCCATAATATAGGTTTATTTTAATATATTTAATCACTCCCATTCAATGGCACTTAGGTCATTTCTTTATGATTAATAATGAAGCAGTGAATATCCTTGTACCTATATATTTGAACACATATATGAAAACTTCTATAGGATAGATCCATAGAAGTGAAGTTGCCTGGTCAAAGGTAAGGGTATATGCAGTTTGAATTTTATTAGAAAGTGATAAAATGCCTTTCCCAAATGTTTTTCCAATTTGAATTTCCACTGGCAAGGCAGGACAGAGCCCACTTCCCAGAGCCTTCACCAATATTCAGTATTTTTCTCTAGCTTTATTTTTAATTAATTCACAAGTTAAAAAAGAATATATATATTTTTCTAGATGTAAGTCCATAAAAGAAGTATGTCTTTTAAATATGTTTTGTATATTTTTGTCCTATTCTGTTACTTGCTTTTAAACTTTATTATATATTTTGGCAAACATTTTAAATTTAAAAAAAATTCTTTTTTGAGAAAGGTCTCACTCTGTCCCCCAGAGTGCAATTATAACTCACTGCAGCCTCTAACTCCTGGGCTCAAGTGATGCTCTCACTCAGCCTCCCAAGTAGCTGGGACTACAGGTACATGCCACAACACCCGGGTCATTTTTAAAAAAATTTTAAGAAACAAGGTCTTGCTGTATTGCCAGAGTGACCTTGAAATCTTGGCCTCAAGCAATCCTCGTACCTCAGCTCCCTGAGTTGTTGGGATTACAGGCATGAGCCACTGAGCTTGGCAAGCATTTTACATTTTTACGACGTCAAATCTGTTCATCTTTTCCCTTGTGAATTTTAGATTTTCTTGTTTGCTTCCTAAGCTTCCTAAGACCTTCTCTACCCCAAGTTTATCAATTAGCATATTTTTGGTTGCAATTCATGGAGAACTTCATCTCAGTTACTTCAGACAATAAGGAAAAGGCATTACCTCATATTGTCCAAGTTAGGGCAGCTCTAGGTTTGGTTAATTTGGTGTCTCGATGATATTATCAACAACCCTAGCCTTTTCTGTCCTTCTCTTCATCTTCAGCAAGTTGACTTGTGGTTAGCTCTACTTATGGAAGCTAACCAAGTGGCTGCTCCAGTTGAAGGCATACTGGTCAGACACACAATATGCAGCGTAGTGTCTCACATTGAGAGCCTTCTCCAATCTCTCTCCTGCCCTGCAGCAGATTTCCCCTGATATTTCATTGACTAGAATTATTTTGCATGATAATGCCTAAGCCATTCATTGGCAAGAATGAAATGGCTGCAAATAGCTGCACTAATCAGTTTACCTCAAAAACACATGGAAAATGATTGAGCAATTGAACAAAACTGGTGTTCTGCCAACAAAGAAAAATGATCCTTTAAGGGCAATGAATAGTGTCTGACAGACCAAAATTATAAAGACTTCCTTTTATATATCCTTATGGTATATATTATATATGTATTTGTGTATGTGTATACATATGGATTTGTGAGTATATATGTGTGTGTCAAAGGGCATGTGTGTATATTATTTCTAGCCTTTTCTATCTAGAGTTTATATCTGTGTCTCAGCTAAGACTGGGCTCCAACTCCACTCTTTCTCCCAAAAGAGCAGCCTAATATCCAAATACCATCATTTATTTCCCTATTGATTTAAAATACTAACTTTATCCTATACCAGCTGCACATATTTATTAATATATAGGTTTGCTTGAGGACTGTCTGTTCCTCATATGACATATTTGTCTAGTTCCGTACTGTTTCATTACCATATTTAATTATTAAATTATATGTCATAGCACAAGTGCCTCCTTGTTGTTCTTTTCTAGAATGTTTTTGGATACCCCACAGATTTTATCTTCTACATGAACCTTAGAATTAGCTTGTCACCTTCTATTTTTAAAACCCTGTTACCATCTTTATTGTGATTGTGTTGTACTGTTACATTAATTTTGAAAGAAATTTGATCCTCATAAAAATTGGGTTTCCTCTTCCAGGAATATAGTTTGTTTTCCTATGTTTAGGTCTTCTTGTATGTCTTCCAGTGAAAGTTTATATCAATTGACTCTAGTCTTGAAGTTCCCACAAATTACCTCCAACTGTGACAGACGTCTCCTTTATGTGTTTTAGGGCCTAGTTTCCTCCAGTTCTATTGCTCTATGGATGTTACTCTGTTTTATACCTTCTGCAGTATATCTTGTTCTCTTGATTTTATTCTTCTTGTTTTCCTACATTATGCACTTATCCATAAAGATAGTTATCAATATATGTATATAGATATGAATGTGGATAAAGACAGACATATATTTTTTCTGTAACTATGGGATTTTAGGTGAAAGATAAGATTGATACCTGTGCTCAATATGCCTTCTTGATCTAATGGCATTTCTTTATATCAATTGATGAATTGATTGTCTAGTAATGTTCAAGATACTAGATGTTATTAGATACTAAATTGATGTTTATTGCCTACATAGATATTGAGGCCTTTCTCAGTTCCTCCCCAAGGTGCTTATATAAAATATATTGTGGAAGATAAGCCAATAATACACACAAAGTTATACATTTGTTCGGCTGCTGCACACACCTTGACCTACAGGTGAACTGGATCAATGGTAACAGGCAGATAAAATATACCGAAGAGCTCTTTTTTTTTTGTTATAGCTGAAAGCACTGACAGATGCTACCAAATTGTCAAATGAAAATTCAGAAATTAACCAGCTGACCAGAAAATCTTTACAAGATTATTATTGGCAAATAAGGTAGGTTTTGAGCCATTCATGTTCATCAAGCATTCATTAAGTAACTTCTTTAGACAAAGTACTGCACTTGCTATGGAAGATAAAGAAAAGTACACAATCCTTACTTTTTAGGCGATTACAGAAATGGTTTCAATCTTTTTTAAGACCCACGTTTGTGTAAAAATATTTCACAGGGGTGCCATGTGAAAATAGTTCTAGTTTTAACATCCATTGATTTGTTTTAAAAAGTTGAAGAACTATGAGTTCATGAGTACTTTGAAATTGACTTGGATTATATTGATCTGAAGTGTTAGTATATATTTGAGAATTAGTGCACATTTACACATGTGCAAGATATATTATTATTTCAGTCTAAAGACAATATTTCACAAGTAGTGAATTTAAGGACCCCTGTAAAAAGCATGGTCTACAAGTTGGGAGCCATTGGCTTATAGACTGGAAAGCGAAGTTATGAAAGTATGAAATAACTGGGAAAGTAATTCCAAGACAAAACATATTCATGTGTCACAGAATCTCTAAAAGCAGGAAAATTCACTGGAAGGTATTCATAATCAGAAGACAGCCTTCATTCAGACTTCTGACATGAGTTTATACAACTTATTTAGCCTAAAATCTATCTCAGATTTAGAATTTAACTTAAAGTAGTCCCAGATTGGCATTGGCACCAAACAACAGGCAAAGCAAATACATATTTTTTTCTGAAAGAGCACAATTTTAATCCTAGCTCAGAGATTATTCAAAGATATAACATTTTAAGGAACATGAGCTTACAGTTTACAACCTCTTCTATCACACACACACAAAGACAGCATGAATAAGAGCCAGTAGAAATAATAGAAGGCTCATACAAGCAAAAGCTTAAGAAAATAGAATTATCAAATATAGAAAATAATATAACTTTTTAAAATATGATTTAAAAATAAAAGACAAGCTTGAAAATATGATCTACAAACAAGATATAGTAAATAATTGAGTACTTCTTGAGCTATTTTTATATAAGAAGAACCAAAGAGAATTTATAGAATTGAAAAATATAAAATGAAAATTTAAAAATTCAGTGGAAGGAGTTTCTAGGAAGATGGAAGAAGAAGAAGCACTAGGAATTAATCTGCCCACCCAGACAACAGTTGTACTAGCAGAGAACCTGTCTGATGTAACTGCAGTTGTCCCTCAGTATCTGCAAGGGATTGGTTCCAGAACCTCCTACACATACCAAAATTCATGGATGTTCAAGTCCCTTGTATAAAATGACATAGTATTTGCATATAACTTATGCACATCCTCTCATATACTTTAAATTGCTTCTAGATTATTTATAATACCCACTACAATGTAAATGCTATGTACATAGTTGTTCTACTGTATTTGTTTATTCACATTATTTTTTACTCTTGTATTGTTATTTTTATTGGCTTTTTAAAAAATGTTTTAAATCTGAGATTGGTTAATCTATAGATGCAGAACTCATGGATATGAAAAGCCTATATTTTGGAACTCTGGAGTCTATTGAAGGCTTGCAGCATCCAGAGGAAGGCTTGGGTGGTAAATTGGGGTTAATTTTGGTCAATGTCAGCTCTTAGCACAGTAGCAGCTATCCCCCCACCCCTGCCCCTCAGCCCCATGGCAGGCAGCTGTGTACCTGTTCCTGGAGTAATCCACACACATTTTTCAGGAGCCCAAGGTAAGCAAAAAGGACCTTATCCTACAAATATTGAGGACCTGTGCTCTGATCACTGCTTACTTCTAACCACAGAGGTGCAATGAGAAGGGGACCATTATTGTTGTACTTTTCCCCATTGTTGCAAGCCCCTCTATCTCTGGATAAAGTGACTTCCAGAGGATTTAAAAGGCTGGTGCCCCTTCCCCTCCCCTTCATTGTTTCTTTTTCCTCTTTTGGGAGCCAGATATTAAAGACTACGACATTTAAAAGCAACTGCATATACAGGGAAAATTAGAAAGTGACCACACATACCCAGGGAAAGGCATCAACTCAGAAAAGACTGGAGAGGACCTTATGTTTATACCTCAGCCTGATCCTGGGCACAGAGACAGCTGACAATGATTTTTTTTTTTTTTTTTTTTTTTTTGAGACAGAGTCTTGCTCTGTCATCCAGGCTAGAGTGCAGTGACACAATCTCGGCTCACTGCGACCTTCACTTCCCAGGTTCAAGCAATTCTCCTGCCTCAGCCTCCTGAGTAGCTGGGACTACAGGTGTGTGCCACCACGCCTGGCTAATTTTTGTATTTTTAGTAGAGATGGGGGTTCACCATATTAGCCAGGCTGGTCTCGAACTCCTGACCTCAGGTGATCCACCTGCCTTGGCCTCCCAAATTCCTGGGATTACAGGTGTGAGCCACCACACCTGGCCATGATTTAAAAAAAAAAAAATAACAATAACAAAAAACAGAAAGCCCTGGGAAAGGAGGACAATGTGATTTCTAGAGTTACCACATTATTAGATTCAAATGTCCAGTTTTCAACAACAAAAAAACACAAAGGTGTACAAAGAAACAGGAAAGTATGGCCAACTCAAAGGAAAAGAATAAATCAACAGAAACTATGCCAAAAAAAAAAACCTACTAGATAAAGACCTACTCAATGGCAGATCTACCAGATAAAGACTTGAAAACAACTGTCATAAAGATGCTCAAAGAACTAAAGAAAGATGTCAAGAAAGTCAAGAAAACCGTACGTTAAACCATGCATAAACAAAATAGGCCGGGCGTGTTGGCTCCAAGCCTGTAATCCCAGCACTTTGAGAGGCTGAGGTGAGCAGATTTCTTGAGGCCAGGAGTTCAAGACTAGCGTAGTTAACATGGTGAAACCCCAACTGTACTAAAAATACAAAAATTAGCCAAGTGTCATGGTGTGCACCTGTAGTCCCAGCTACTCTGGAGGCTAAGGTGGGAGAATTGCTTGAACCTGGGAGGCAGAGCTTGCAGTGAGCTGAGATTGTGCCACTGCATTCCAGCCTGGGTGACAGAGTGAGACTCTGTCTCAGTAAATAAATAAATTAATTAATTAATTAAATAAACCACATATAAACAAAATGGAAGTAACAATAAAGAGATAGAAAATTGAAAAAGAGAATGAAGCTGAAAAGTATAATTGAAATGAAAAAGTCACTAGAGAGATTCAAAGGCAGATTACAGCAGGCAGAAGAAAGAATTAGTGATCTTGTAGATAGGACAATGTAAATCATTGAATTTGAGCAACAGAAAGAAAAAAATATTGAAGAAACACAAACAGAGCCTAAGAGACCTGTGGAACACCATTAAGTGGACCAACATATTCAGTGGAGGAGATTCAAAAGGAGAAGATAGAGAGAAAGAAAAGAAATTAGGATAAAGGGTAAGAGGAATGAAATAACAAAGAGATAAACAGAAATTAATAATAAAACCATAATAGAGAAAATCAGTACACTCAAAAGTTGGATAAAAATTGATAAACTCTGGGAAAGCTGATCAAGTGGAAAAAGTGAGACAGCACAAATATACAATGTCAGGAAAGGAAAAGGAACATTACTATAGATGCTGTATATTTTAAATAACTTTATGCTAAAGAATGTAAACATTTATATGGAAAAGACAAATCTACACAAAATACAACTAATCAAACATATTCAAGAAGTGAAAGACAAGAAAAAAAACCTTAAGTAATTCAATAATTGTTAAAGAAATCAAACCATTAATTTGAAACCTTTCTGCAAAGAAAACTCCAGGCTCAGATGACTAGAGTACTTTCTAGAACGTTTAAAGCAGTGGGTCTCAAAGTATGGTCCCCAGACCAGCATCATCACCTTCACCTGGGAGTTTGTTAGAAATGCACATTATCAGGTCTACCACAGACCACTGAATCGGGAACTCTACAGGTAGGGCCTGGTAATCTGTGTTTAGCAAGCCCTCCAGGTGATTCTGATGCACAAAAAAGTTTCACAACCTCTTATTTAATGATAACTACTATTCTTCACAAACTCTTTCAAATAAAAGAAAAAGAGGCTACATTTTCAGCTCGTTTAATGAGGTTACAGTATCCTTGAAATTAAAACCTGGCAACTGTATCAAAATATTGCAACTGAATTTCACTCATGAGCATAGATACTAATGTACTAAACAGAATTTTATCAAATAATACATTATAACCAAATTTGGTTATTCCATACATTATAACCAAATTTGGATTATTCCAATTTGGAATAATCCAAGGAATGCAAGGATGGTTCAACATTAGAAATTAATTAGTGTAACTTAACATACTAATACAATGTGTTGATTAGTGTAATTTAACATACTAATATAATGTGTTTGCAAAGTTATGAAACACAGAAGAAACTTTTTTAAAACAGTATGTTACTTCAGTATTCTAAAAATATGATTATTAGCCTATTAGGCAAAGTACCTCTAAATTTGAAGCAATATTCTAATTGTTAACCTGAAAAAAGTGTAATAAATACATTATACAATTTCCAGAAAATCTGGAAATATATGGAGAATAGTGTATTTATTTTATTATTTTCTGATTAATAATTTGATCCATTGCTTTCAGTTTAGAGGTACTTCATTCAAATAGGTGTCAGGAGGTTGAAGAAAAATTGAGCATGTGAAGACCCAGAACACTTAAGCAGTTTTCTTAAGTAAGTTGGAGAACCACAGTTAACACTGGGCTTGTCTGACTCCAAGTATCTTGCTATCCTTTCTACTGCATCACACTTCTTATGGCATTTACTCAAAATGACCACACTCCTTTAAGTATTCTTGTTTCACACTTCAGCTATGTGAGTGGATTGGGAGGTAATGGAGGCTTACAAAAAATGTTGGTAACATTTACAATATACACCTGTTATCCTGAAGTACCCTGAACCTTGAAATCACACAGGGAAAGAGACATTGAATGACTTATTACAAGTGTGATGAATATTTAAAAGGAAAAGCATGAAGAGATATAAGAAAATTTAATTTTGTTGTGGGGGTTTTCAAGCAAGGCTGTACTGAGGAAGTGATATAAACTGAGTTTTGAAATACATATTTTCTTTTTTTTTGAGACAAGGTCTCCCTCTGTTGCCTGGCCTGGAGCTCAGTGGCACAATCACGGCTCACTGCAGTCTCAACCTTCTAGTCTCAAGTGGTCCTCCCACCTCAGTCTCCTGAGTAGCTGGGACTACAAGTGTGCACCATCATGCTTGGCTAGTTTTTGTAACTTTTGTAGAGACAGGGTTTCACCATGTTGCCCAGGCTGGTCTTCAACTTCTGGGGTCAAGTGATCCACCCCACCTTGGCCTCTAAAATGCTGAGATTATAGGCATGCACCACCATGCTCAGCCTTGAAATGCATATTTTCTATCTTCATGCACTTTAAGTAAGAATCCCTCCCCAGCACTTTCTTAGAGTGACTCAAACTCTATGGTGCTAGGCTACCACCATCCTTTCCCATCAAGACCTCTTGAGATTTTGGCATCCTTAATCTAAGCCAATCCCTCACCAGTGGCTTTGGAACCGTCCAAATAGAACTTAGGTGGCAAAATAAAAGTTGTGGGAGCATCATACTGCACCAAAGTATTGGAAGGGACATGCAGCAGCTGGTTTGCATCTTCTTTTTTGTAAATAGTGAAGTGCCAACCAGAAATTAACTAAATCCTGAATAGATAGCAAGCACAATTATCAAAACGTAGGGGCTTTCCACTCCCTTTCTTTTATTGCTCCTTTCTTCCACCATTGCTCTTCTCTCTTTGGTACTTCAGAATCTTGTAGCGTTCTGGCAGGGCTCAGTGGCTTACGCTTATAACCCCAGTGCTTTAGGAGGCTGAGGCAGGCAGATCGCTTGAGGTCAGAAGTTTGAGACCAGTGTGCCCAACATGGTAAAACCCCATCTCTACTAAAATATAACAATTAGCCAGGCATGGTGGCACATGCCTATGGTCCCAGCTACTTGGGAGACTGAGGCAGGAGAATCACTTGAACCCGGGAGATGGAGGTTGCAGTGAGCTGAGATCGTGCCATAGCACTCCAGCCTGGGCAACAGAGCGAGACTCTCTCAAAAAAGAAAAAAAAATCTCGTAGAATTCTAGCTAGGCTATTTCCTTTCTCAGAAGCATTTGCATTTTAGCAGGGCACTTTTGAATAGTGAAAAGCCATTAAGTCATAAAGGAACAAATTTCTAATGGAATTGCAGTGGGTAACATAAAATATAGTAAGATGGCGTTCAGATGTGTATAAAATGAAAAGAATAAGGTGGGGAGGGAGTTCAGAAGAGTTATTGCAATACATTCTTCCATGCCACTTTTGAAGGCTTTTAGTTCTAATCCACTGACAAATTTTTGCTCTGCCATTTTTGTTGTAGTAATACAAAACAGATGTATGACTTAGAAAGGGGAAAGGACCTCTCCCTACTACACAGTATATTACGAACTTGGAAACAGATTAAATCTCTTCGACATGGGCAAGGGTTTACAAGCACCCCAATAAAGTTACAGGTTCAGAGGTAAGTGGCTGCTCTATTTGCTCTTATTGGTCTCCTGAGGAACTTCTCATGAATAACTGGAAATTCACAGTGACTAGGAAGACATCCAGAAGCTAGGCAACTATTCCATGTAGTCAACAAAGAATTTGTATCTTAAATACATAAACATATATATATATATATATGCATATATATGTTGAATATATAAAGTGGAATTCTTACAACTTAAGAAAACCCAATTAAACATGGGGAAATGATTTGAACAGACACTTCACTCAAGAATGTGTATGGATGGGAAATGAACACATGAAAAGATGCTCAATATTGTCATGTCATTCTCTATTGATTTGTCAATAGAGAAATGCAAATTAAAACCAGAAAGAAACAGTGCTACACACCTATTAGAATGGCTAAAATCCAAAACTAAAGGAAAGAAAAGACAAGACATTAACAAATGCTGGAAAGGATGCTGAGCAATAGAAACTTATTCATTGCTGATGGGAATGCAAAATGGTACAGCCACTTTGGAAACAGTTTGGCACATTCTTATAAAGTTAAATGTGGAGCCAGCAATCATACTTTAGATGAAACGCATTTTAGATTATTTGATAAAATCATAAAACCATGTCTTATGGAGGAAATAATTCAAACCCAAACACTTAAGCTGTTTGTGAACTCACAGGGAAATAACTAATTTTCTCCCCACAACCCATTGTCCTGGGTCTTTTGGTTTTCAAAAGTATGAAAGGTTAGTATAATTTCAGGCAAATAAGAAAAATGTTTATTTTGTTGATTTTTTTTTCTTGCTGCAGTAGTTTTTTTTTTTTTTTTTTTAACAAAAGTGCTCTGGACGGTTTCTAAACCTAAACCCAGCATTGAACTTTATCTTAGACTCCTAAATTAATGTAAATGTAATGACTTGCTTCTAATCCTTTAAACCAACCTCACACACCCATGCATCATGAATCCCTGAGCAACAAAGAGGAGACACAGATGTCGTAGGGTTACCCAGAACAATGGCTCTGGACCCATATTGCCTGCTCACCACTAACTCTTGTTGCCACTATTCTGAACTCCAGCCCCACCTGAGGCCCTTTGTGTTTGTTCTTCCTGACATTCAACTTTTCCAGCTGACTTTGGCTTCAATTTGTCTCTCCAGACTGCCTCTCAGCTAAATACCACACTGTCAGTCACCAGGCTGGCCCCAGCTGGGGTAGCCCCAGTGACCCTAAATTGGGGCATTTAGTTTAAGCAGTTAAAAATATCATTCTGATCAATTGGAGAAGCTATCTGTTTGAAGATGTTCCTCGGAACTGTTTCCTGGCCAACTTTACCACTATTGACCTCACAACATACCTGGTCCTTGTGAGCCCTAACTGAATAAACTTGTAGCTAGGCTTCCTGGAAAGATAGTACTCATGATAAGAAGGCCTGGTACCTAGACACTGAGCTCAGGTTATCATTTCGTCATGTATTTGGTTTGGGGCATGTTGAAGTTGATATGCCTTTGAGATATCTCTAAATAAGGTAATTGAGTGGGCAGCTACGTGCATGGTCTGTGACACAGTAAATAAGCATAATTGAAGCCATGGGTGTGCATGAAACTGCCTAGGGAGAAGGCAGAGAATAAGATGAGGAGAGACCCCAAGCACTGAGTCTTGAGAAATTGCTTTGAATGGCATGGTAGAGGAGGAGAAACCAGAGGAGGGACAGAGAAGCACCCGTTAGAGTATTTTGCCCCAGAGGCAAGGAAACAGGAGTATTTTAAGTAGAAGGAAGTGGTTAGCAGTTATTATCAGTGAAGTTCACTACTAAAAATGTTCACTGGATTTCCTGACATGGAGGTTATTGATAATCTCAGCTAGAGCAAGTTTTATAAAGTTACAGCGGCAGAAATGAGGTAACAGGAAGTTGAGGAGATAGCCCTGTCTTCTCGTTCAGGTGGCAAACTCTCCTTGTTAACTGTTAGCAACACTGCATTCAGCTTAGAGAGACTGGGTGGGTCAGTCGCTATAGATGATAGATTGTATTTTCTTCTGCCCCTGAACCCAAACTACAGCACTGGCAAATAACACAGAGAATCCAGATTTCTTATATTGTCTTCACTTGTGCTCTCTGTTTGGCACTGCCTACCTGGAGAAGATTCAGATAACTGCCAAAGAAACTTAAAATGAGAAAGAAAGTGCAAGCTATGTAAGCAGGAAATGCAACAACATTTGATAAAATAGCATCAGGACCTTCATCATTTCCCAGAGTCATTTGGCTCAGAATAGAAAGGAGGAAGCTATAGACCCTGCTTCAATAGTTTCCCTCAGAAGAAAATCTGGGTATAACACCTATTGTCTAAGTTACTCGTAACACTTATTCCCCAAATTATTATAGATTGAAATCAGTTAGGAATTTCTAAAAATGACTGTTCTAATTTAATTAGTATGGGGTATGGTCTGGACATCATGAGTTTTAAAATGCTTCCCTGGTGATTTTAATATGTAACAAAGGTTAAAAGCCATTGTATTAAAGAACAGCAAGTTTACTGATGTCGTATTGATTGCCCTGAATCCGAAGAAAATAATAATAATATTTATTAAGTGTTTGTTTTACTCCAAGTCCTGGGCTGAGCACTTTACTTAAATTAGTGCATTTAATCCTCACAACAACCTAATTTTCAGATGAGAAAAGTGAGGCATAGAGTTCTTAAGGAATTTACCCAGATTCTGCAGTGCCATTAATGGGGCTGGGTTTTCAGCCCAAGATACTACCATATAGATAATATCTGCACTTAGTCCCCTATATTCTATTTCAGAAGGCAAAAAGCATATAATACCTTTTAAACAGCTCTCTTGAGATATAATTCACATACCATATGGTTCACCCATTCAAAGTCTCCAGTTCAGTGGTTTTTAATAAATTCCCAGAATTGTGCAACAATCACCGCAATTTAATCTTAGGATGTTTTTGTCACCTCCTAAAGAAACCATCTTCCCATTAGCAGTCACTCCTCACATATGCAGACATAGGCTTTTCTTTCTTTTGGGTATATGAGTGGAATTGCTGGGTCATATGGTAACTCTGTAGTTAACATTTTTGAGGAACTGCCAGACTGTTTGCCAAAACAGCTGCACCATTTTACATTCCCAACAGAGCATGTAATATTTTACCAAAGGATTTCCTTCTTAAATGATTAAAATGGAAAACAAAACCTTATACTGAAAACAAGAAATTTTTACACTATCAGAAAAACTTGACTCCTACATCAATAATTTTCTGACACTGTTCAGATAACTGAGATTTTATTGAACTACTAATAAAAGAGGAATAATAGTACTTACTTCATAGGGTTGTGATAATTAAATCAGTCAATACGTGTAAAGTACTTACACTATTGCCTGGCACATACTTAGTAAGTACTATATAAGGATTAGCTAGTAGTAGTAGTAATAGTAGTAGTAGTAGCAGCAGCAGTGGCAATAGTGCTAATGCCATGAATTGTTTACTGTTTATGCATAAACACCAACTATGATTTACTACTTAATATCACCATGATCACCTGCCCTTATACCTGCTCAGGTTCTCACAGCTTAAAAAATATGAGAGAAAGAAAAATGAGAGGAAACAGGGTATGTGTCCTTGAATATTTATCTCCCCATTCCCCTGTTACTTATTCTCACCAGAGGAAAGGTTTCTTGATGCCCTTAGAAAGGGCTGTAAACACTAATGGTAAATTTACTGAGTAGGGAGAAATATCTGAAAGCCGAGAACAAGCTTATAAAGTTTTTTAAATATTTATCAAATTGGTAATTTCCTTAGAATGTAAAATTACTTGTAAGAGATTGGTTTTGTGTGTGTGTGTGTGTGTGTGTGTGTGTGTGTGTGTTGGCAAAATCTCGAACAACTCTCAAATACCTCCATTATTTCTGCTTTCAATAATTCTGTTTATTATTAATTAGGATTAAAATGAATAAATGTGATGAACAAGAGCAAATCTCAGAAATGTCTGAAACTGAGAAGAAAAATGAAGGAAAAGAACTTAAGAATGGGAAAAAACTGGAGGTATTTATATTGCAAAATAACATTAAACTCAACTAGTTATAATATTTTATTTTTTGATAGAATGTGAAATCTTGGTATTTCTAAAAGTTATCCAACAAACTGACAAATACAAGAAATAAATGAATTTTAAGAATAAATGTCCTACACAGGGATGTACATGGCAAATCATATATTTATTTTTTGATTTCTAGAGCCTCTCATATCTAGCTTCAGACGAAACAGAAATTGAAAGAATAAAGCCAATTACCTTGAGGCCACAACTTTCTTTCACTGCAGAATTAACAAGCTTATCCAAGTGTTCCTTGTAAGCATGTTTAAATAATTATTTATTTATTATATATTGTCTATTAATTGGATTGTTTTTAATAATAAAGTGGGATTTCTTGGGTGAGTACCATATGCCAGGCACTCTAAGTTTTTAAAAACACATTTTCATATTTAATTGTCACCATAACTCTATAGAGTTCCATATTATCCTCATCTTAAAGAAGGAATGTAGCTCATGGGAAGTTAAATTGCCCAGGTTCACACATCTAATACATGCCTGAGGTGGGACATAAACCAGTTTGGTGTTCTATAGAAACTGTGATATCTTCACTGCTAGTCTTCATATATTGATAATTTGCAGGGTTTTTTTGTTTTGTTTTGCTATGTTAGTAATTTTCGTTCAGGTATAAATAGGTGAGATATAAAGGCACTGTAAAAAGTAATATACCATTGTCTTTGCTTGTTAAAGGAACTCTGGCTCTCATAAAAACTATTTCACATCAAGAGGGCCCCCTAAACAATTTTCTTCTTTGACATTACAAACTTCTTTACTTCACAGTTGTGATTTCTTCCTTGAGCTGTAATGTTTTCTCTCTATGCCTAGAACATTATGCAAAAACAGACATCATAGGTAACCCCATTTCTCCATCTACTAGGCCTATGGATCCCATCTCCCTTAAAGAGGATATGGCAACTTAGAGTACTAGGTCTAATTTTTCAACATCTCTATCCCATGGCACACTTGGTACCAGTCCATCATTGAGTATTGGGAATGTGCATCATTTAGCAGTGTTGGAAAATACTGGGTAATCAATAAATGTTTATATATATTAAATGAGTGAATGGATGCTTACATTAACAACCAAAAGGGCAGCAGACACAAAGTCACAATTATCACCACCCACTTTCTGACCAGAGAAGTGCAGCAGTGGAGAAATCCTTTATTTGTTCTGTACCTTCTTCCAAAAAGGGCCTGAGATACTTTATTATGTAGGACACCCATATAAAAAGACTATCTAAACAAGGGGAAGAATACAGGAGCCATAAAATGAAAGTTGGAGGGAGAGAGAAGAAAGAGGAGGAAGAAGATATTTGTGCTGGAAAACCTAGACTAAAACTTAGTGGAAGTCAAGGCAAAAGGATGTATGGTGTTTTATATCTTTGCAAAGCCATTGCCATCCGATAGCATTGCTGTCATCTATTTAACACACCCAGTAGAATAAAAACTCATTCTCCAGAAAAGAATAATATGTCGATATAGAGGATAGAAGTGAAAAGAATACAGAGATTAGAGAAAAATTAAAAAGAGTTTACAGGTGAAGAGAAAGGCAAGATTTCCTGAAGATAATTATAACCCTGAATAAACAAATTTTTAAAATCAATTCAACAAACTTTTAAAATCAAATTCAAATTTTTAAAATCAATACTTTTAGAGGGCAACAGAAAGGGTAACTTTTACTTAGATATTTCTTGAAAGGTAATTGGGAATATGGTCGAAAGAGGCCAACAGGGAGATAAGAATAGGTAATCTTTTGTCCCCTAACTCTTTGAGAAGGTTACAGAGATGGACAGATAATAAGGCAGGGACATACTGGGCCCATAGGGTGATTAGATTGGGGAGCAGAAGGGGATTTTATGTTTCAACTTAGGGTTTATCTTCCACCCAGCCTTCTCCCTTCTGAGAAAGAGGGTCAAGTCTTAAACATCATTAGATCAGTTCTCTTGCCACTAGGAAAATATTCAATAAACATTGGTTGAGTGAATTAAACAACGAATGAAAGACTCTAGGAGTTTTATATCAGTCAAGGGATCAACTTATGCCTCAACAAGTGTTTCCCCCAGGGAAGTAACCTGGCTTGCTCCTTTGATCTTTGGGTTCAGAGATAGGGTGGCCTCCCCACTGTCCTGGAGAAAAGGGGTACACAGCCTAAAGCTTAAGGTGATTTACAAAGACCTTTAAGAGGACACAGCAAGCCTGTTGCCTTAGAGCCACATCTTTGAAGTTATTGACAACATGGTGTGTGGAGGGTTGTGTGTTTGTGTATATAGTCTATGTGTGTGTCTTTTTAAAGTTAGGAAATATTTTTAAATTCTTGATTCAACCTCCCCTCCCCATTCCCAAGCCCCTCAGTTTTTTCCTCTCATAAGACATCTGGTAGATATGTGCTGTAATCTCTTTAAATTGTAATTTAGTAAAATAAGAGCTGAATGATTTATAGGACCTTGATTTTAGTTCTATTTTTGAATACATATTTTGAGTACATCTCTTTCATTAAAAACATTTGACTGGGAAGAAGAAACTTTTATCCACATGTAGACAAGTGTTATTTGATGTAAAGATAACATTTGTCCTCTGAAATTATCTTCTGTTTAACATGCTAATATACATTTTGAAAGAACAATATGTTATGTCTGTTGTACTTTTTAAGGGTGATTTAAAGGTTTGTTTAATTTTTAGGCATGAACAAAAAAGAAGAGCCAAAATTCAGAAGCTCAAATACTTTATTAAAATATTTTACAACAATAAACAGGTTTCTTGTACTTCAGTATCTCCCCTACAGTTTGATTTTAAAGTCATGTTTCAGCAAATTTTCAATATTCAGTTAATGTATTGGCCTGAAGTGATTTGTTTGGAGGTATGCCATTGTCATTTACTTTTGTATCTTATTTTATGCCATACATAATTTAAAATTTTTTGTTAGCTACAGTTATATGTGATAAGTAATTTCTTTGATGTTAAGAGATGGACTGATCTTTATGTGTAGATGATAAGATATTTATAAATGTATAATTCACCACTAGTCTTTTATGCTGTAAGTACAAAGTTATTTGATTTGTAGTGTTCCAAATACTCGTCTCCTGCTAAAATTTCTGCACCCCTGGATGTGCAGCACTACTATTCATTGCAATGAGGTGGAAAAGTGCTGTTTACAGGATAATGAGTAGCATAGCTATTTTAAGTGTTGAATGATTTCTATAATACGAACTTCCACATTCCTGACTTGGTGGCTTCAGTCTCTTGCTGTATTTGTTCTTCCTCCTTTTTTGGATTTTTAGATCCCTCTAAGAATCAGATGAAAGAACATACACACAAAAGACCCCCAGTCTCTGTGCAAAGATCCCACTGTAAGAACCCCCACACTAATGGAAGAAGAAAATAGGATGATGGAGAAAAATGAGAGACAACAAACGAGTCTAGACAAGAAGTCCTGGTGGCTAAAAATGGGGTTAAACTTAAAGCTAGACTTGAAAAAAAAATTAGGAGGGAATAAAGATTTGTGTGTAAGAAGGGAGGTGCTTGAGGAGTAGGGAGAGAATTGTAGTTACATATATAAATCACAATTATTTTTATAATGTCGAGAATAATTTTATTCTCTCCTGATAGATGTTCTATTCATTATTCATGTATTCAGGTTTCCACTCTCTTACAATGTCCCTCTGTTGAAATTCCTACATTAAAAATATGCCTACTTTCCACACTGAATTCCTAATACAAAAAAAAAAGAACTATACTTTCTTACTGTTGTCCCTAAAGTAAATTGTGATATAATAATCCAATCACTTGAAGTTTAAAATCTGCCTCCCCAAATAGGTAAATGTGTATTTTGAGTCCTTTATCATCCTATCACTTAGCATATGAGCCTAACAAACTAAGAGGCAGGGAGGGAGAGGAATCTAGTTAAGAGATAAATTCACCATTAGCAAATGCAAAAATTGCAAAATAAATCGATATGCCCTAGCCTAACAGACTTTAACCTACATTTTTAATTCTTTTTTTTTTTTTTTCTAAGATGAAGTCTCACCCTGTTGCCCAGGCTGGAGTGCAGTGGTGTGATCCCAGCCACCACAACCTCCACTTCCTGGGTTCAACCAATTCTCCTTCCTCAGCCTGCCAAGTAGCTGGGATACAGATGCCCACCACCATGCCCCGCTAATTTTTGTGTCTTTAGTAGAGACAGGATTTCACCATGTCGGCCAGGCTGGTCTCGAACTCCTGACCTCAAGTGATCTGCCTGCCTCAGCCTCCCAAAGTGCTGGGATTGCAGGCATGAACCAACATGCCCCGCCTTTAGTTCATTTCTTACTACTCCTCCTTATTCATTCATCACTTCAGCCAAACTGAGCTGCTTGTCTTTTCCCACACGTGCTTGTAATTTCCTACCTCTAAGCTTTTGTACATGTTAGCTGCTCCGTTTAAAAACGCCCATTTTCATTCTGACCACTTTTAAGATGCTCAATCTCATCGCATCATGGTGTTGACAGTTGTCAGGGGACAAGACTGGCTCCTAGGAACCCTCAACTGATAAAATTCTCTATCTCAGTACACTTACCTTGCTGTCCAGGGGCTGGCCTCCAGCCTGTAGTCCAAGAACCTGGGTTTGACAGTCCACTGAGAATCCATCCTACATACCCTAAGCAAATTCACAAGGCTGAAGTGTAAATGCCAACTCAACATTTGAATATATTTATCAGTTCATGTTCTCTGAAAGTTAACCCATTTACTGATTTACAATAAGAAAGTTATTTCACAGAGCTACAACTCCTACAAACCTTTCTGCAGTAGGGATGCCTTTGTCAAAGGGACCAGTGTGGTGTCTTAAATTCTCTCTTACAAGGAAGTAAAACCAGATAACTAGAAAAAATATGTGCCTCTTTGACTTTCCTTTTTCTTTGCTTTCTTGGCTAATAAGTCATCACTTTGATTGGCACATTCTTTCTTATCTTTCAAGGAGCAATTTTCCCCTCTGATTTCCTTCTTAGAGCTCATATCACTGTTTTCCCAAGCACTGACAACACAGTATAAGTCAAAATAAGATTTTTTATTGAAAAAAGTTTGCTTAGACTGGGTGCAGTGGCTCACACCTGTAATCCTAGCACTTTGGGAGGCCAAGGCAGGCAGATCACCTGAGGTCAGGAGTTCGAGTTCAGCCCGGCCAAAATGATGAAATCCCGTCTCTACTAAAAATACAAAAATTAGCCAGGTGTGGTGGTGGGCACCTGTAATCCCTGGTACTTGGGAGGCTGAGGCAGGAGAATTGCTTGAACCCAGGAGGCGGAGGTTGCAGTGAGCAGTGATTGCACCACTACAATCCAGCCTGGGCAACAGAGCAAGACTCAACCTCAAAAAAAAAAAAAAAAGAAAGAAAAAAGTTATAGTTATGGCAGTAAACTTATATGGAATTGTAGTAAAAAACACACCATATAGAATTAGAAGACCTGGGTTTCATGCCCAGTGAACCTCTATGGGACTGTCTACTCAGCACCCCCTTTTCCTTTCTTCTGGAGCTTTTCCTCCCTCACCACTCCCATAGCTTGTTTAACTCATCCTTGAATTTCATGACCAATCACTACCTTTTTCCTAAGCAATTCAACCTGAGTCTCAACCACTTATAATAAAAACAAACATATTTTCATATACAGCTTCCATTTCCTCACTTATAAAATGAGAATAATATTTATTTCCTATAATTTTTATCAGATTTACATGAGATAAAGAATTTTTAAAGTGCTACTCAAAATTGCTATGATATTATGTTATATGTACCTCATATATTTATTCTCAGAACTGTATTCATAATCCCTTGTATTCAATTCATTTTCTATGGAGCCAGTAAAAGGCATTACACTTTCAAGGACATGACTGGCTGCTTTTCTCATAATCATGTGGATGAAATGCTATAGAGCAATACTTATTTTATATTCTGGTATTTAAAAAAATATATGTTGTTAAGGGTGCTTATTTTTTCCTTTTTCTGTGTTGTATTTTTAGTGATCTATCAGCCATTTCTTTTATATTTAGGTTTATGAAAAAAGTAAAAGGACAAGCTTACTGGCAAAACTATATATACCTTTACCTAACTACACAGAGCTGAAAGGCAAAACCGCTTTGCAATATGTAGAGTTTAGCTCTGATAAGCTGGTCATGCCTGCCGATGGAGAAGTAGGAAGCAGTGAGTTTATTAAAAATATTACATTCCCCCTATTTTCTTCCTGAGTACCATATTCCTAAGTGACCCTGGCTCACTCACATAAGTACAAAATCCTGTATTTACAATATTCTTTTTTGTTTGTTTGTTTGTTTGAGACAGAATCTCACCCAGGATGAAGTGCAGTGGCTCGATCTCAGCTCACTGCAACCTCCACCTCCCAGGTTCAAGCAATTCTCGTGCCTCCAGTAGCTGGGATTACAGATCCCTGCCACCACGCCCATCTAATTTTTGTATTTTTAGTAGAGACAGGGTTTCACCATTTTAACCAGGCTGGTCTCAAACTCCTGATCTCAGGTGATCCGCCCCCCTCAGCCTCCCAAAGTGCTGGGATTACAGGCGTGAGCCACCGCACCTGGCCCTGTGTTTATTCTGTTAAAAATGAATTAAATTATTCATTCAGATGTTAAACTAGATTGTTTAAAGTTTTGTCTTGGGTCAGATTTTTGGGAAATTTCAAATGAGCAGTTAGCACCCACGCTTTTTGCAGGCCATCCAAGGCAAGGACAGAATGCTGTCTGGAAAGCAAGCTCTGCTTTTGAGTGGGCTGGCTGCTCTGCCTCGACCTCTCCTTTAGTGAACCTACAGGTGCTCGCAGACATATGGGTTTGTCTTTGAACTGTATAGGGAAGGGAAGAAGAAAATGAGGGAGGGAAGGAAAGAGGGAGGGACAGAGAAAAGGAGAGAAGAAAGAAGGGATGTTTCTGTTAGTTGTTTTTCAATTGATTTTACTCCTCTTATACGGTTAAATGTAAGTTAGTGCGTCTCTGAGATCACTGTCATTCCTCTCCTTCTCCCCATTATTCCTTTCTTTCACCTTCCTAGGGGTTTGGAAACTACTTGGGCCTATTTGGTGAAAAGTAAGGAAGTATGAACAAGTGAGCAAGGAGGAGGGGGCGGGGGGAAATGGGCAGAGAACGAGGGAAGAACGGAGTTTGCTTCAAGTCCAGATGAAGCAGAAAAATAAGCTTATGGAGACCCGGGACAAAAGACTCAGGACTCAAAAAATTTAGGGAACACTGTGCACTCAGCAAAAGTTTTAAGAAGTATTGTTAAACTCTTTGGAGATTAGATGCAGAAGACTTGGGAATGTAAGGAAAGAGGAGAAAGAACAGCTTGCTGGCCTCTTTTTCTGCTGCCAATGGTCCTTTCTTGCTGGAAGCCACTCCCACAGAGAATGGTTAAGAAGCCTCCAGGCATGAAAGGAAGAAAATCATGATATTCATCTCTACATATTCATCTCAATCTTTACCTTCTCTTTTGTAGTCCTTGAAGGATCTTAGAGAGGAGATGAGGGAGAGCACTAAGATAAGAGTGGAGTTAGGGCCGGGCGTGGTGGCTCACACCTGTAATCCTAGCACTTTGGGAGGCCCAGGCAGGTGGATCACCTCAGGTCAGGAGTTCGAGACCAGCCTGGCCAACATGGTAAAACCCCATCTCTACTAAAAAATACAAAAAATTAGCCAGGCATGGTGGTTGACACCTGTAATCCCAGCTACTTGGGAGCCTGAGGCAGGAGAATCATTTGAACCCAGGAGGTGGAGGTTGCAGGGAGCTGAGATTGCCCCACTTTACTCCAGCCTGGGCATCAAGAGCAAAACTCTGTCTCAAAAAAAAAAAAAAAAAAAGAGTGGGGTTAGCACAGATCTTCCTTTGTGTTCCTAGAGTTCCACAAGTAAAACTCAGGAAAAAACCCACAATGTGCTTCAACTGCACTTAAAACAATTCATATGTTTTTAATGCCTTTTATAAACAGATGTGCCTTTTCTTCTTGAGGGAAATGGAACTGAAGAACTCTGTCTTTTGACATCAGGAAAACTTAGCTATTCTCTATCATGGAGCTTAGATGAAAATGGTCTTCCTCTGATACCTATGCCACAATCATTAAGATCTTCTTACTGCAGGTAATAAACTTTTATCTTTGAAAAATAATGCCAGGTCTCAGCAAAGCATCACACAAAACATATTATGTGTAAAAGAGAAAACTTGAGCAGCAATAGGAAGAGTTTAGTCTATTTGAATGTTGATTTATCTTTTATTTAAATCACTCTACTAAGGCAGTATGTGTATTTATATGTAAGAGAATGTGTCCCTTCAGTGCTTGGAATTATAGCCACACAGATGATGAGAGAGGCATTCCCAGAGTCCCTCACTTGTAGGCAAAGGTCAAGACTCCCAGGGACTTTATTTCTGGGGCCTGTATATCTCCCAGTCATTCTGGATTAGCAAAGAATCATTTATGCATTATCATCATTCTGGGAGTTCCCAGAAGGGTTGGGGTTAATTTTCAGATTAATTATTTGTGGGATTACTAGAAATAAGTACAGTAAATTCTATGAAAATGATGATAATGCTGGCTTCCATAATGTGCTATGTTTGAGGGAAATGGTAAATATAAAGGAAAAAGTTTATTTCATCATTTAAAATAATGAACAATGATAACAAAAAGATATCCTCTCCCCTCCACATCTTAACACATATTTTTAAAAATAAACGGAAATGAAAAGCTTCATATAACTTATGGCATTCTAGAAAGGGCAAAACTGTGGAGACAGTAGAAAGATCAGTGGTTGCCAGAGGTTCTAGGGGGAGATAAGAATGAATAGTTGGAGCACACGGGATTTTTAGAGTAGTGAAACTATTTTGCATAACATTATAATGGTGGATACATGTCATTACACAGTTGTCAAAACCTACAGAATTTACAAGACCAAGGGTGAACCCTAATGTAAACTATGGACTTTGAGTGACAATGATGTGTCAATGTAGGTTCATGGATTGTAAAAAAAGGTACCACTCCAGCGAGGGATGTTAACAGCTGGGGAGGCTGTGCATGTTTATGGGGATGGGGTACATGGGAACTCTCTGTGCCTTTTGTTCAATTTTGCTGCAAATCTAAAACTTCTCTAAAAAATTATGTTTTAAAAATATTATAGTTTTGAAAATTGTTATACATAACTGGATTAAATGGAAAATCAAAACTGAAATTAGAGACTGTTTAAAAAAGAACAGGGAGAACATTATATATAAAAACCAGTAGCATATGGCCAGAGTCATAGTAAGAGTTCATAAATGCTTTTCTTCGGTACATAAGAAACAAAGAGAAAAAAGCTAAATGGCAGTAGCACAAGGAGATCGTTGGTATGGACGAAACTGACATAGTGGGGGTAGTTTACTTACCAAGGAGTTTGACAATAAAAAAATGCTAAAAAATAACAGAAGACAAAAGAATCAAGGTACAGATTTCTTAAAAATTGGGGCCATATTTATCTTCTTAAAAGAAGTGATTAAAAGTGATGAGCTTACAAAAGATTGAAATCAGTGGGGAAAAAGACCCAATATATTGGAAAGAGTATAAGGTCCTTCAGAGTCAGGAAGGTATCAAACCAGAACCCAAGTGAATAACTGTGGTTCTGGAGAAGAGAAACTCTCTCTTCCTCAACTCAGGGAATGGGACAGTCATCACTATGAAAACAGAAATGGAACTTTGATGGATGTCCTTGTTTTGCTAAGTAAATGAGGTCATCTTCTTAGAGACCTGGAGAAGGTCATTTTAAGAGCAAATCTTACAGTTATTAAAGGTAATTCATTTTGGAGCCAGTGGAAAAGTGTTTAATACCTAGAACTATTATTTTGTTATATTTCTTAATATTTCTCTAGCATAGTCTCCACAGCAGCTATTCCTAATCTTTGCCTCATCATAATATTGTTTGCATTTTTCTTGGAGTGAGATGTTTGTCCTCCTCACTCTGAGGCTAACTTTTATGCAGGTAATTTGCAACTCTCTTTTACAATTCTACAGACGCATTTATATCTTTTTCTTCCATTCAACTTGTCCATCTCCCTAGGCTGTTGGTCTTTTGTACCCAAAAGCCTTCTTTGTTTTAAAACAAACAAGCAAAAACTCAAGCACCTGATTAAATCCTGAAGCCCATTTTGGCTAGATTTTTCCTGCCAGAGTTCTCCTATGTGTGGCCTACTGGTCTGCATACATTCCCTCCACTTTCTGCTCACCCATTCCCTTCCTAATCCTACCCACTTGTCACTGAAGGTTACCAGCAAGTGACCTTCAAGCCATATTCATTGGCTTGTCTCCGTTGTCTTACAATTCCTATTACTTGGAAACTCAAGCTTACAAAAGATTGAAAACAGTTACATGCAAGAGTGGGACAGATGACAGGTTTCAGCAGGAAGTAAATTGCAAAAGAGGTTTTCAAAGTCCAGGGCCCTCTCTAAGTCAAACTTTACAATTAGAGGAAGTTACAGAACTTTCCCACAGTTTTGTTGTGGCAGCTCAAGGACTGGCTCTGAGCAGTAGGTTCTAGGAATTGGGATGGGTGCTCCAGAGGGCAGGACTGACTTGTGGAAGTCAGAGAATGAAGCCAAAGGAGAACTGAAAGGCAGTTTTGTTACTCATTCATTCACTTACTCATTCATCAAACACTGACTGAACTGTAGATAAAGTAGTGAACCGAAAGAGAGTCTCAGAAAGCTTTGATGCTTTTTTTTGTTTAAGACAGAGCTTCGCTCTTGTTGCCCAGGCTGGAGTGCAATGGTGCAATCTCGGCTCACTGCAACCTCTGCCTCCCTGGTTCAAGCAGTTCTCCTGCCTCAGCCTCCAGAGTAGCTGGGATTACAGGCATGCGCTACCAAGCTCAGCTAATTTTTGGTATTTTTAGTAGAGACGGGGTCTCTCCATGTTGGTCAGGCTAGTGTCAAACTGCTGAACTCAGGTGATCCGCCTGGCTCCACCTCCCAAAGTGTTGGGATTACAGGCATGAGCCACCGCACCCAGCCCAGCTTTAGTGCTTTAATACCACATTAAACACACCTCTCCAGCTGGGCGTGGTGGCTCACCGTGTAATCCCAGCACTTTGGAGGCCAAGGTGGGCAGATCACCTGAAGTCAGGAGTTTGAGACCAGCCTGGCCAACATGGTGGAGTGGAACCCCATCTCTACTAAAAATACAAAAATTAGCTGGACATGGTGGCACACGCATGTAGTCCCAGCTACCCAGGAGGCTGAGGCAGGAGAATCGCTTGAACCTGGGAAGCGGTGATTGCAGTGAGCCAAGATCATGCCATTGCACTCCAGCCTGGTGACAGAGTGAGACTCTGTCTCAATAAACAAACAAATCAGAAAACCAAAAACAAACAAACAAAAAAAACACCACACCTCTCTAACCTAAATGATCGTTGTCTAGAGTTTTCATTTTTAAACATGAAACAGTTTTTCTTACACACACTAGTTAATGAAATTTTTAACATAGTTCATTGACTTTTATGTTTACCTTATTTCTTATTTCCCATCCTTCATTCTCGATTTACTTTTCATGCTGAAAGCATGCTCCTTTAATGATTCTTTCAGTTAGTTTCTATGGATAGCAAAATTCTTTAGCCTTTCTAGATCTAAAAGTGTCTTTATTTTGCCCTCATTCTTAATAGTTTAGGTGAGTAGAAAATTTGAGGATGTTATTTATTTCCCTTTAGCACTTTGAAGCTGTTACAGTACTGCATTATCTTGTGGGATTTATCATTGCTATTTATAAGTCTGCTATTGGTCTAAATGTTGGGCTTTTATAGGCTATCTTTTCTCTCTGATAATATTGAAATATTTCACTTTAATTCAGAGACAGAAAGTGGAATAAAGGTTACCAGGGATGGGGAAGGGAGAAATGAGGAGTTATTTTTTAATGTGTACAGAGTTTCAGTTTGGGATGAAGAAAAAAATTCTGGAAATAGGTAATGATGATGGTTATACAGTACCGTGAGTATACGTAATACTACTGAATCATACACTTTAAAATGGTGGTAAATTTTATATTATGTATCTTTAACCTTAATAAAAAAGGAAGAAACTGCCATTTGAGCCATGAAAAAAATTTTGCTTTATCCTTAAAGTACTGAAATTTTACTATACTGTATATGTGTGGATTTATCATTATTCTTCTTCCTGCTTAGCAGAATAAATTTCATGTTTAAAGCCTCACATCTTTCATCAATTACAGAAACTTCTCAGCCACTATTTCTTCAAATATTACTTCTTCCCCATTCCCACTCTTCTCTCCTTCAGGATTTCTTATTGAATTTGTATTGGAGCCTCTTGGTCTATTATTCATTTATTTATTTTTGAGACAGGGTCTCACTCTGTCACTCAGGCTGGAATGTAGTGGTGTAATCATAGCAGCCTCAAACTCCAGGGCTCAACAACTCTCCTGCCTCAGCCTCCCGAGTAGCTGAGACTGTAGGCAGGTGCCACCACATCCAGCTAATTTTTTTCTTGCTTTCTTTGTTTTCTTTTTAAGAGATGAGGAGGTCTTGCTATGTTGCCCAGGCTGATAAACTCCTGGGCTCAAGTGATCCTTTCACCTTGGCCTCACAAAGTGCTAGGATTACAGGCCTAAGCCACTGAGCCCAGCCAAGCCTCAGCCTATTAGCCACATCTCTTACCTATTATTTCACATTTTTATGTTTTTATTTCATCTGCATCCTGGGTGAATTTCTGCGTACTATTTTTTAGTTCCTTAATTCATTATTCAACTTTGTCCAGTATAAGGTTTATTTGATTTTTATGTTATAATTTTTACTTTTATTTTCTGCTGCCAAGTTTTCTGTTTGATTCTCTTTCATATCTACATTTTCTTATTTCATTTTGGCATTTTGTTCCATTATTTCTTGCATTTAAAAGTGAATTATTAGTTTTCATTTGCTTTTACATCGTAAGCATACTTCATTAAAATGTGTTTGGCAGACTTTCATAAAATGAATTTCAACTAGAATTAATTTATGTTCTGATAGTTGATAACTGTTGATTATTTTTCTGAGCATGGCTTCTTTGCTCAGAAGTTTTGGTTAGCAGTGTCATTTTGACTTGAAGAACTTTTGGGTGATTTTGATTTATACGTTTCTGGGTTTTTGGTGTTTTTTTTTTTTTTTCCTCTCTCTCCTTCTGTATCTACCCCTCCTTACCTAATGGTTCTGAATTTGACTTCATCTGTCCTCCTAAATCCAGAAGTGGGCTGTAAGCCTACTTACTGGATAGGTTGGGAGATTGGGTTGTTATACTGGGTTGCTACTGGAGTCATCACAGATCTAGGTATCTGGTGAGCTGTGAGCCTGGTTCAGTTCCTCATTATGGGGCAGTGTCTGTGTCCTTTTCCCTCTCTAGACTCATAGCTTTCTAAAAGCCATGGCCCCATGCAGTGGTCAGTATTTTTTTAAAGGTCTCTTTATCTAAGTAAAGTTCCCCCCAGATCTTTGGCTTAAAATGATAAGCCTGGTGCTAGTTCCCTGTCTCAGGAACTGAGCCCACAACCACCATGGACTGCTCCTAGGCCTGAAGCCCAGCAAGCCCACAGTGCTATCCCCACTCACCACTCTGCCTTTCTTTTCCATTTCTGGTTCACAGGAATGTTTATCTTAGCTCTCAGCACAGTTATATTTTTAACTATTTTTTAACATCTTTATTGAGATACAACTCACAAACCATAAAATTCAGCCAATTAAAACATGCAATGCAATGGTTTTAATATATTCACAGGCTTGTACAACCATCATTACAATCTGGAAATGGATGGTGGTGATGGTTGCACAACATTGTGAGTGTACTTAATGCCACTGAATTGTGTATTTTAAAATAAAGTGGTAAATGTTATGTATATTTTACCTCAATTTACAAATGTGGTGGCTGTGGCCTTGCATTTGGGTGTATAAGCCAAGGTCTTGGGGCCTGCTAGAATTAAAGCTCGCCTCTTTCTTGGGGCCATGCTATACTTTGATTCTTTTGTCAGAAACAAGATGTAAATGTCAGGGCTGCATTAGATAGACAACAACCAAAGAGTTTCCCATGCCTTTTATAAAGTACTGCTTCCAGCTCTCCATCACCAAAGTAGAAATCTTCAATCGAAAAGAAGAGGGAGGGAGGAGGAAGGAAGGAAGGAAGAGAGGAAGGGAGGGAGGGAGGGAAGGAGGGAGGGAAAAATCTTCAATCATTTGACTGGTTTTGACCCAAGAACAGCACTGCTGTGAGCCATAGCCTACAGCTAAACGTGTATAGGAGCAGCTGGGGGAATCATTGTAGCAAGGCTCTGAGATTTGTATTACTTTCTCTGAGGCAGAAACCATGGGACTATGTTGAAATTCAATTACAACTTTCTTTGTTGTTTGTTGTTGTTGTTGTTGTTGTTGTTAAAGGATATAACGGGAAAAGTTTCTAATCTATTCGTTAAGATTTAAGCTTTACCTGAGGCTGTCTTCTAGGTGATCTGGGCTAAGACTGTTTCAAGAAGGAAAATTTATTACATGATGGTGTAAAGGGTGTCAGGTCCTAGCGATCTCTTATGACATAGATATCAAAACAGTTCAAAATGAGGGCAGACATGGGAAGCAAAAGAAAAGAAGAATATGCAAACTTCACCTGTTCGTAATTTTCCTTACATCTTACCATACCACACATTGGCTTTTGCAGCAATAGCCTCAGAAGAATCATCAAAGAAATATGAACAAATGGGAAGGAGACAGTATAAAATGTGTGCTCGTGTTTGGGCTAAGACATTGTTGAATCCGTGTCAGAACTGTATTTCTGGAATCCCAATTTATAGACAGGAACCTTTCTGGACTACTTTATAGAAAGGATTGTAGAAATTTGGATTGTAGTCCAAATTTCTCTAGTTACACATGATAAGACAAATTCTCTATGAAGAGACAGATTAAATAGCTGGGATAATTGATGGCTCTAAAGAAATCCTTACTCAATTAGGGTTGAATTCCTTTTGCACTTAGTCTATAGCTAAGGTCACTAAGAATATATTAGGAGTCTAGCCTATCTTTTACAGCTTTCCAACTTTTAAGATTATCTCATGGCAGGGCACAGTGGCTCATGCCTGTAATCCCAGCACTTTGGGAGGCCAAGGGGGGCGGATCACAAGGTCAGGAGATTGAAACCATCCTGGCCAACATGGTGAAATGCCCTCTCTACTAAAAATACACAAGTTAGCCAGGCGTGGTAGCACGTGCCTGTAGTCTCAGCTACTCGGGAGGCTGAGGCATGAGAATCGCTTTGAACCTGGGAGGCAGAGGTTGCAGTGAGCCGGGATCGCGCCACCGCACTCCAGCCTGGCAACTGGCTACAGAGTGAGACTCCGTCTCAAAAAAAAAAAAAAAAAAAAAAAGATTATCTCATATGACCAAGGATGGTCCTCTGGCACATACTTACCCAGTTAATTGCATTACTTTCTATTATGTTTCCACTGTAAATATGTAGCCTAAATGTGGTTTTTATTTTCTGTGCTTTCTTAATTTTGCTTAAGTGAATATTTTGATTAAATTTCAATATTGTGCATCCTGTGAAAAGAAAACATTTAATAAGTTACTATGCTTAGGGTTTACATAATACATCCCATAAGCACCATTCATTTAAGCATCTACAGTATTTTAGCTGTTACATACAATATCGATGGCAAAGATGAATATTTACAGACTATTCTTAATAAGGTTATTGTCTCTTATAAACATTTATCAAAAAGCTGTGATACAAGTTAGAGTGAAAACTAGGAGAGATGTCACATCTCAACTTTCTATTCTATCCATAAATACAGAGGATGGATAAATTTTATCTTCAAATACCCAGAATGGGTATGTTTTTACCCTATATAACAGTGTATTATATATAATACATATATTTTATATTGTATGCAAGTTCACAAAATATTTTCTCTATGTTAGTATGTTAAGGAATGTAGATGCAAGAAGTGTTCCTGGAATTCCATGGCTCATGAATGAACAGAAGCTTTTTGAATGGGCAAATGAAGTCAGAATTGATCCAAATAATCCAGAATATTCTGATTTAATGGAATCTGTTACGGTAAGTTAAAGCAAATATCAATACTGTAAACATATTCTATTTCCTAAGCTCTACTTAGGAAAGTATAGTTTCCCCCATAGTTTGCTGTATATTTTTCTAGGCTCTTGGGGTTATGTAAAAGTAAATCTGAGGACAGAGACCATTTTCAACCAGTGTACAATACTGTAAAGACAATTAGAAACTCAGCAACTGAAATAATTCCTCCTTTAGGCCTGATGGATGGTCCTCTGCCACTACTTAGCAGCCACAGCACATCTGACAGTCTTTTATGCTAACATCTATTGTGCAGTTACCATGTGCCAGCCATGGTATTAGATACTGAAGATACCGAGATGATTTATAAACACACTCCTTCTCTCAGACTCCATTATATGGTCACCTCTACTCTTCTTTATAGCCAACTGAACTGCTCTATGTACCTCACACATGCTTTCTTCATACCTTTATTCATGCCACTGCTCTGCCTAGAAGGGTGTCCATAGCGGTTATCTTATTCACCCTGCAAGTCTAATAAATGCTTCCCTGGTAACCTCAGTTAGGCACCACATTTTCTTTCCTTGCTTTCCTGTTAACCTTTCTTCTTCTCTTTTAAAAAATCAACTCTTATGACTCTAATTTCATTCTGCCTTTTACTATAGGTTTCTTTGTTTTTTGTTGTTATTGTTGTTTGTTTTTTTTAGATGGACTCTCGTTCTGTTGCCAGGCTGGAGTACAGTGGTGCGATCTCGGGTCACCACAACCTCCGCCTCCCAGGTTCCGGCAATTCTCTTGCCTCAGCCTCTCGTGTAGCTGGGATTACAGCCACACGCCACTGCGCCCAGCTAATTTTTGTATTTTTAGTAGAGAGGGGGTTTTACCATGTTGGCCAAGCTGGTCTTGAACTCCTGAACTCAGGTGATCCACCTGCCATGGCCTCCCAAAGTGCTGGGATTACAGGCATGAGCCACTGCGCCCAGCCTACTGTAGTTATTCATTCATATATTTTATTTTTCCTTGTGGAACTACAGCTAAGAAATCTGTGTCTCTCTGATGGCAGCTAGCACTATTCCTCGTGTGTACTATGCACTCACATTTGCATTTGTTGAATAAAACAACCTATAGATTAGATTGCTGCAAGTAAACTCCCTAGATTAGAGCTTCTCAGCTGAGGTGCAGAATTGGTTATAGGTATACAGAAATATTGATCCTCTCTCAACTCAGGATGACCAGATAGGAACAGTCTCATCTGCCCTATCAGTGTACAATACAAAATTCAGTGTTCAGTGCGAATATTTTCGTTTTCTTTGTAAGTCATGACTGGGAAAAGGTTGGAAAGCCACAAAGGCTGGATTCTATTTTGTTTTGTTTTTTGTATGTTCTAGACTACAAATTCAGTTGTTCCATTTCCTACTTATATTGCCACTCAGATCTCACAGTTGGGGAAAAAGTCTTTTGAAGTAATTCCTGAATTAAAAAAAATTAATATTTTAACTAAAGACTTTGCGTTTTACAGTACATGAGACTTAAGGGGCAGGATATTCCAAAGTATTTTCGTCTTGAACAGTTGCAAGATGAATTTAACTTCGTTTCTGAAGAGGAAATGGCAAAGAGTAAACGTTTCCAGCTATTGCAACTTAGAAATGCAGGTCAATTAGATAATTTCCTTCTACAGCAAATGCCCCTCCATGATACAGAGATTCCAGATTTAGTCTTCCAGGTATTTGGTTTCTATTTGAATATGGCTTATTGTATGATAAAGTTAACGTTTTGCTGCTTTAACCCTATCTTAATTTATTTCTTTTTTTTTAAGCTAATAATCTGTAGACAGATTTCCTCCCTTCTCTTTAGGCATTAAAAATATACGTATCTCCCAAATTCCAGAAATTCTTCAGCTTGACTTTACGATTTAGTGTTGTCCAAACAGTCTATTCAGTATTCAGCAGCCAAAATCCTTTAGGCATATTCTAAATTTATGTAACTATTATATTTTTGTTATCATAAAATGTATCACCAATTTAAAAGCGGCTTTGGGAGTAAGGGGGAGAGACACTACCACAGTAAACTTAAACATTAATTATAAGGCCCATCTCAATGTTAGAATCTTTAAAATATTTCTAAAAGAAAACAAAAGCTGGGATGCACAATAGGTTCTCACTAGCTGGTGCCAGCCAGGTCTAGCACACTATCAAATAAGGCTAGCTTTTCATATTAGTTGCTTTAAGTTTGCTACTTGGTGAGATTTGGATATGGATCAAATATTAGATAATATTGGAGAATTGCTTGTGGTGCTTACGGCATTGTGGTTATGTAGAAGCATGTCCTTAGTCTTTGGAGATTCATGCTGAAGTATTTATCTAGAGATGCTTAAAGTGTCATCATGACTGTAATTGAGAATATGTTAGCCAAAAATAAAATAAATAAAAACAGATAAAACAAATATGATAAAATATTAATTATTTAATCAATGGGGTAGAGATATGGATTTTAAAATTTCTTTTTTTCAGCCAGGTGCAGTGACTCATGCCTGTAATCTTGGCACTCTGGGGAGCTGAGGCAGAAGGATAGTTTGAGTCCAGGAGTTTGAGACCAACCTGGGCAAAATAGTGAGACCTCATCTCTACAAAAAAATAAACAAAATTAGCTGGGCATGGTGGACCACACCTGTAGTGCCAGCTACTTGGAGGCTGAGGTGGGAGGATCACTTGAGGTCAAGGCTACAGTGAGCTGAGCTCCTGCCACTGCACTCCAGTCTGGGTGACAGAGTGAGACCCTGTCTTTAAAAAAAAAAAATTACACACACACCCACATACACATGTGTGTGTATATATATTTCTACTTTTCTATATGTTTGAAAATTCGAAAAAATTTTAAACAAAAATAAATAGCATCTAATATACCAGTAAAAACCCACTAAAAATGTAATTTAACAAATATATCACTTGTAAGAGCAATAAAGACTGTAAGATACATAGGAATATATTTGACAGAAGTTATGCAAAAACTCAACAGATAACATTTTGAAATATTTTTGAATGATATACAAAAGAATCTGAGTAAATGTTCATTGATAGGAAGAGTCAACATTGTAAACTGCCAATTCTACCCATATTAAACTGTAAATATAGAAATGCAATTCCCAACCAAAGAAATAGAATAGACTTATTATGCATATGTGGAAATTTTATATTTGACAGCATTGTCATTACAAATTGTTGCGGGAAGTCAGGGACCCCGAACGGAAGGACCAGCTGAAGCCATGGCAGAAGAACATAAATTGTGAAGATTTCATGGACATTTATTAGTTCCCCAAACTAATACTTTTATAATTTCTTACGCCTGTCTTTACTGCAATCTCTTAACATAAATTGTGAAGATTTCATGGACACTTATCACTTCCCCAATCAATATTCTTGTGATTTCCTATGCCTGTCTTTACTTTAATCTCTTAATCCTGTCATCTTCATAAGCTGAGGATGAATGTCGCCCTAGGACCCTGTGATGATTGTGTTAACTGCACAAATTGTTTAAACAATATGAAATCTGGGCACCTTGAAAAAAGAACAGGATAACAGCAATGTTCAGGGAACAAGGGAGATAACCATTAGGTCTGGCTGCCTGAGAGCCAGGCAGAACAGAGCCATATTTCTCTTCTGTCAAAAGCAAATAGGAGAAATATCACTGAATTCTTTTTCTCAGCAAGGAACAGCCCTGAGAAAGAGAATGTGTGCCTAGGGGTAGGCTTCTAAAATGGCCGCTCTAGGGATGTCTGTCTTTTACAGTTGTGGATACAGGATGAAATAAGCCCCGGTCTCCCGTAGCGCTCCCAGGCTTATTAGGACAAGGAAATTCCCGCCTAATAAATTTTGGTCAGACCGGTTGTCTGCTCTCAAACCCTGTCTCCTGATAAGATGTTATCAATGACAATGCGTGCCCAAAACTTCATTAGCAATTTTAATTTCGCCCCGGCCCTGTAATCTCACCCTGCCTCCATTTGCCTTGTGATATTTTATTACTTTGTGAAGCATGTGACCTCTGTGACCCACACCCTATTCGTACACTCCCTACCTTTTTGAAAATCACTAATAAAAACTTGCTGGTTTTACGGCTCGGGGGGCATCACGGAACCTGCCAACATGAGATGTCTCCCCCAGACATCCAGCTTTAAAATTTCTCTCTTTTGTACTCTTTCCCTTTATTTCTCAGACCGGCCGACACTTAGGGAAATAGAAAAGAACCTACGTGAAATAACGTTGAATTATTGGGGGCGGGTTCCCCTGATAACAAATCAGTTGGAAAAGAATGAAGGATGCATTAACTGGTTCTGGAATTGTTATTCATACATGTGGAAAGAAATAAAATTAGATTCAGACATCAGAAAAGAAATAAATACCATGTGTAGTGAAGATTACTTGTGAAAAGCAAAACTTGAAATGGGCATTTCAATTTTGGGATACAAAGGTATTTCTTAAATAAGACACGAAAAGTATAAATTATAAAGAACAAGATTAATTAGTTTTTCTTTGAGATGGAGTCTCACTTTGTCGCACAGGCTGGAGTGCAATGGCGTGATCTCGGCTCAGTGCAACCTCCACCTCCTGGGTTCAAGTGATTCTCATTCCTCAGCCTCTGTAGTAGCTGGGGCTACAGGTGTGCGCTGTCATGCCTGGCTAATTTTTGTATTTTTGGTAGAGACAGGGTTTTGTCATGTTGCCCAGACTGGTCTTGAACTCCTAACTTTAAGTGATCCGCCCGCCTCGGCCTCCCACAGTGTTAGGATTACAGGCATGAGCCACAGTGCCTGGCCAGATTAATAAATTTTATAACATTAAAATTAAAAACCTACAGATTAGAAAAGTTATTCCCAACATATATAAAATTAAAATATTAATATCCAGAGTATTGTGTTAACTCCTAAAACTTAATACTTTAAAAGTAAATAAAGTGATATGAGGCCGGGTATGGTGGCTCATGCCTGTAATCCCAGCCCTTTAGGAGGCTGAGGTGGGCAGATCACAAGGTCAGGGTTTCAAGACCAGCCTGACCAACATGGTGAGACCCTCGTCTCTACTAAAAATACAAAAATTAGCCAGGTGTGGCAGCACACACCTGTAATCCCAGCTACTTGGGAGGCTGAGGCAGGAGAATCACTTGAACCCAGGAGGCAGAGGTTGCAGTGAACTGAGATCGTGCCACTGTACTCCAGCCTGGGTGACAGAGTGAGACTCTGTCTCAAAAAAAAAAATGTAAATAACGTGATATGAAATGGCAATATAATATTTTGTTAAATAAAAGTTGTTACTTGCAAAAGAATTAATTTCAGGATTTCTTATGGATAATTAGAAGAACAAGTAACTTACCTTCAGATAATGAGCATGCGTTGTTTCATGGCTGAAGATTCTAAAGTATTTACTTCATTATTTTTGTATAGTCTTTAATAATATCTATAATATAAAATCATTTCCAAGTGCATTGGGGATATATAATACTGAAAATGCATAAATAACAAATGCAAATTTACTTTATTTAGATGAAGCATCCTGACAATCTTATACTGACTATATATGTAATATTAAAATTATTTATTATAGTCAACACACATTAACTACTTAGTATATGCCAGGCACTTTACAGATATTATTTCAATTAAGTCTCACAAACAATCTTGTGACAGAGGCATTATTATTATTACTGAAGAGGAAAGTGGGGTCTGGAGCAGTTAATCAACTTTTCCAAACTGCACAGTTAGTAAATGCCAGGGCCAACTTGAACCTAGGACTGTCTGCCTCCACTGCCCATGCTCTTAACCACGTATTTTGTTTTTAGTGATACAGGGCAAATGCATACATGAAGAATCTTTTCTCAATCCTCTTCACTTTTCTAAAAAATCATTTTCTCAGTCACAAATCTTGTTCTTAATCATTACTCTAATTTAAAAGATGAATGGACTTCAATCTAGACCCAAACAGAATATAGTTAGAAACTGGTTTTTAGCCTATCCTCAGTGGGAGAATCTAAAAGAAATGTTTTCTTCTGTCAGTCTCAGAATGTTTCCAGTGTCTTACACATGGACTGAAGTGACTAGTGATATTTATTGCAATGTGTCATATGTGAACTCTTTGTTACATTCAAGAAGTGAAACTAACAATTCTGTATTTAGGAGTATGAAAGTCAGAAAGAGAAGGAGGTATCCGTTTCAGATGTAAATTCTATTACAGCACAAAGGATTAATTCTGCCAATTTTCTGAAAAAGGTAACAACACAGTATTATCAATATATTTGCATTTGTTTTTGTGAAAACTGGTCTGCTAGATCCATGGTATTATAGTCCTTCCAGAGAGTCAGATGGACGAATCCACTCACTCGTCACCTCTTTCAGATCACTGAGGAGTTTTCTGTTCTTTTCAGACCTCTTTTTGAGAGTTAGGTTACTTCATTGACAGTGAACTCATTATTAAAGCACATCCCAACCTTTTCTGTTTAAACATACATTTTAAAGACTTCCCATCTCTTCTTTGACTCTAAAAGTTCACCTTGAGAGATACCCCAGCATTTTGCCAGAACTCATATTTACTGGTGCCTCATGATGTCAAGGACTATAGCAATTCAGGAGATGAAGGGATGAAGGAGCTACCAGAGGCACACAGACAGTATTAGAAAAATAGATACGCTTTGAAACGAAGCCAAATAGTGAATATTTACAAAACACTCTAGCAGAGTCTTAACCAGGTTTGAGTGGAATCCTTCACTGGATTTCATGCCTGATTTCTATCAACCCCTCATCATGCCACTAGACTTAGAAGCTTAGTGCAGGGGCGACATCTACAGATCCTTAGTGCCTAGCATAGTATCTTACACTGAGAAAATGCTGATAAATGTTTGAGAAATTAATGAATTAAAGGATGGGAGTTGAGGTGGTTTCTACAACTCCTACAAAAGTAGACTCTTACCCACCTACATCTTCTTTGCTGTAGAGCACCAGTGCAGCCTTGCAGGGTAATTTGAAAAGAAGCAAGGAAAGCTATGGAAAGAGCTAAGAGATACATTCCAGATCCCTCATGGGGACAGGTGAGAGGCAACCATGTATAGCTAGTAGAGCCCCAGGCAGGTGTCTGAAGACCTGTTCTTACTACCCTGTGTGTCACTGGCAAGTAACCAAATCACTGAGTCCCACTTTATTTTTTACAAAAACGGACAATATTAATGCTTGCTTTGCTTTACATCCAATGTGAGGGGCAAATGAGATCAAACCACAAGTGTTCTTCTAGTTCGTACACCATGACTGTGAGATGGAATGTGGACCGCTGTAGCTCTCCCAGGCATGAGACAGCCCCCTTTATCACTGGCAGCTGTTTTTCCCACTCATCCCCTGCCTCTCTTACTTCTTTACTAGCTTGCTGTATGTTTTAAGTTGGGATGTGCTTTAATAGTGAGTTTGTGGTCTCGGGAAATAAAGAAGTGTTCTTGCTTATAAGAAAAGAGAACACATATCCTCCTTATCCTGTTTCTTCTTTTTTATGTAAGGAGAAGCCCAGGAGGGAGGGTAGCAGAGGGTTAGGAAGGATGTAAGAGAGCAAGTATCTGAGTATGCTTGAACTTCATACAGGAATCCCGGAAAGGCACTTTCCAAACATTTTGTGTTTAGATTTTAACTCCTTGTGAAGACTTCTTTGCTGAGGACAGTTTAAAACTACAGGTTTGAAAAATAAAATAAAATGAAACTACAGGTTTGGTAGTTTCATGGGATAATTACTATAATCAAAGATACTGGAAAAGTTTGCTTCTGGAGGCCTATTACGGCCATAGGTACCTAAATCCTTCTATGAGAGGAACTCATGGAACTGTGAGTTATGTGCATTACATTTCCTGCTGTGTTACTGGAGTCAGTGATGGCTGAGGCCAGGATTACAGCAGTACAGAATGAGGTCCCAGTAGTCTCAAATATTACTAAAGTTTTTACTGAAACGTTTTCTCTAAGAGGGTAGCACATCTCTTCAATCTGTCCATTTCATTAATTTATTCAAGAAATATTTATTGAGCACCTATTATAATCCCTGAGCTCCTTGAGTATATATTCTATAAGTCAGATAATTGGAAACACATTATTAGTATGTTACAGAGTGAAAGGTGCTATGAAAAATAAAGTAGGAAGAGAGAACAGGAGTTCTGGGTGGAGGGGAGGGGTTGGGGTGAGTAAGGGCACAATTTTAAATAGAAGTGGTCAAAGAATCCGGTAAGAAGGTAACACTTCTGCAAAAGACCTAAAGGAGACAAGGAAGCTAGCCATGGAAGTTTAGGGAAAGAATATTCTAGGCTGATGGAACCCAGCGTAGAAAACTTGGCGTAGAAGCACACCTGGCCTGTGGGAGGAACAGCCAGGAGCTCAGCCTGCATCGTGCCAAGGGAAAGTGGGAGAAGAGAGAGAGTGGCCAGTGAAGGGGCCACCGGGGTCTTGTTCACCTTCAAGGGAAACAATTTGTTGTCCGTGTGGCAGGATAATTTTTAGGAGTTATGTTTTTCCCATTCATCTCTCACCACTCCATTTCCCTACCCGCTTCAAGAAGATAACTAGGGTCTCGATTACATTGTCTCCAGAATGATCTTTGACAGGACAGAAAGCAGAAAATTGCCTCCAGACATGCTTCTGCCTGGTTTCATATCTGAAAAACTAAAGACAGGGTAAGAGGAGAAAGGGAAGGATTTCCTCAGACTAAAAAGGAGATGTTCAGAGTCCTTGGAGGAGCTAAGATCTGTGGGTTCTCCAAGTAGGAAGAGGGAGATGGCTTCCTTCAAGCACTGACTTTCTTGCCAGGCTGCCAGAATGAGGTCTTAAAGTCAGAATAGGATTGACTCGAAGGAAATACAGAAATGGGATCAAAATTCCTTGGGTTTGTAGATCAAGACTCATATCCATTACTAGTGGCTATTGTAGAAGTGGATTCACAGGGCAATTGTCTCCTTTGGTGAAAACTAGTTCTGGCCACATACACTGTGAGTTAGATGAAAAAAATAAGAGAGCAAAGAGTTTAGGATGAGATGAACTGGATGTAGAAAGACAAAAAAAAGTGGAAATAAACTAGCTTTGGTGTGACAGTGTCAAAGTTGGAAATTACTTTAATAATGGCAGCAAACAGAAGAGTATTTTCACTTGTCTAATCTCCTACTCCATTCATTGCTTGCAAAAATTAGGAGTAAAATATACTGGCACCGGTAGCATTGTAAATACTTAACCTTAAAATATAAACAATACATTTTTTATTAAATTCTAAATTTTTTTTAGGTGAGAAGGTTGATAATGAAGAGAATTGTTAAAATTAGCAAATGTAACTTGTCAGATATTGTGAATGATTATGAAGAAATTGTATCTACAAGGTAATTGCTAAAAACTATTAAGTATGAAATATAAACCTTTAAGATAATATCTTTAAAATCCTCTAAGTTCTCTATTTTTATTTTAATTAAGCCATATGTCAAAAGATGCGGTTTCAGATCATAACATGAAATATAATGATTTAAAATATTTGGTCAATTTAAAGTTGCATTTTGGGATCTCTACATGATATATTTTCAATTATATAGTATTTGGGGGCAGTTTTTTGCCCTCTCCTTAGACAGGTTTCAGGGCAAGAAAGAAAAATAAAAGAAACACCTTTGTCCCAAATTAGTTTTGCCATAAGATTTCCTGTCCTGAGACTGCTATAGGAAAAGTTGTTGCTGCTAGCACCATGCTAAGCCTGTAATCACCCCTTTGCAAAACAGAGAATCCTCAGCTGTACAAAGGTACTGAGATCCACAGGCAGCAGTTGGGGGAGCGTTTGCTGAAGTAACTCAATTCTCATACTGTCCTATCTGTGAACTAAGGGTAGGAACAGGGCTGTCTCTGGGAAAACTCCCTGGAGGCCACATGCAGACTCCTGGAATGATCAGTAAGGTTTTCAACGGGTTTAGGATGCTGAACTCTATTGTGTTTTACTTTTCAGTCCTTGAGGGGAAAATGAGTGTGACCATAAAACTATAATTCTATGGATTTGTGTTGCCTGGGTTGGCGGCATATATAACTAATTCTAGTTTCAGAGCCATGGATAAAATGTTAATATTCGGGCACTTTCAAGAGAATGATTCCTGAACAATGAATAATCTTCCAAAAGATCATCATGTTTCATGGCTTTACCTCTCCATGTCCACGTATCTGTTTGGACCATGTACCCAAGGGGCAAGGAGCAATCACAGTCTCTCTCAACATGAAGGAACATAGCATCTCTTCCTTCCTATGCTAAGAAAAATATTTCTCCTTGAGTTTAAGACAATTCTGTCTCCCCTCCATAATGCAGAGAATATGGTTTAGAATAATGGTCTCATTTCAATTACTCAAAAGACTGTTATCTTTTAAAACCAAGAAAACGTAAATGAGGCTAATGATCATTTTTTACCCTTTAGCCAATTGACAGATGCAGTTTGTAAGTTTGTTGAACCACGGAGAAAGTTAAAACCTCAGAGGAAAGAAAGGAAAAAAGTCACAGCGCAGGCGATCTCTGACGGAGATATTAAGATTCTTGTCCGAATAGTGAGGGCCTATAATATTCCTACCAGAAAAACAACAATTAATGGGTAAGGCAATATGCCCCAATTTTTAGAGTTGCAAAAGGTCTATTTTAAATGTGAGAATTCTCCATGCTGTTCTATTTGTAAACCTTTGCACTTTGTTAATGCTCCATATACATAAAATGAATGAAAATTGAAATCTTCATTTGCATAGTCATACCTACTGTCAATGCCATGTATTAAGAGTTTTCTGAGGTTCGAGATTCCCAGAGTAACTTTAACATGTATATTTTGAGGGTATTGGCTGCATGCTCACCTTCTCATACTGTATCAAGTAAATTCCTTTGTCTCTATTCCCTGTTGTGAAAATTCTGAAGCTTCTGCTGCCAACTGCCCTATTCCATGCCACTGACTCTCTCAGTACTGGAAGCAGAAAGGTGGAGAAAATGCCCCAGGAAAGCTGCGAAGCAAATGTGGAATGGTGTGTAAAATCAGAATTGCTACAGTTACACCCTGCTCTGTTTTAGACCTGTTATTTTTAGGTAACATCTACAAATTGTATGTGCCCCATTGGGTTTTATTTGTGTTTTGGGGGCAGAGGATACATGGGGCCAGAGTGGACATCACTAGTGGGTGGGCAAAGTACAGCATCATGAATATTAAGTGCCCACGTGTATTTAGTGTATCCTGGATATTTAGTGTCTCATATATGTAGTGTCAGTATGATTTATATATTACTAATATTTATACCCAAATGCCTTAAGAATGTTAGGCATTCCCCTCTGTCTGTGTTCAATACATGTGCCCTGCTTGCTTACATTTATGCCTACCACAGCTCATGAATTCTTCCTATGAAAAACAAATGCTTTGCTTACTGGCTACTAATCTATAGTTAACATCTCTTAAAGGTTTTGCCAGTGTCTTACAAATTACAGCCTTGTTCTTCTAAAAGAATTAAGTATGCTCAAAACAAATGCATATTTCAAAGGCTGTTTTGTGAAATAAAGACATATAAAATCACCACCATTTTCTATAAGCATCATGCTGCTAAAAAAAAAAAAAGAATATTGTAACACCAAAAAAGTAGGAGGGATATATTCTTAAAGTATAACTTGTCATATATATATAGAAAGAGTGTGTATATATATAGAGTATATATATATAGAGAGAGAGAATATATATAGAGTGTATATATAAAGAGTGTATATATATATATATATAGAGAGAGAGAGAGAGAGAGTGTATATATATATATATAGAGAGAGAGAATGTGTGTGTGTGTGTGTGTGTGTGTGTGTGTGTGTGTGTGTGTATGTATGTGTATATATATATATATATATATATATATATATATATATATATATATAGTACAGTCCAGCCCTACGGGGCTTAGCAGGGATTCTCCCTGTGTGCAGAGACGAGAGATAGTAAGAAATAAAGACACAAGACAAAGAGATAAAGAGAAAACCGCTGGGCCCAGGGGACCACTACCACCAAGATGCAGAGACCGGTGGTGGCCTCAAATGGCTGGGCGCACTGATATTCATTGCATACAAGAAAGGGGGCAGGGTAAGGAGGGTGAGTCGTCCAAGTGATTATAAGGTCAAGCAAGTCACCTGATCATGGGACAGGGGGCCCTTCCCTTTTAGGTAGCCAAAGCAGACAGGGAAGGCAGCATACATCAGTGTTTTCTTCTATGCACTTGTAAGAAAGATCAAAGACTTTAAGACTTTCACTATTTCTTCTACCGCTATCTTCTAAGAACTTCAAAGAGGAACCAGGAGTACGGGAGGAACATGAAAGTGGACAAGGAGCGTGACCATTGAAGCACAGTGCCACAGGGAGGGGTTTAGGCCTCCGGATGACTGCAGGCAGGCCTGGATAATATCCAGCCTTCCACAAGAAGCTGGTAGAGCAGAGTGTTCCCTGACTCCTCCAAGGAAAGGAGACTCCTTTCACAGTCTGCTAAGTAACGAGTGCCTTCCCAGACACTGGCGTTACCGCTTGACCAAGGAGCCCTCAAGCGGCCCTTATGCGGGTGTGACAGAGGGCTCACCTCTTCCTTTCTAGGTCACTTCTCACAATGTCCCTTCAGCATCTGACCCTATACCCGCCGGTCATTCCTTGGTTATATTAGTAATACAAAAAGAGTAATATTAAAAGCTAATGATTAATAATGTTTATACTAATGACTGATAATGTCCATGATCATCTCTATATCTAATCTGTATTATAACTATTCTTATTTTAACTATTTTCCTTATTACACTGCAACAGTTTGTGCCTTCAGTCTCTTGCCTCGGCACCTGGGTAATCCTCCACCCACAATATATATTTTAATTGACATCCATCGTGAATAACTTGCCTTTTCTTCCCCTTTTTCTGAATACCTGTGAATATTTTATCATAGACGAGATCTAATCCATAGTTCAATATTTAGGAGTTGCGCTTCCAGAGTAGTAATTATCAAATGTTTAGCTGTAACCACACATGATAAGACAATTCAAGGCAAACTCAGTAAGAACCAGAGAAACTGACTTATATATCTTCATAAGCACAGGAAAAACCCACCCACTCCTACCAAAACTAATATTAAAACTAATTAAGGTGTATGTCTCTCTATTGTTTTTCCTGAAGATCCTTGGATATGCCTACTTGTTTGAAATCATCTATATCTTGCCTCAGACATAGAGAAACAATCAAATCAGTAGCCTCAGATGAGACCTTACATGAGGTAAGTATTTAACACTTCTATAAAGTATAATATTGATTATGTTTGTTCTGAATTACAATTGACTCTTAATTCATCTCTCCATCTATATTTTCTTTGGCTTCCAGTTTATTTTCCATGACACAGTAAAGGTGGCCTTTATAAAATGTAATTCTAACTATTTCATTCCCTGCTCTCAGGGTCTATATGATAAGGTGTAAGCTCCTTAAAATGGCTACAAAATCTTCAGGCATCTGGCCCATGCCTACAATCAGCCTCATCTCTTTCTATCCCATAGGCATATCATGCTACTCCTTGTTCTATGAGGCCTCTACTAGTTGTTTCCTTTGCCTGGAATGGCCTCGACGCATATCCATGTTATTGTCCAAAGGAACTACGACTTAAAGTTTCAAAGCACACGCTCAAGCAATGTTTTCTCCATGATGCTCTCCTTATTGTCACCCCCAAAAGTTAATCATTCCTTTTCCTGAATAATTTTCATACCTTAAAGATGTTTCTCTTATTTCTCACATTTCATTGCACTTGTTTGTTTACCTGTATATTTTCCCCTGATAGACTTTAAAATCCTTAAGAGAAAGTTCTGTTTATCTTTAGATCCTAGAAAAGTACCTGATATAGAATAGACCCAGTAGATGTTTATTCAATAAATAAATAAATAATGGTCATTTGAAAAACTAGAAAACTTAAGCCATACATTTGCCAAGTAATTTCCTAGGCCTCTACCTTTATCGACTATATATAGTATTTCAAAATCTAGTCAATGTTTATTATGTGTTTCAGGATACTGTACATCCATTCGTGGAAGTTTCTTTCCAGCACACTGTATACAAAACCAATACAGCAAGTGGATCTCATCCATGCTGGAATGAAGAAATTAAAGTAGATTTTGTGTAAGTTGGAGTTCATTTTTCCATAGCTCCTAAAAAAAGAGCAATAATAAAATTATTTTCTTGAGCCACTTATTGAAAATAATTATTGAAATAGGCTTTATTTAAGCTTTTAAATTTTGAAATATTTCATGCACATAAACTAATACATAATGTATACTGTATAGCATAATATATAATCTATATGTATATATAAACATAAGTTCTAAAGAAAAGTAATAAAATGAATATCTATGTATTTACCATCCAGCTTAAAAACATGTAATATTACCAACACCTTAGAAGGCCCTTTGTGCCATTACCTAACGGCATCTTCTTTCTTTCTCCCTAGAGGTAATAACCATGAATTTGTGTTTATCATTCTTTCTCTCCTGTATGACTTTACTTCATAGGTATTCATCCCTAAGTATGTATTATTTACTTATGTATGTTTTCAACTTTATATAAATTGAGTTATATTTGTTTATTCTTCTGTAATCTTGTTTCTTTAATTATTTTGAAAGATTCATCCATGTTCATGCTTGTAGCTGTTTGCTGTGGCCTAAATGTGCTCCCCAAAATTCATGTGTTGAAAACTTAACTCCCAATGCTGGGAAGTGAGGCCTAATGGGAGGTGTTTGAGGCCATGAGAGCTCCACCCTTATGAATAGATTAATGTCATTATAAAAAGGGCTTGCAGTGTGGGTTCACTTTCTTCTACTCTTCCGCCATGTGAGGACACAGCATTTGTCTCCTTTTTCCCTTCCACCTTCCACTATGTGAAGACACAGCAAGAAGGCCCTCACCAGACACCAGATGCTGACATCTTGATTTTGAACTTTGCAGCCTCCATAATTGTAGGAAATAAATTTCTGTTCTTTATAAATTACCTAGTCTCAGATACTCTGTTATGGCAGCACAAAATGAACTAAGACATTGTTATTTTTTTATTTTTATTTCTATATTGTATTCTGTTGTATAAAAATGCCATAATTTATTTATACTTTCTTCTGTTGATGAACATTGGTCTTTTTTCTAATTTTTGCCATTACAAGCAATATTGCTTTGAACATTCTTGTACTTGTCCTCTGGAGCACATGTGCAAGAGTTTCTTTTTAAGACAGTGGCTCTCAGACCTTTTTATGCATTCAAATCATCTAGACAGCTTTTTTTTTTAATTAGGACAGGATCTCACTCTGTTGCCCAGGCTGAAGTGCAGTTGTATAATCATAGCTCACTGCCTCAAACTCCTGGGCTTAAGTGATTCTCCTGCCTCAGCCTCCCAAGTAGCCGAGACTACAGGAGTGTACCACCACACCCAGCTAATTTATTTTTATTTTTGTAGCACTAGGGTCTCACTATGTTGCCCAGGCTGGTGTCAAACTCCTGGGCTCAAATGATCCTCCTGCCTGGCCTCCCAGAGTGCTGGGATTACAGGCATGAGCCACCACACCTGGCCTGCTTCTTAAAACACAGATTGGTAAGCCCACTTCTGTAGTTTCTAATTCAGTAGGTCTGGGGTAGGGTCTGATAATTCCATCTTTAGCAAGTTCCCAGTGGTTCTAATGCTACTAGTCAGGTGACACTTTGAGAACCTGTTTTCTAGGATATGTGTTCAAAAGTGGAATTGCTAGGTTGTAGCTGAAGTCAGCTTCAACTTTACTGGACAATGCAAACTCTTTTCTAAAGTGATTATATCAATATACACTCCCAACAGCAGTATATACAATTTCCTTTTGTGCCATGTCTTCATAATATTTTGTGTTTTAAAAATTATTTTTCTCAATATGGTGGATCTAAAATTATATTCTCATTGTGGTTTAATTTATAATTTCTTTTTAAAGAGGCAGTTTTTTTTTCAATTTTTTTTAAATTAAGAGACTTTATTTTTAGAGCAATTTTAGGCTCACAAGAAAATTGGATGGGAAGTACAGAGTTCCCACAAATGCCCTCACCACAGCACACACACAGCTCCCTCAGCATCAACATCTGCATTGTGTGATATTTGTTACAATCAATGAGCCAACATTGATACATCACTATCAACCATAGTCCATATTTAACGTTAGGGTTTACTCTTGGTGTTGTACATTCTATAGGTTTTGACAAATGTACAGTGACATGTATCTACCATTATAGTATCACACAGAATGGTTACACTCCCCTAAACATCCTGTGTGCTCTGTCTATTCATCCCTCCCTCCCCCTGGAACCTTGCCAACCACTGATCTTTTTACTGCCTTCACAGTTTTGCCTTTTAAAGAATGTCATTGTGTACATCAAGGTTCTCCAGAGAAACAGAAACAATAGGATGTAGACAGAGAGAGAGAGAGAGAAATTTATTTTAAGGAATTGGATCACATGATTGTGGAGGCTGGCAAGTCCACAATGTGCAGGGTAGGATGGCAAGCTGGAGACTTGGGAAAGAGTTGCAGTTTAAGTCTGAAGGAAATCTGCTGGCAGAATTCCCTCTTCCACAGGGGAGGTCAGTCTTTTGTCTATTAAGGCCTTCAACTGATTGGATAAGGTCCACCCTTATTATGGAGGGTTATCTGCTTTACTCAAAGTCAACTGGCTTAAACTGTACCTAAAAAATACCTTCAGAGGCCAGGTGCAGTGGCTCACATCTGTAATCCCAGCACTTTGGGAGGTCGAGGCGGGTGGATCACTAGAGGTCAAGAGTTTGAGACCAGCCTGGCCAAGATGGTGAGCTGTGCTGGTGGATGCCTGTAATCCCAGCTACTTGGGAGGCTGAGGCAGGAGAATCGCTTGAACTCAGGAGGAGGAGGTTGCAGTGAACAGAGATCGCGCCACTGCACTCCAGCCTGGGCGACAGAAGGAGACTCCGTCTCAAAGAAAAAAACAAAAAACAAACAAAAAAACCTTCAGAGAAACATCTAGAATAATGTTTGACCAAATATCTAGAAACTGTGTCTCAGCCCAGTTGACACATAAAATTAGCCATCATAGTCATATAGTTGGAATCATACAGTATGGAGCCATTTCAGATTGGCTTTCTTCCATGAAAAACATGCCTGTCAAGTTTTCTCCATGTCTTTTTATAGCTTGATTGCTTACTTCTTTTTACCCCTGCATAATATTCTATTATATGGATGTATCACAGTTTACTTATTTATCCACATTGAGCTTCTTTCCATAGGTTCATTGGTCATTGGTATTTTCTTTTCTGTGAAATGACCTTTCATTACTTTTGTCTGTTTTTCTTTTTTTTTTCTTTTTGGAAATTATTTTATTTCTTCCATGATGATTTAGAGGGACTATCTTCAAACCAGTACAAATATTTCATAAATAATATCTGACTGTTTTCTAACCAATTGAGTAATTTGTTGCACAATAAGCCACCTCACATCTAAGCAAGAAATACATTAAATTTGACTAGTAAAGACATTATATAATGCATTAGGACACAATTAAAATTTGCTTTAAATATTTATTTGAGAGAGAGGACACCACACTTCTTCTCAATGAAGAGAAACATTTTTACAGTCCAGAGGTCTTTTTTTTTTTTTTTTTTTTAACACCAATTATGCCATGACTTTATAGGGAGTAGGTTCCAGCAGCTCAGGCTCCTTCCCATTGGGTCTCACAAAGGGTGCTTCTCTGGGTGAAGCAGGCTGGCACTTCAGTTGAACCCAGGTACCTTTCTCTCTGGCTTCTTTTTCTGATCATTTTCCTTCACGTGTTTCGGGAAGCTATCTCAGCTCTTAGAGCACTTATGTGCTCAATACACACATTAATTCTCTTGGCAAGAATCTTGCCCTTCTTTGTTTACAACAATGCCAACAGCATGTTGGGTAACATTGTAGACTCTTCCAGTTTTGCCGTGGTAACACCTGTGGGCATTCCTTTTTAAACAATATCCATTCTCTTGATGTCTACAATATCACCTTTCTTATAGATTCGCATATACATGGCCAAAGGAACAACTCCATGTTTTCTAAAAGGCCTAGAGAACATACATCAGGTGCCTTTCTTCTTTTCCTTTGCGTTCATCATTTTGGCGAATTACTGGAAGATGGCTGCTCCAGCCGAAAGGATACTTTTCTCTATTTTTCTATTGTTTCGTCTGTCTTTATTTATTTATAATAAATAAATAAATAAATAAATAAAATGTATTTATATATTTATCTTTGAGGCGGAGTCTTGCTCTGTCGCCCAGGCTGGAGTGCAGTGGCGCGATCTGGGCTCACTGCAAGCTCTGCCTCCCAGGTTCGAACCATTCTCCTGCCTCAGCCTCCCGAGTAGCTGGGACTACAGGTGCCTGCCACCACGCCCAGCTAATTTATTTGTATTTTTGATAGAGACAGGGTTTCACCATGTTAGTCAGGATGGTATTGATCTCCTGACCTCATGATCCTCCCGCCTCGGCCTCCCAAAGTGCTGGGATTACAGGTGTGAGCCACCGTGCCCGGCCTGTCTTTATTTTTTTTAAAGCAATTCTCTATATATTATGGATACCAGCCCTTTGTGAGTTATATGTGTTAAAACTATCTTTCCCTAATGGCTTGACTTTTCATTTTCTTTATGATGCATTTTGATGAAAAGAAGTTTTAAACTGTACCAGTCCTTTCCTTTATGGTATGTCCTTTTAAAAAAATCTTCTTTAATAAATAGTGGTCTTCCTTTACTTTCCTTACTTTAGAACATATGTCAACTTGCATTAAAATTTTAGACCATCGCATTTTCTGAAGAATGAGTGAGGATATCTTTTTCAATAACATTCCTGTATATAAAAGTATTTTTAGTTAAAATAGTTAATAAATCAGATTTTTAAATCCAAAAAGAAATATACACCTATGTTCCTGCTTGCTACCAAGAAGGAATAAAACAGATATAGACTAGAATAATCCTTTATGTGGTGTTTAGGGACACACACATACACACACACACAGACCCAGTAAAATGGATCTAATTCCATTGCCACTTCCTTTAGTATTGCTATGCTTTACTGCTGGGTATAAATTTCTCTCATGAGCAGGTATGTGTAGCTATTAAACATCTAAACATTTTTTCAAATAATATGTTTCTTTTTATTTTGAAAGGTGGGAAAATTTACTTCTTATTCATACACATAGAGCAGGATTGTCGTGGATTAGCCATCATTTTATATTTTTTTATAATTTATTTTCTATAATTTCCTACGAATATTTTATATTTCATGTTTTCATCGTTTATATGATTTTATAGGATTTCTATGCTTTATCTGAAGCCTATGTTAATATATAACCCCACTAACAAAGGCTAAAGGAACTCAGAAGAACCGATATAATCACTTGCATATATGTGATGACATCTTGGAGGCTATATAAACATTCACATCCCAGCCACCCCTTCTGAAAGTGAAAGGCTTCAGATCCTAAACAGGATTTGCAAGGAAAGGGAGACCCTGTTTATGCCATTATTTCAAATTAGGGGTAGGGGAACTATAAGGAAGCACACCTTAGAATTTTGTTAGCTTAGATACTATGGAACTTCTGCTATTAGCAGAAATCAAATTTGTTCTTCCAGATTCAACATAGGCTCAATTATATTTTCAGAGTCATTGGCCAGAGTTCCTAAACAGATATTCTTGTTATTTGGCTGCCTGTCTGAATCTTGTACCTCTCACTTTGCCTTGTTTTCTGACACTTGCTTTCTTGAACTATTTATTCTTTGTGTGTGAAGGAAATTATTGACTTAAAGGGAAATCTGTTATATAATATTGTATAATATCAAGTTAAATAATTAACATATAAAATGTATTTGTTTGAAAAGTTTGTAAATGTAAAATGTGTGGTCATGTGTGTTTGCAAATATTTGGAATATTAATGTAGACATTAGAGTTAGAAGAAATATACTGTATTAAATAAATTTAGGAGAACATAAAACAGTCAATAAGATACATAAACTTATAAGTGAACTAATGAGAAGACTTGGGAGTGTTTACATCCTTGCAATTATAGCAGTGAAATAGGCCAAGAACAATGTAGAGCACAACCAAGTGGATCAGAGGCTTTGGATAAGGCAAAACCATCCAGCTACTACTTTTTGTTGCCTCTGATACAAGACCCCAACTCCCCTCTTCTTGTGACATTTTAGTGAATAAAAACCACAAGCAAATGGATAAGTAGTCATAATAAATAATATTTATAAGTAATAAATAATATTAAATAATTAGCTCCATAAGCCCTTTCTGGGGGAAGAATTATGGTAACATCTGAAGAACATTTTAACAGAATACAGAATGCAAAATAATGCAGAAGGACTTAAGTGATGTCAGGAATATACTAAGTTAACAAGCTAAAAAATGTTGTAAGGATGACAGTTGTTCTTTCTCCTGCTAGCACAATGTTGTAAATAAATATTGCCTGCCCCGCCCTTTCTTAGATTCTGGCAACATGAAAGGAAATCCTTGAGGAACAAAGTAGGGGAGTCAGCTAGTTATTTTATCACTAGGAAATATAAGGAAACTTCCACTTAAAATTGTTCTCTAAACTCAACTAGCATTTTTCAATCATCATTGCTTGTAGGCTTCAGAAAGTTAGAGAAGCTGTTGAAGATCCTTTGAAATAGTGGTTGCTTCCTTAAGCAACAAGATTCAACAAGTAATGTCAGTGGCAGCTGTATAATGAAAAGACCTGGTCTTTGGAGTTTGTTAGAACCGGGTCCAGCCAAGTGTGGTGGTACAGCCTGTAGGCCCAGCTACTCGAGAGGCTGAGGTAGGAGGATCACTTGAGCCCAGGAGTTCAAGATCAGCCTGGGAAAGATAGACCCTGTCTCAAAAAATAAATAAATATATATATATATATATATATAGAAATAAATAAACTAAATAAAAATATTAAAAAGAAGAAAAGCTATGTCCAGATCAGGCTCTGTGATTTGCTGGTGGCATTACCTTGAGTAAGTTATTTAACTTCTGTGAGCTTCAGTTTCTCTGTGTAAAGTAACCTATTGTACAGGATTGAGATTTCCATCACTGTTAAATGTTTGATGGAGATTCAGTGCACAAACTGGAGCTGAGAGTGAAAGTTCATTGCTCATGATATACACTACCCTTTCAACTACCTCCAAAATGTACCTAATCAAGAATGCCATCAGCAGACAGCTTGCAAAATTAAATGCACTCCATTATCCCAGTTTCTGCTTGGAGAAAATTAACATGGGAAAGAGAATAAATTCCGTTATTTATTTATGTATTTATTTAGAGATGGAGTTCTGCTCTTGTTACCCAGGCTGGAGTGCAGTGGCGTGATCTCGACTCACTGCAACCTCCGCCTCCCGGGTTCAAGCGATTCTCCTGCCTCAGCCTCCTGAGTAGCTGGGATTACAACCGCCTGCCACCAGGCCCGGCTAATTGTGTGTGTGTGTGTGTGTGTGTGTGTGTGTGTGTGTGTGTGTATTTTTAGTAGAGACAGGGTTTCGCCATGTTAGCCAGGCTTGCCTCGAACTCCTGACCTCAGGTGATCCACCCGCCTCGGCCTCCCAAAGTGCTGGGATTACAGGCGTGAGCCACCATGCCGGGCCGTAAATTCTGTATTTAAAGTCATATCTATTAACTGGGAATAAAAGAGCATTTTATCTCTATGTGTCAACTAGCAGAAACTAGCAGAATTTAAGATAGTTGAAAAATCTATACAATACTCCAAAGAATCTTTGCAATTGATAGCTGTAGTGAAAGCCTTTCTGTTCAACACTTAAACATTTTTATTTTTCATCTTAAGAGACATGTAAATTACAAAGCACATGCTGGCTCTAATGAAAGGTAGCAGCCAGTCTTCAGAACATAGAACTTTTTCTTAGTTTATACTTCATAAAAGAAAACAACACAGGTAATTTTATAGTTCTTTATGAATAGTGCTCTTAGGAAATAAGTGGATTTTGAGAAAATTAAGCATTTGAATATATTTTTCTTATTTGCAGCTCACCAGGACATGATTATAGCTTCTCAAGCTTATCTAAAATAAAAGATAACATATATATCAACATTTTTGATGAAATGATGACTGAAAAACATGAGGTAAAGTAGAATAATTACAATAGCCAATGCTGAAATAATTCTAAGGTCAAACTGAATGAAGTCTACTAACATGTTTGTAAATATGCTTTTAGATGCAATGTCTACATCCAACATTTTCTTGAAAGGATTTGAGGCAATTTGCAATAAAATCAGACATATAACAAGTCAGTTCAAAAATAACAGAGATCATAAACCACATACAGGAGGAGGAGGAATAAATATTATCAAGAACTTGGGAGAAGTAGGTTTCTGCAATTGAACATTACAATTAAATGTGAGCTTCCTGTAGCCAATACAGAAATATAAACAGAAATAGGTTACATATATCTTATTATCTGATCAAAGAAAATATACCACTCCTGCAAAAGAGATCAAATTATTCCTAAGGCTAAAATTCAGTTCTACTTAATCTAATTTCTAAAATTACTGTCATCCTCATAGATGTGTAAAAGTTCCTAGCACAATGCCCAGCACCCTAGCAAGCTCCAAAATAAACGTTAGTTTCCTCACTATTGAACTTGCTACTAAAAATATAAAGATGCATACCCATAGTATCTACTCTTTTAAGGTATGTAGATTAAATGCTTTAATAGAAACGTTTTCCAAATTCTATGGCAATGCTACTGAAGGAGCAATTAATTCTACCTGGAGGGCCTGGGGATCCATGTCAGAGAAGTTGAACAAGACCTTGAAGAGTAAGGTTCAGGAACGAGCCTTCTGTAAAAACCACTGCAAATCATAATGGCTATGTTTTCCAACTCAGTTTTCCAGGAGATACAACACACATTCTTATTAAAGAAACTTTAAATCAACCATGATAAATGCTGAAGGTAAAATATTGAGCAATAATTTGGTGATAGCTTTTCTCCAAGGAGTTAAACTGAGTAGTGTTTTGATGATCGAAATTGGTAACGGGTAAAGCTTAGAAAACCCAAAAGAATGTCTAACAAATTTTTTCTCTCAAAAGTGAATTATCTCAAAGACTAATTTGATCAGAATTGAATAGCAGTTGATTAACAACTGAACCCTTGAAAGTGCTTTGCATTGTTATTAGAGTGAGTTTGTTGTTATTGGAATGAGATCCACATGCTTTAGGTATCAGACTTGTTTGTGACAATATTGGCATGCTCTTTAAAAAAGGAAAGGGCCTTGCATTCTTGTCCTCCTCTCATGGACAAGGTTTTAGGGTAGCTATGGGCCAAAACATTCCATTGTCTTCTAAATGACTAGAGCCAGGCTGAGCCCCGAGATAGCCACACAATTGAAAGAAGGTTTTAAGTTATCACTGAACATTATTTTGTCTAGAAATGTTTCATTTTTCCTCTTTTTTTCTCTGTGCCCCTCCTGTATATTTTCTTCCTGCTATCAACTGTTTTCTTACTTCCCACAGGTCTCCCTTTCTTCAGTTATGTATTAGCAGAAAGCTGAAGAATTGGAACTCTTACAGACACGTAGCCTATTTCTAACGCTTGGCATGAAAGAAATGGACTGAACTGCCTTTGGAACTGGCAGAGCAAGCCCCATGCATACTCCAGATTTAAAACTTAGATTAACTGAAACTCTAACAAAAATCCCAGTAGCCACAGAAAGACCTTAAACTAACCCAAAACTCAGATTGGTTTAAATACTTTTTTTAAAAAAATAGTTATTTTCAAGATTTTAAAATGTATTAGCATATAAATTTTCAGCATAGTCTCATAATTTTTGACTTGCTATTATCTACTCTCATCTGGTTTCTAACTTTATCCAACCATGTCTTTCAAATTTTTAAAAAATTATTTAATTTGGAAGATGTTTGCCTATTCTTTAAAGAACCAACTACTGAAATTGTTTTTACTTTTCACTTTTTTGGTTTTCTAATTCATTTATTTCCACTTGTATTTTAATTATTTTTTTCTCCCTATTCCTCCAGGACTACAGTTTTTGTACTTACTTTGGCCAAATGTATTGAATGCCTAGTTTGTTTGATCTCTTGCCTTCTCATGAATAATAGAAACATTCTGAGACTATAAATTTATCTCGGTAAACATCTTAGGCTATGTATTTTATATTTAGTGACTTATTTTTTATTTTATATATGTAATATATATTATATACATAGAATTTATATAATATATATATACATAACATTTCTTGCTTGTTATAACATTTTCTTGCTTGGCCTAACAGTCTTCTAATACTGTATCTTCGCATTTTCAAATGTTTGAAAGGCTTTTGTGTAAACTTTTGATTTTAAATTTCAGTTTTATTACCTTGTGGAAGTCATGCTGTACATTTGAGCCTTTAGTCCATGGTTCATTTAGTCAAGCCACTGTCCCAACTCTATGACTGCTAATTAACATACAAAGATGTTCCTCCTGATGACAAGATAAGGGACCCTATTGGACAAGCTATGTTGCTCACAAAGAAATTATCTTCCAGGACAAAGATGAAGGGGTTCCTTTGATTTACAAGGGATTGAGAGACTAAATACACAGATATCTGAGTTTTATTTATATGAGTTATTTAAAGAGATGGTCCAATCATAGCAGAACCTCTTCCACCATTTAACCATCAGAGTGCCTGGCCCTGCTTCAACTTACACCAGGATATGCAGACTCACCACATACACATTATAGCTCCAGATATTGTCTTCTTTTTATTACTTGATACATACAGTTCCCATACTAATAGATTCCTTAAAGGTTGCTTCATATATAATTCGTATTGTTGATCTTAAAATTCTTTCATTGCTTCTCAGAGAGGATGCATAAGGAACTAATTTTACATACTTTTTATTTTTATTTGACTTTGAAGTTCAGGGGTACACATGCCAGTTTGTTATACAGGTAAACTTGTGTCACAGGGGTTTGTTGTACAGATTATTTCATCACCCAGGTATTAAGCCTAGTATCCATTAGCTATTTTTCCTGATCCTTTCCCACCTCCCACCCTCCACACTCCAATAGGCCCCAGTGTGTGTTATCCCTCTCTATGTGTCCATGTGTTCTCATCGTTTAGCTCCCACTTATAAGTGAGAGCATGTGGTATTTGGTTTTCTTTTCCTGTGTTAGTTTGCTAAGGATAATGGCCTCCAGCTCCATCCATGTAGGGAACTAATTCTAAAGTGAACCTTGATAGAGCTATAATCAATAGCCTAAGGCAAGGTAGACCTAAGAAGCCTCCAGCATCCCTGGGACTTAGGATGGAAAGATTAATGCAGTTGAGAGCACATCAGTCAGAATTCCAAGGACTTGATTCCTACAAAGCTACCTAAGTGTGCCTATTACCTTTTAGACTAGAGCAGCACAGTCCATCTTGCTCAGCTCTGTTGTTGCTGGTTAGCCTCTGGATTTAAAAGACACTTCTCATATTGTCTGGTAAGTGGATGGGGTAACTTCCTAAGTGCAAAAAGTTGGAAGGGCTCCTAATGTCCAAAGCAGTGGTTATTAACTAAAGGCAGGAATCAGGGTTTTAGCAGCTTTTTTCAAACTTCAGCTATTTTCTTTCACTTTCCCTAGATTCTCTGGCCTTTGGTTGATGAAATGAAAAATATAAGTGGCCAAAAGTGGAGTAGATCATAGGGTGCTGCCAATGGGAGGGGTGGTGGTGGTAGTGAATGCCAATCCCTTTTATGCCTAATCCCTGCTTCTCCCTACTATGAATACTTCCTCTAATTTTGGTAATAGTGTTATTGAGGAATGATTAGCATGCAATAATCTGCACATATTTAAAGTGTATAATTTGACATTTTGATATATGTATATACCAATGAAACTGGCATCACAATTAAGATAATAAACATATCCATTACCCTCAAAAGTATCCCCCTGCTCTGTTGGCCTATCTACCTCCTGCCCACAACCAGTGATTTGTGTTCTGTCACTATCGTTTCTATTTTCTAGAATTTTATCGAAAATGGAATCCTATGGTATGTGTTCTTTTTTTTTTTTTTTTGGTTTTGCTTCTTTTACTCAGAAAAATTATTTTCAGATTCATTCATGTTGTAGTTTTATCAAATAGTTCATTTCTTTTTATTATATAGCAGTATTCCATTGATAAACATGCATTTCATTGCTTGTTTATATATTCACCTGTTGATGGACATTTAGGTTGTTTTCATTTTTTGACTATTATAAATAAAGCTGCTATGAACATTTGTGTAAAGTCCTTTTATAGACAAATGCTTTCATTTCTCTTAGTAAATAAAAATAGCTGGATATGATGGTAAATGAATAAGAAACTGCTAAACTGTTTTCCAAAGTGATTGTACCACTTTTTATGCCCACCAATAATGTAGGAGACTTCCAGTTCTTTCACTTTCTTACAAACACTTGGTCAAACTTTTAAACTTTAGCCACTCTAATAGTTGTGTGGTGGTTTCTCATTGTAGCTCTAATTTGCATTTCCTAATGACTAATGGTGTTAGGCACCCTTCCATGTAAATATTTATTTGCCATTTATATATCTTTTTTGGTGAGGTGTCTGTTCAAGTCTTTTGTCTATTTTTAAAATTGGGTTATTTTCTTATTGAATTTTGGGAGTCCTTTGTATTCAAGTCTTTTGTCAGATATATGATTTGCAGATATTTTCTCCCAATATGTAGTTTATCTTTTTATTTTCTTAGCAGTGTGTTTTGAAGAGCAAGGTTTTTAATTTCGATGAAGTCAAACTTATCAACTTGCTTTTGATGTCATGTTTTTTAGCTCTGTATTTTGCAACTCTGTTTGTAGGTTCATACATGTTAGATATATATTACATATTACATACATATTTCTTTTTGATGAATAGATTCCTGTATCAGTATAAAATATCTCTCTTTATTCCTGATTATATTTCTTGTTTTTAAATATGGTTTGACTGTTATAAATATAGTGACTCGGCTTTCTTTTCATTAGTGTTTGTATAACATATCTTTTTATTTTCTTTTAAGCTGTGTCTTTATATTTAAAATGGGTTTACTCTAGACAGCATACAGTTGAGTCTTGCTTTTTAATCCACTCTGACAATCTCTGCCTTTGAATGTATGACCATTTACATTTTGTATAATTATTAACCTGGCTGTGTACCATCTTCCTATTTATTTTCTGCTTATCCCAACTATTCTGTATTCTTTTTTCCTGCCTTCTTTTGGATTGATGGAATACTTTTATGATTTCATTTTATCTCCACTATTGGCTTATTAGCTATAATTGTTTGTTTTCTTAACTGTTGCTCTCAGGTTTACAATATTCTCTTTAATTTGCCACAGACTATCTGTACATAATACAGTACCACTTCACATATAGTGTAAGAGCAGGATACTATAATATAATGCCTCCATTTCCCCTTCCTTGCATTGTGCTAGTGTTGTCATACATTCTACTTTACACAAGTCATAAACTCCACAACAGATAATTTTCTCTCAGACTATTATTTTTGCTTTAAATAGTTATCTTTCAAAGAAATTAAAAAGCAAGAAAAACAGATCTTTTCTATTTATCTTTTGATTTCTTTTTTAGAAGAAAGAGAATGACTTTTTATATTTACCTGTGAGTTTATAAAACTATTCATCACATGATATTAAGTAAGTAATAAAAAATTATTTATTTTCATAGGATCACTGTCTCAAGAGCTGTAGTGGTCACTCATATATAAGAAAGAATTGGCTTGGATGCATTGTCTTCCCTTTTTCTGCTCTTCTGCAACAATCTGAGGTAAGAGAAAATGCTTCTTTGCTCATTCTAAGTTTTGACCTCTGGCTCATAGAAAAACTTTCTGTTGTCTTTGAATCAGACTCTGTGATTGGCAGGCTGGTAGGTCAGTTAAGATGATCCTGTATTAGAATGTTCTGGGCTTTTGAAGTGTTTGAAGATTTGAACTGTCTCTGGAGAGTTCTTTAGAGTGTTAACTAACAAAGAATAGGAAAACTAGTCTTAGGTCTTAAAACAACATTTGTATTTGCATATAAGAGTTCTATAAGATCAGATTCATGAAACATTCTGATTAATGGTGTTTCTTTGTAATCATGGGTACCAGGAGTTTCAGCTTGTCAACACTGTTTATTGACAATGGTAAGACCTATGATTTGCACTAGTCTCTGTGAGACCCTCAGAGGGCTCTGCTGTTGGTTTATTATGTAGCAGGAAAATGCCTACATGACTAGCAAAGTAGAAAAGCCCCAGCCCAGACTCCACTGTTACTTCTTCACTAAGTGATGATAGGCAAGGCACTTGACATCTCGACGCCATGCCAGACACTGTAAATGTGAAAATTCAGAAATGAATTTTCTACCTCAATGAGTTCACTGTCTGTGGAATAAAACTAACATTTCAGTACAATGTGATAATGCTGTAGTGCTTTAATAGAGGTATGAGATAGGTACATGGGAACATACAGTAGGGAGTACTTTACTGTTCCTGGGTTGCAAGTGGAAATGCCGGGGGAGTGGTTCAGAGAGTTTGGTAGTTAAGAGGAGACTAAGGAGGAGAACCAAAGATCAAAGAAAACTTAACATAGGCGATAACTTTTGAATTAAGTCCTTAAAGATGAATTTGTCAAGAAAATAAGGGCTTGACAAATTGGTCAAGCAAATAAGGGCTTAATTTAGATTGCCTTTTGCTACCCTGCTTTTCCTTCATGGGTTTCTTCCTGCCTATGTGTCCTGACACCCAATTTCCAAGGAGATAACAGTGCTCTCAGATTTATTTCAGAGACAATCATTTAAAAAATATATACAAATCCTAGCTCCTTTGCTTGTCAAGGATTGTAAGCCTTGTTTATTAATGGCACGAAGTCACCACTGTACAGTGTCATAGTAGTACATAAATGGCTGCCATCGTATACCAGTTAAAGTGTTAATGAACATTCTGTTCCTACTACCTGGCTGTCATGTTACCAACTGAAGCTATTGGTAAGGAAGTGGGAAAGAACGAATATCAGGTAGGACAGTAGAGGTGCCTGCACAATGTGCAATCACATGAAGTCATGATGGCACGTGTTGCAAAGACTGGCAATAGGAATACACATTGTTGGAGGTACAGCTACAGGGATTCCTATGTTTTTAAGTCCCTGTGGACACTGCTCAGTCTCAGGCCAGACTGCAGGATACAGTGGTAGGTAAGAGTGTGGGCTTCAAAGGTGGACACATCTGGGTTGTAATCCTGGCTCCACTGACTCATTACTTTTGTGATCTTGCACAAATACTTCAATTCTCTGACCCTCAGTTTGCTTATTTGTGAAATGGAGATAAGGGCAGTGTTTACTCCATTGAATGATACGATCTATATCAAGCACTTGGCACAGGGTCTTGCACATTAGTAAGCACTCAGTAACTATTAGCTATTATGCATTTTTTTGAGACAGCATCTCACTGCGTTGCCCAGGCTGGAATGCAGTGGGACAATCATGGATTATTGCAGCCTCAGCCTCCCAAGCCCAAATGATCCTCCCACCTCATCCTCCTAAGTAGCTGGGACCACAGGTGTGCACCACCACTCCCAGCTAATATTTATTATTTACCTCTTACACACACGCACACACACATACACACACACACACACACACACACAATTTCTCCTACTGTGGACCTCAGGGTTGTCTTTCTTGCTGTTACATATTTTCTCTTTCTGGACCCAATACAAAATGTAACATGATCTTTTAACTTCTTCTCTGAGCCTGCATTAGATTTTCTAAGAGCTTTATCGCTGGTATCGTAACTTGCTTCTTTGTTCCATTCCTTTCTTACTCCTACCCTCTCTACATAGTACATATTAGGCAGGGACCCAAGGTGTCAAGGGTGCCTATGAACACATCACCACAGAGAACCTGCTCATTCTTGGGCAAGTGCAAATGAGTAGAAGCCCGTTCACGCAAGCAAGCAAGCTTTCTGTGATGGAGTGGACTCTGCTGGGCCTAAATATTTGACTGATGTTTATTTTCATCATGCATAATCCATTATACTGATATACTCTTTCAGATTAGTGGAACATTTCAAGTAACTATTCCACCAGTTTTGCTCGGGTATACTTGGAGTAATACTTATGTATTTCCTAAAGAAGATTCCAATGAGCAGAATTTAAAAGAATGTACATTCTTAAATATTTTTGCTACCATTGAACCTCAAATATCATATGTCACCTGTAATCCAACACTAGATAAGGTAGGTTTTACATTGAATTTCTTTTATATATACCATCAAAGAGGTATGAACTATTTTAAAAACCAGTAATAATTTCAAAGATGGCAAAAATAAACATTGGTTCTTGATATTTTCTTGTGAGAACAATACAGTACAATTCTGAAATACTTTACATTTTATTGTAGTTTTTAGATCAAACAGAGGTCTTGCAGAGAGCACAGATTTTTAAAAAGAATTGTAAGGCAATGTTTCCCAACCGAAGAATCGTAACTACTGTTTTTAATGATGAAGGGATACAGTTCTTAGTCACAAGATATATCAAGGCATTAAATCCACCTCAGCAACTTCTGGATATATTTCTTCACAATTCTAATGCAACATTTGTAAGTTATTATTATTTTTAACATCTTCATTGTGATTAAAGGGCATCTGTGAAGAATCACTTTTACCTTTTGTGTATTTGGGTTCAATCTAGTGAGTTGTCTGTCCTCAAAATATTTGTACTGTTTGTGAGTCATAAAGCTCCCTTAGCTGGACTCTTTAAGCTAAAATCAAAAGTTCTAATTTAGATTGCCTATTGCTACACCGCTTTTCCATCATGGGTTTCTTTCTGCCTGTGTGTCCTGACACCCAATATCCAAGGAGGTAATAGTGCTCTCAGATCTATTTCAAAGGCTATCTTTATCTTTTAAAAACTATGTACAAATCTGAGCTCCTTTGCTTGTCAAGGATTGTGAGTCTTGTTCATTAATTGCATGAAGTCACCAGTGTAGAAGGTCATAATGGCACATAAATGGCAGCTATTCAACATCAGTTCATGAACTTTCTACGTTAACACATTGTTTATTTGCACCCCTTTCTCCTTTCCTAGATTAGTCTGAGTCTTTGTCTCCAGCACTATAGGGGAAAAATCCATAGTATAACTTCTATTGTTTGACAAAGCACATTGTACTACCCTAATATCTCCCTGCTGCAGCAGCTTATAATAAAGTTATATTCACAAAAATAATTGTGATAGATTTTGAACCAAAAAAAAAAAAACCTTTGCTATTCTTCAATATCTTAAAATTTTTTAACAGTTGTACTTTAAAGTACATGTTTAATGTGGAAACATATTATTGTAATATTTAAAATTTTAGTAATAAATTAAATAATTACTAAATAAATAAATATAAATAAAATATAATGGTTACATGCACCCTGTGCAGTCAGCCCAACTTGGGCTCAGTTTCCCAGAGACTTCACATATTGTATTAGCCATGGAACCCAGGGCAAGTTATTTTATTACTCCAAGCTTATTTCCTCTTCTGTAATACTAGAATAATAATAGTGTCTACTTTTATAGGCTTAGATTATATGCTAAATGAGAGAGTGCATGTAAAGCATTGTGCTAAGTGATGGACATACAGCACACACTCAATAAATGTGAATATTATTCTAGGACCTCATTGCTCGATTTGTATCTTTGATTCCTTTTGTGCCTAATACACCAGATGAAAATGATGGCTCTGATATATGGATGACATCAGAGGTAATAAATTACATTTTATATATATAATTGAAATATATAGTATTTCTTTTAAGGAAACCTTTTAAAAATATTATGTATTTATGTATTACTTTGCCTTGTGAAATTTAAAAGTATTTGATAATTTTATACATCATCTTCAGTTCCATAACAATCTATGGAAATAATTCATGAATACCAAAAATCTTTTCAACATTCTAAGTGGTAGCTCATGAATATTTTGACTCAACGGGAATTCCAGGAGTATAATATTATGCCATTCTCCAGAGAGCAGTGTGACTTGTCACTATGGAGTTGGTCAGACCCTGAAGTCTTGTGCAAGCACTGTCACTTCCCAAAAGCTTTCCCCCATCACCCCCATCTGAGTGAAGAGCTCGTAGAACAGTGCTCTTCCTTAGCACTTAGATTAAAGTCCTCTTTAGTCTGATTGCCAAATAAAATACAGGCCCCATGCAATATTCAGGACAAACTTTTAGTAATAAATTATTTGTTGTTTATCTGAAATTCAAATCTAACTGGGCATCCTATAACTTCTTTTCAAGTCTGGCAACCCTAAGTAGAGTATTTAGAGTATTTCTTCCATTTCAGCTTAAATCATGTTTGTGTCATAAACCATGAGTGTATGACTGATTCAGTTTTACAAGAAAAGAATTATTTTCTCTCACCTAACACACAGTCTTTGGAGTAAAACAAACAAACAACCTTGGTTCAAAATCCTAGTTCAAAGACTTAGTAGATGTGCGACCTAAGATAAGTTAACTTCTTTGGACCTCAATTTCCTTATCTATGTCATACAGGAGTTTTAAAAAGACTAAATGTAGTAACATGCAAAGCATCTGGACCTCAGGAAAACTTAGTTCCCTACTGTCATCCTCTCCCTACTCCTCTTATAAAATCCAGAACCTCCTTGACCTGACAATGAAGACTATTGTTATTCTGCCCTTAGCTCACCTGTTCACACTGTTCTTTCAGAAGGGCCTCCTTAACTATCCTCCCTAACCCCCATCCTTCACCATCAGGTTCAGCCAATGCACACTGATAGGGCCATATCAGTTGTTAAAACATTGCAATGCTTCCATAATGATTGGTAAATAGTCATTGCCATGAGCTCTATAGCTCCCCACCCCTTATCCCCACCTCCCTGGCCCCCACAGCCCCTTCTCAGGGACTGTATTGAACTGGAGAGTGCATGCCACATCATTTTTTTTTTAAATGGAGTCTCGCTCTGTCGCCAGGCTGGAGTGCAGTGGCACGATCTCGACTCACTGCAACCTCTAACTCCCTAGTTCAAGCAATTCTCCTGCCTCAGCCTCCTGAGTAGCTGGAATTACAGGCACGCACCACCAGGCCCAGCTAATTTTTTTTTTTTTTTTTTTTGTATTTTAGCAGAGATGGGGTTTCACCATGTTGGCCAGGATGGTCTCAATCTCCTGACCTCGTGATCTGGCCGCCTCAGCCTCCCAAAGTGCTGGGATTACAAGCATGAGCCACCGCGCCTGGCCATACACCTCATTTAAATGGTGTAGCCACTAGTCAGCAACAGATTGTTGCCATCTGAGCATTTGGACCCAAGTCTTTGCTAGAGTTTGTTTTTGTTTTTTTTTTCAACAAAATCCAGAAATCCAGAGTTTTCTAAGAAAATGTTCTCTCTTTTTTTGACATTCTGGGAGCCAAACAAAACACACCTGTAGACTAGAACTAAGTCATAGACCACCAGTTGGCTACTTCTGCTATACTTTTTCTCCCCTGCTATATTGCTGTGCTTTACTGGGCACTCTCTATTTGATCTGTTACACCCTGCTCAGCTGTTCAGCTCTTTGAGTTGAAGACGTTTCAGTCACTTTTCCTGATTAACATCCAACTCAGATTTCTTCCTTTCTTTGAGTTGACAGTACTATATTGGTACAGGACAGAATGTAGCTCCACAGCCCAAAGGATCACTTCCTACAAACACTATATGATTCCCTATCAGATAAGGTTCCTCGAAATACCAGTCCATATGTCCCTGCTTGCCCAGGGCACTTTAATATTTGTCCTAAACAAAAACATCCCATTTTGGGTATAAATTGTCTGGTCACTCTATACAATATCTACATTAAGTGTTCTATAATAAAGGTGGCCCCAATGCTCCAAGTCAATGTTCTCTTCCTCTAATGCCCTAGCAAAGCTGGAGCTGTCTGCTCTGCTGTCAACTTAGCAACTTGGTAAAAATAAATGTGTTTGGAACTGGAGTGAGTACAGGTGCTCCGCATCAGTTGGATGCTTGCGTTACTCAACTTTCCCGCACTTTTCTTTTTTTGTTCCTATTGCTTTTGTTTTGTCTTAGCACTGCATCAGTTTAGCTATCGGAAATAAGGAGGAGCATGCCATCCTTCTCTGTAATTTCTTTCTGTATTTTGGAAAGAAGGCACTGGTCCTCTTGGGAACGTCAGTGTTAGAAGTAAGTGCTGGAGTTCATATTGAAATAATGTAAGCAAAAGGAAATCAGATTTCAGCTGCAAGTTTAGAAGACTTCAAACCCAGGTTTCCATCTCTTCACAAACTAATTTGGAATTTCATGGGCAAGCAATGATTAGTTAAGAGGATAATGTTGGTTCATCAAAATTTTTACAATGTAAAGACTGATTTCCTTTTGCTTTTCTCCCCTGTAAAAGAGTACTAAAAATAGTGCTACATCATAGGGTTACTGGGAATATTAAATTACTTAGTACATATTAAGTGACTGAGAGCAGCACCTGGACTCAATAAAGGTGGTGGTGATGGTGGTGGTAATGTAGTAATAGTTATAGTGTAGTTGTGGCAGCTGTTATCCATCGTTACCACCATGATCATCATATGGTTTTTGTTTTTATTTTTGTTTTTTGAGATGGAGTTTCGCTCTTGCTGCCCAGGCTGGAGGGCAATAGCGTGATCTCGCCTCACTACAACCTCTGCCTCCCGCGTTCTAGTGATTTTTCTGCCTCAACCTCCCGAGTAGCTGGGATTACAGGCACCCACCACGCCCGGCTAATTTTTTGTATTTTTAGTAGAGATGGGGTTTCATCATGTTGGCCAGGCTGGTCTTGACTCCTGACCTCAGGTGATCCACCCGCCTTGGTCTCCCAAAGTGCTGGGATTACAGGCATGAGCCACTGTGCCCAGCCCATCATATGTTTCTAATAAGTGTATTTTAAGATCTGTAAAAAAAACACTTCTCCTCATGCTCCATTGCTGAGGTTTTAATCTTATAAGAAGTGAGCCAGGAATTAATGTTTCCCTATCTGAAATGTTTACAGCTTAATTTATATGCTTCTTCTACATTTGTACCACCAGAAAGCTATCATTTCTGAACTGTTTCTAGCCCTACCATGAGTATCTTGCTAAGTGTCAGTATTTACAGTCTTGCCTTATGGTTTTTGTCATGATGATTTATTTCCCTGTATCCTCTCGGCATTGTTTATTATTTCATTGCCAAGCTTGTTAACTATTAATAGAAGTTCATTCCCTCTATATGATCTCCTGCCGTAGTTGTAAGTGCCACTAGATGGCAGTAAACAGTCAACAATATTTTGGCAACTATTAGCGTTAGTACCTGTGGACCAACACTGCAGGAGGTAGCCCTGCACAGTTTCACCTCAGCCATGGGGTTAAGGTAAAGCCTCCTCTTTACTATAAAGATGATGAGCACAGTGACCAAGAGCAAGGGCTGTGAAGTCGAGGAGAGCAGGCTGCACAGCGTAGTTTTAATAATATGGGTTTGGGGGACAGTCAGACACAGGTTTAAAATGCAGCAATTGCTGAGCATGGTGGCTCATGCCTATGATCCCAGCACTTTGGGAGGCTGAGGAGGGAGGATTGCTTGAGCTCAGGAGTTCAAGATCAGCCTGGATAACACAGGGAGACCCCACCTCTATAAATAAATAAATAAATAAATAAATAAGCCAGGCATACTGACACATACCTGTGGTCCCACATACTTAGACTGAGGAGGGAAGATCGCTTGAGCCTGGGAGGTCGAGGCTGCAGTGAGCTATAATGGCACCACTGCACTCCAACCTGGGCAACAGAGCAAGACCCTGTCACACACACAGACAAAAAACCCAGCAATGCCACTAACTGTATGATCTCAGCCTTGTTTACTTCTCTGAGCCTCAGTTACCTCCTCATGAGACAGGAGTAATGCCACTCACAGGCTCTTTTGACAAGGCTCTTAACCTCTGATTCTTTATATGAAAGATGGGCATAATAACCCTTCCTCCCAGAATTTGGAGTGAATGAAAGTGACAAAGTTAGTGTTAATTCTTAGCATAATATCTGATGCACATAAATACTCAATAAATTAAATAGTCTCATTATTATTATTACCTAAAAATTTTTATTCTTTGGTAGGATAGGCTTACACTACAAAAAGTCTTATCTTTCAGAGCAAAATAATAACAACATAATAACTACTTTTTATTCCTCAGACTGGTTTCCTGCATACTTCCCTTTAGCTTCTAATTGCAAATCTTGTTCCCAAATTTAATTTAATGGCTTTTTAACTTTACTTGGTTTTGTCAGAGCCTTAAGCCAGTTTCCATTTCCTATCTCTGCCTGGTGTTCACCCTCAGTCTCCAAATATATTCTAACCAAAGCAGGGATAGTCCATATAGCATCTTGTATGAATTAGACAAAAGTGCCCTACCTCAAAACACTGCAGTACTATCTGTTGGGAAACCCTTGTAATGCACTGATTTGTTAAAACAGCAGCTGTGTTGCCATCGGGGCACACTCTGCAGGACCATACATGACAGCACTGGCTCACAAGTTGTTTCATCTGAATCCTCATGCTAACCTGGGGCTGAGGATTTCTGGAGCTTTGGTTTGTTTTTTCTTTTTCTTTCTTTTTTTTTTTTTTATTTCAAAGAAAATGTAAAAGCCCTCAAAAAGGCTTTTATTTATTTTTGTTGTTTGTTTGTTATTGAGACAGGATCTCACTCTGTCACCCAAGCTATAGGGCAGTGGCATTATCACAGCTTATTGCAGTCTCAACTCCTCAGGCTCAAGCGATCCTCCCACCTTAGCCTCCCAAGTAGCTGGGACTACAGGTGTGTGTGCCGCTGTGCCCAGCAAATTAAAAAAAAAATTTTTTGTGATAGATACAGGGTTTCCTTATGTTGCCCAGGCTGGTCTCAAACTCCTGGGCTCAAGTGATCCTCCCACCTCAGCCTCCCAAAGAGCCGGGATTACAGGTATAAGCCACCACACTCCACTAAAAAAGGCTTTAAAAATTAGAATCATCACAGTATAATTTCCATATATAGAAATTATTTAAATCCACCAAAAATTACTTTCTTTTTTCTCATACAGGGGCATGTGGCTTATGTAGTAACTCAAGAAACTAATGAATATTTGCTTTGGAATCCATCAACTGGCCAATGTTATAAGCAGTTTGACCCGTTTTGTCCCTTAAAAAGTGTAGATTGTTTGTTTGATGATAGAAATGTAAGTATATGGGGAAAAAAAATCTTGAGTTATCTCCTCTAGAGTCACCCTGGCTACACACTAGAATCACCTGGGGAACTTTAAATATAGATAGTCTATCAGATTCCCTAGGGCATGGGGCCGGGGCAATCTTTTATCACTAAAGCTCCTCCAGGTGATTGTGTAGTGCCTTCAAGGATGAGAACCGTTGAGGTAGTCTAATGATCATGAAACCCTAGAATCTCTTTATCTCCTGCCTCAGAACCCCGCTGGGATTCTGCCACTTCATTGAGTAGTAAGACTGTAAAATTTTGCTCCTTCCTTACCAACAATGGGCCTTGTGTTCCTATGGACCTACACTAATGTTATATTAATGTTTTCATAGGTCTGGTTTAATATTCAACAAAATAATACACCAATGGCTGTATTTTTTGACTATTCAAAGGAAAGTTTCTGGAAGCAGTTGCTTCCAAAAAACGTTCAAGGAACAAAAATACAAAGCATACAGGTAAATCATATTTTCCCAGGGGTGTCTGTATGAGAGTTACCATTGCTTCTAATCTTTACTAATTGTGACAGCTCTTATTATGTTTTATAGTTGGTTGGTTACTGAAATATTTGGCAATATTAATTTAAAAACTAGTTTTCTCTGCCATCCAGCTCACAGGCTCTTTCCCCTACTTGCAGAAAAAATAAATTGAGAAGAAAGTGACATCTTAAATGCAAATTTAGATGCTAAAATAGAATTTAAAATTTTTTCACCATAAAACATAACATATAATGTTCAAGATGTGTAGTAAGTTCTAACTCTGACCTAGCCCTCCTGCGCCATATCTATGGTAAGGATCAAGTAGAAAAATTGACAAAAAGCTTTCTGGACTCCCAACCATGATAGTTGTCTCACGGAATAGAAACAGGACAGAAACACTAGCAGTGAGTAGGCTGGAGCAGGGATGGCAGCAAGATCTGAAAATGCTTCATGAAAGCCAGAGAACCAGAGCAAGCATCACTTTTTAAAGACAGGGACTGTGGTGGGGCTACTTTACTTCCCTGTTTTTGAAAGGAGATGGGAAGGAAAGCTATAGACTCACTGTCTGGGGCTCAGGGTACAGGAGACCAAGAAGTAACTCAATCACTACATGGGTTGGCTAATGGATCTGTGATGTACTCAGTATTACTTTGGGAAGGCACTAGAAATACCATGTCAACAGCTGTTTCTGGATTGAGGGCCAAGCTGTGCAGGGTGTCAGCAATTGCACAGTCCACAAATGAGGAGACAGGAGCCCAGAGGGAGGGAGGGAGAGAGAGAGAAAGGATAAGAGAGAGCAAAAGAACAATAGAAAAATTAGGCAAAAGACAATTCATAGAAGCAGTAACTTACATGCTAAACCTCACTCATAATCAAGTAAATACAATTTAAAACAATAAAACAATTGCTGGACATGGTGGCTTATGCCTGTAATCCCAACACTTGGGGCGGTCAAGCCATGAGGATCACTTGAGGCCAGGAGTTCGAGACCAGCCTGGGCAGCAGAGCAAGACCCTGTCTCTAAAAATAAAAACAAAAGAACTACCCGGGCATGGTGATGATGCGCAAGTGTAGTCCCAGCTACTCAGGACGCTTAGGTGAGAGGACTGTTTGAGCCCAGGAGGTTGAGGTTACAGTGAGCTATGATCGCACCACTGCACTCCAGCCTAGGAGCCTACTGCAAGACCTTTTCTCTAAGATAAATAAACAACTAAAACAATAAAATTATTTCACATGCATAAAATTGGCAAAAAAAAATGTGTGATCATACTGAGTGTTGTCAAAGAGGCAGAGAAGTGGTGGAAGCACACATTTCTGTAAATGCTTTGGAAAACAATATGTTGATAATACCTGGTAAAGGTGAAGATGCTCAACCTTTGATGTGCCAATTCAAACTTCTCAGTATATACCCCAGAGGAACATTCACGGGGAGACAAGTACAACAACATTCATTAGAGAATTGCTTGAAATAACAAAAATTTGAAACAGTTCATCAACTAGAAATCAGTACATGAGTTGTGAAGTACTTATACAATGAAATCTTCTGTACAGCAGTAAAAGATGAATGAACTGAGCCAATTTACAGTTGTTCCCAATTTGACTGTCAGTGCATTACATCACAATCTCTGAGGGTGGAACCCACATGCCAGGAGCTTTGAAGGTTCCCCAGTTGATGCCAATGTGCAGCCGAGGTTGAGAATCACTGGCCAAGAGTCATGCATATCTACATGAAAGAATATAAAAAATGTAATGCTGAGCAAAATAAAAAGACATGAAATGACACATACAGTACAAAACCATTTATGTGGAGTTTGAAAGCTGTATATGGTTTATGTATACATAGATATGTGGTGATGTAGAAAAGCATTCATGGGAATGATAAATACCAAATTCAGATTAGAGGTTACTTTTGGGGAGAGAAAAAAAAGGAATGAGATCAAGGAGCAGTATACAGAGTACTTCAAGTCTGTCTGTAGTATCTTACTTATTTTTTAAAAGTCTAAAACAAATATGGAAGAATGCAAAGATCAGATGTAGCTAGGTGGTAGGTATGCTAGGTGGATGTTCATTACATTATTCTCTATGTTTGCCTGTATAGATTCAAGGCAATTCACACTATCAAAAAGAATGCATGGTGGCTGTGGGGGAAGAAATCAAAGAGGGCCCAAGTGTATAAAGTGATGGATTTCTGGCTGGGTGCGGTGGCTCACGCCTGTAATCCCAGCACTTTGGGAGGCTGAGGCAGGTGGATCACTTGAGGTCTGGAGTTTGAGACCAGCCTGGCCAACATGATGAAATCCCGTCTCTACTGAAAATACAAAAAAATTTAGCTGAATGTGGTGGTGCACACCTGTAATCCCAGTTACTCAGGAGGCTGAGGCAGGAGAATCACTTGAGCCCAGAGTGGCAGAGGTTGCAGTGAGCTGAAATTGCACCACTGCACTCCAGTCTGGGCAACAGAATGAGACTCTGTCAAAGAAAAAAAAAAGTGATGGGTTTCTTTCTTATTCAACATCTCTTTCCCGCTCTCAAAGAAGTCACTGTCAGTAGTTTCTTGTGCATCCTTCTAACATTCTCCATGCAGATGCAAGCATAGATAGGTATTTTTATATTTCCTACTTGAAAAGTCATTTTAAAGAAAGGGAAAAGTGCTTCTCTCTCTTGAGCAAGCCACATTTAAAGCCTCTAGAGTCCATACCTTGCTTTGCCCATCCCAAAGCTGTGACCAAAGCATTGATGCCTCCTAGGGGGAGAATAATCTATTTCAAGATGAGGCTCTTGTTTGTTTAATGTATAATCATTCTCTTGTTCATTCAGGTGATATTTATTGATTTCCCACTATGAGCCAGTGTTACGTTAGATGTAGATACTACAAGAAAAAAGACATATCTCAGTGTTCTTGGAACTTGGATTCTAGAGGAAGAAACAGAAGGGAACAAGCAAGTGCAGTACAGAGCAATGAATGCTGTTACAGAAGATATTATGGTGCTTTGGGGAGTGCACAGCAGGAGGCCCTGAGGGAGGGGAGTTGTAGGGGCTTCCTGGGAAAGAGTGATGAGAAACATGAGTGAGGAAGGGTGAGCAGGAGCTGGCCTAGATAAAAGTCAGGAATGAGAATGGTCCCGACAGATAGCAGGAACAGCGAATGGGAAGACCTTTAGTGACAAGGAGATATCTGTCCAGGAGCTGAAAGGCCAGGCTGGCCAATGCTGGGGTGGACAGTCCTGGTGAGAGTTTGGGCCTTTGTCCTCAGGGCAGACAGAAGCCAGCATCTCTAAGGCAAGGGCTGCTGTGATCAAAATTGTATTTGTAAAAGCTACTCTGACTTAGGGCTGAAACTAAAGCCTTCTGCCAAGTTGAATCTATAAATGTAAAACTCATAGTTGTGTTTAGCTTGTATCTCTACTTCTTTCCTGTGGGCTCATGGCCCTCCATCTTCTGCCTTGCCACATACATCCCAGAATAAACCACTATCTAGAGTGAACACTATTACACACAATTGTGAACACAAATTTGAATGTGCATGAGGAGAATGTGGGTACTCAGAAGTGGTGTTAACAGGGAAATCCCCTTGAAGTTTTGAAGGACATGAGTGCCCAGAAAGAAAGAGGCCTTTGCCAGAAAAGGAAAGGATAAACACACCATAAACTTCTCAAGTCAGCATAAACCAGGCCTCTTTTTCAGGCCTGAAGTGGCCTAACTAATCCACAGGAGTTGCCCAGTGAGGAGTAGACAGCCGTTGGTGACAGTAATCAGGGAATTCCGTCCACCTATCCTGTGTGAGATAGCTGCCAGCTCCTGCAAGATGACACAAAGTCATCCTTCCCTTCCTCAGTATCTTCCATCTCCTACCATGCTGTACTGTGGGGCTCCTCCCTGTGCCTGGGACCATCTCTAATCCAGTGCTCCTCCACCATGGCAGGCATCAGAGCCAGCGGAAGGGGAGCTTGTTGAAACACAGGTTGCTGGGCCTCACCCCCAGAGTTCCTGATTCAGTAGTTCTCAGGTGAGGGCCAAGAATTTGTGTTTCGAACAAGTTCCCGGATGTGAGGTTGCCAGTCTGGAGGCCACACTTAGGAACCTAGAGGCCTATCAAATGTTGCCTCCTTTTTACACAACCCTCATTCCACTCACGAAGGGGGAACATCTGTTCCTGTCCCTACAGCTGCCTCTTCCTCAGCTCAGGAATACCCAAAGTAAAAACTGTCTAAACCCAGCCCCTCACTCTTGTCCATGTGAGACCTGCAAGGAGTTGAGGGTTGGGTTGGCAAGGAACTTGAGAAGTCCTCTCCTCCCAGAAAATCCTGCCCAGGAAGGGAACTGGAAGAAACGTGGAATAGCACTGTTCCAGGCAAAGGCTTGGAGACAGGGGAGGTTGAAATGGATTCTGTGTATGTGCATGTGTGTGTGTGTGTGTGTGTGTGTATGCATGCACATGTGTGCATACATACACAAAGAACTGGCTTCTTCCAGCTGAAAGAAACAAATAATCAAAGAAGGAAGATGATCAACCATGTTAGAATAATAATATCTGATGTTTGTTGAGCATTCCATATGTGCCAGGCTTTACATGTATTACTTTATTTTAAAATCTTTACAAAACCCTAGAGCAGTAGGCACTATTATTATCCCTATGTTAAAAACTCAGAACAGAGAGGTGAAGACTTCACCAAGGTCACAGTGGAAGACACCAGTGCAGCTGCCAAAGATTATTTGGTAGTAGCATCCATAGTGTGTCAAATGCCTGTTTGAAAAATGAATTGGGGCGCCAGGTCTGTTTTACCCATGAAAATATATCTTTTGTAAACCCATCCCCCATCCCCTATTCTCGTGAAGCAGTGTGAAAATAAAAGAAAATGCTGTGGTCTGCATGTTACCTATGGAATTGAGTGTTTTTGCCACAGAAGCCTGGTTTGTCTTCCTCCTTATTATAGCTGGCATTCCAGGAGTGACTGTGATGTAAACATGGTCTCTAGAATCTATTCTAACTTTGGTTGTCTATTTCAGCCTGAAGAAATAATTTATTTTGAAACTGATAAAAGCATGGTAGAAGATCTAAGGAATAGGTACTGTGTTTTCCCCTAATCTCTTGTTGGGTTACCTTTCAGTCTTCTGACCCATCCATTCAAAATACCTGCTAGATCAGCAACAGAAACATGAAAAAGGAGTTTATAATATTTCCAGCTGGCCCAGTGGCTCACACCTATAATCGCAGTTCTCTGGGAAGCCAAGGTGGGAGGATCACTTGAGCCCAGGAGTTTGAGACCAGCCTGGGCAACATAGGGAGACGTCATCTCTACTAAAAAAAAATATATATATATATATATATATATATATATAAAAAAAAATATATATATATATATATATATATATATAGCTGGGCATGATGGCATATACCTGTAATCTCAGTGACTAAGAGGGGGAGGATCGCTTGAGCCCAGGATTTTGAGGCTGTAATGAGATATGATCACACAACACACCACTGTGTTTCAGCCTGGGCAACAGAGTGAGGCCTTGCAAAAAAAAAAAAAAAAAAAAAAGTTCCATTGAACCACCTGGTTCTTGGTACATCCATGGAAAAGTGGCCCCTCTGCCATCCAGGGCATTCTTTGATAGGACAGACTAAGTTAACTCTGGAAACATTGTGGGCCACCACTGGAAAGTTCTCAACATAGATGCCTGTTGGAGCCTATAGTAATAATAATGCAGTAGCCAACACTTCTTGAAAGGACATGAAGGTAAATGACCCGTGACTTGACATCTGGTAAAAATGTCCCAGTTAGGCAGTAGAAACGGCAGTACTGCCACAGCTGGACACTCCCAGCCTCCCAAGCACCTACACGTAAGTGCCTGAGGAAGTCAGTCAGTCAAGCCCAAAGGGCCACAGGCTTTGCAGCAGGACTGGCTCTCAGGCCATGTGTGTCAGAGGCTTCTAGATCTGACTGCCTCCAGTGGCTCACACTCACATAGCAGGCTGTCATGGAAGCCACTACAAAGCAAGCAACACAGAGCATGACCAAAGCAATTTTACCACTCCCTTTCTCACTAGCACACATCTCCCCCCAGCCCCCCAGCTGTCATTCTTACTCCTCATTTCCCAGTTCTTAACAAAAAAGGAAGAAATGCAATAGGGAAATGGTTCCCAACTGATTTTCATTAGAATCGCTTATAGAACTATTTAAAAATACAGGTATGAGCATCCCTGGATCAATATCTGGAGGTGAAACATTTTGATAAGGCGCTACAGGTGATTCTGATGCATAGCCGCTATTGAGACCCTCTACAAACTCCAAACTACTTAGTTGCACTATAAACTCAGCTAAGAAGAGACCTCCAGCACCTTCCTCTATAACATACACTGCAGTTAGAGAATCAATGCCACACAATCATCCTGCACAGAGAGGCTTTTCAGGAGAGCCCCATCAACCAACCCACACTGTGTCCCCTCTCTCTCCTCCCTGGCATATTCATCCCCAGGCACTGTTCTAGGGGCTGGATATATATGGGTAACAATGCCTGCCCTTATGGAGCTTACATTCAAATAGGGGGAAGCTGATCACCAAACTTACCTGTTCAATGCCTTGTTTCCTCCCAACTCTGCTTGCTAAATTAACTCATGTAATAATCCCATCCCTGCTAACATCATCCCAGACCAGATGCGTGGATTTTCATAAGGGCAGTTTCTTGGAAACAAAATGTCCAAGTCAAGGGAGGGTCTTGAAGAGTAGGAATGTCAACCCAGTAATCGGATGGTAGGTGTTGTCAAATCACACCCAGTAGGCAGCTGCCTACATACGGGTAACTGGAAAAGAGATGTGCCTTGGAGAGTTAATTGCTGGCTATCCCCAAGAGGCTTCTTGTCTTCCCAAGCCAAGTAAGAGCCTGCCTCTCCCCAGCTTCATTAATGTGAATGGTGGCAGACACCTCTAGCTATAGAGCTCTGGTTTCCTCCTAAGTCCAAAAAGTATCATTCTCATACTTGAATAAAAATCACAGGCTGGGCACGGTGGCTTACACCTGTAATCCCAGCACTTTGGGAGACCGAGGAGGGCGGATCACCTGAGGTCAGGAGTTTGAGACCAGCCTGGTCAACATGGTGAAACCCCGTCTCTACTGAAAATACAAAAATTAGCCACGTGTGGTGGCAGGTGCCTGTAATCCCAGCTAATCGGGAGGCTGAGGCAGGAGAATCACTTGAACCCGGGAGGCAGAGGTTTCAGTGAGCCAAGATCTCACCATTGCACTCCAGCCTGGGGGACAAGAGCGAGACTTCGTCTCAAAAAAAAAAAAAAGTCACAAAACTCTTATTATATTTACCAAATGAGTTATAACTTGTCATAAAATTACCTTTGGATTCTTACCTTAGGATCGAAAGGACTCTGAAGAGTAAAGTGATGGAATGGCGACCTAAACACCCAACACATTGGAATCGACAGTGTACTTTTATTTTGCGACAAATCCTTCCTAAGCTGGAATTTGGCATAGGAAGCTTTGTTTCATCTGAAGGAGATAATGAATTTGAAAGAATACTACAATTTTATTGGGTTTGTATATGATTTAATGCATTAATGACATTTGTTTTATATATGTTGTTAATTGCTAAATAATAGCAGTCTTAAATATTTCTGAAAGGCCTTTTATCTTGATCCTTAAAGATAGATGCTATAGCATTAAAATACACTTACTGAAGAATCAATATTGTTAAAATGTCCATACTACCCAAAGCAATCTACAGATTCAATGCAATCCCTATTAAAATACTAATGACATTCTTCACAGAAATAGAAAAAACAATCCTAAAATTTATGTGGAACCACAAAAGACTCAGAATAGTCAAAGCTATCCTAAGCAAAAAAACCCACAAAACTGCATGAATCACATTACCTGACTTCAAATTATACTATAGAGCTTTAGTAACTAAAATAGTATGGTACTGGCATTAAAACATAGACCAATGGAACAGAATAGAGAACCCGGAAACAAATCCACACACCTAAGTGAACTCATTTTCAGCAAAGGCCCCAAGAACATACACTGGGGAAAATACAGTCTCTTCAATAAATGATGCTGGGAAAACTGGATATTCATATGCAGAAGAAGGAAACTAGGCCCCCATATGTCACTTTATGCAAAATCAAATCAAGCTGGACTAAAGAGTTAGTTTAAGGCCTCAAACTATGAAATTGCTACAAGAAAACATTGGGGAATGCCTCCAGGACATTGGTCTGAGCAAAAATTTCTTGAGTAATACCCCACAAGCACAGGCAACCAAAGAAAAAATGGACAAATGGGATCACATCAAGTTAAAAACCTTCGGCACAGCAAAGGAAGCAATCAACAAAGTGAAAAGACTGAGAGAAAATATTCGGAAACTACCAATCTGACAAGGGATTAATAACCAGAATATATAAGGGGCCCAAACAACTATAAGAAAAAAATACAATAATCTGATTTTTTAAATGGGCAAAAGACTTGAATAGACATTTTTCAAAAGAAGACATACAATTGACAAACAGGCATATGAAAAGGTGCTCAACATCATTGATCATCAGAGAAATGCAAATCAAAACTAAATAAGGTATCATCTCACCCCAATTAAAATGACTTTTATTCAAAAGACAGACAATAACAAATGCTGGAGAGGATGTGGAGAAAAGGAAACCTTTGTACACCGTTAGTGGGAATGTAAATTAGTACAACCACTATCGAGAATAGTTTAGAGGTTCCTCAAAAAACTAAAAATAGAGCTACCATAGGATCCAGCAATCCCACTGCTGGGTATATACCCAAAAGAAAGGACATCAGTATATTGAAGACATGCCTGCACTCCCATGTTTGTTGCAGCACTGTTCACAAGAGCCAAGATTTGCAAGCAACCTAAGTGTCCATCAATAGATGAACGGATAAGGAAAATGTGGTGGATATACACAATGTAGTACAGTTCAGCCATAGAAAGGATGAGATCCTGTCATTTGCATCAACATGGATGGAACTGGAGGTCATTATGTTAAGTGAAATTAGATAGGCACAGAAAGACAAACATCACATGTTCTCACTTATTTGTGGGATCTAAAAAGCAAAACAATCAAACTCATGGAGATAGAGAGTAGAAGCTTACCAGAGGCTGGGAAGGGGAGTGGGAGTTCAGAGGGAGGTGGGGAATGGGTAATGGATACAAAAAATAGAATGAATAAGACCTAGTATTTGATAGCACAACAGGGTAACTATAGTCAATCATAATTTAATTGTACATTTAAAAATAACTAAAAGTGTATAATTGAATTGTTTATAACACAAAGGATAAATGCTTGGGGGGATGAATAGCCCATTTTCCATTATGTGACTACTATGCATTGCATCATTGCATGCCCATATCAAAATATCTTTTCATGTACCATATATATATATATATATATATATATATATATATATATATATATGTATATATATATATATATATGTATATCTATATATGTACTATGTGCCCACAAAAATTAAAAATTTTTAAAAATGCATTTACTTATAAACCAAGAAACTTCAAATGTGTTGAAGAATTATTACTAGGACCATGTTGCATGGCATTAACTTGGAACCAGTTATATGTTTTATGATGTATAAATTACAGGTTTTGCAAAGAGATGTCCAAAAGGAAACCACTCTGCAACTAAAAAACTAAGAAAAACCTCTAGTAGTAGATCAATTCCCTGTTATTTGTTCTGGGCAAGAGGACTCCAGGCAAGCTTCAATATCTTCTACATGCAAATTACAGTGGTCCCTTGGTATCATTAGATTTATCTCAGGACCCCCACAAATACCACAGTCCAGAGATGCTCAAGTCCCTTATATAAAATACCATAGTCTTTGCATATAATCTATGTACAACCTCACACAATAGTTAGGTATTATAAGTAATAATTATAAATAGTTACATTATATTGTTTTCTATTTGTATTATTTTTTATTGTTGTTTTGTTTTTTTTTTTGCGACGAGGTCTCACTTTGTCACCCAGGCTGGAGTATAGTGGTGTGATCATAGTTCACTGTAGCCTCAAACTCCTGTGCTCAAGCAATCCTCCTGCTTCAGCCTTCTGAGTAGCTGGGGCTACAGGTACTTGCCACCATGCCTGGCTAATTTTTAAAATATTTTTGTAAAGATGGGGTTTCACTATATTGCCCAGACTGGTCTTGAACTGCTGGGCTCAAATGATCCTCCAGCCTTAGCCTCCCAAAGTGCTGGGATTACAGAATGAGCCACTGTGCCCAGCCTGCTATTTTTTATTTTTTTCTGGATATTTTCAATTTGTGGTTGGTTGAATCCTCAAATGCGAAACCCATGGATATGAAGGACCAACCGTACTTCCAAATTTATACATTCAGCCAGGCCACTGACATCTTTTTGGATGGTAAAAAGACATCTCAAACTCAGCAAGTCCATAAACAAACATGGTGGGCATCTAGTATATTGTTAGGGTGCTCCTTTCCTTCTCCTACTCTACCCCAAGCTCTGGGCATCCTTTCACCTCTTCTTCCCTATAAACTGGCCCAGTGGGTTTTTGAAAACCTCAGCCTCCCAAGAGTGAGACTCCTTCCCCTTACCATGCAATAGACTAGAGGGTGTCTGCTAGGGAACTCTCTGAGATGAAGTAAGGAATCTATTGGGAGTTGAGTACTTAGGTGGGGAGGGAGGGATCTACAGGCACTATTCACTCATGAATAGGGAGGAAGTTGTTTTTGCTTTGCTTTGCTTTATTTTAAAGCTTATAAACAATAGAAATTTATTTCTCATGGTTCTGGAAGCTGGGAATTCCAAGATCAAAGTGCTGGCAGAAAAGGGGTTCTTGTATATATAATACACCTTCTTGCTGTTTCCTCATATGGTAAAAGAAGTAAGGTAGGTTTTGCTTTGTTTTTAGTAGAATTAGGAGATAAACAGATAATAAAGCATAGTTAAATATAAGCCAAGGTTTAAAATGTGGAGTACCTATGTAAAATAATCAATTTAGTAATACATAGTCTACAATAAAACTGGACTAAACCCTGCAGCCCATGCTCAAATCCTAGTTTAACTACTCAGTAGCTTTGACCTAGGGCAAGTGACCGAATCTCTCTATACCCTCTACTCCATTAGAAAACAGGAATTTTTTTAAAAAAGTTATCATTTTATCATTGTCTTGAGGATTATGTGAGTTAATAATTACCATGGCACCCAACACCTAGTAAGTATTTAGTAAATGCTATCTATTTTTTTTCTTCTATGTGCCAGGCATTATGCTGGACACTGGAGTTATAGTAGTACACAGGACAGATACAGTCTTGTACATCTGCAGAGATTATGGGTTAGTTAGAGAGAGACCAGAAAACAGGTAATTGCAACATATTTTATTAAGTAAGCTCAAGGAAGGACAGTGTGCTACACAACTACATGGGAAGAGCGTGTGAACAGATTTAAGGATCAGGAAAATCCTCCTGAGCTAAGCAATTACAGTGTGAAAGAATGGTTGTCATCTATGTATTATTAAACAGGTAATTTTCCATGGGACCATGTTCCACAATCCTTTAATCCCATCACATAGTAGTCACTTAATAAACATAAACTGAATCGATGTTGAATAAATTGTTCTGAAATTCTCACTTAAATCCCCCATATGTAGAATCAAGTAATTTTCTCACCAGCAGTTTGCTCTCTAGAAAGTTTGTGGAATGTTACATGTGCAGGCTTTGGACTCAGACCTGGTTGTGCTCCTATCTGTAAAGTAAGGATTATAGTAATACCTACCTCATAGGGTTGTTTGAGGATTAAATATGTATGTGAAGCATTTAGCTGTACCTAGAACATAATTTGGCACCCACAGACAACTATTATAGTATTTTATGAGTACTATTTCTTTGAGGCTTTTGTGATCTTTTTGCATACAGTAATTCCAGATTACCCAGTTGTAATGTGGGTTTATGTGCTGTTCTGTCTTTGATCCAGGTCACGGGATTTCCCATCCAGATGCCATACATTGATGTACAGTCAATTATTGATGCTGTTTATCAAACTGGAATTCACTCTGCTGAATTTCCCCAGACAGAATTTGCTTTAGCTGTATACATTCACCCATACCCAAACAACATATTATCTGTGTGGGTCTATTTGGCTTCCTTAGTTCAACATCAATGAAAAGGAAGCAGAGCAAAGTAAAAGATTGTACTATAGTCCTCTAGTACCAACAAAAACTTTTCTGGTACCTTGAGATTTTGCTGTTTATTCTCAAGTCCAGCTAAGTGCTGGGCCCAATTTTTGATTCACTTACAGAGCTGGGCACTATGGAGACTCGCACCCCTGAGTGAGTCTTTGAGGAGGAGTCTAGATGAGCTTCTCACCAGAGACCTCTCCAGGAAGGACCTTTGGATAGTCTGGCTTTCTTGGGTCACTGTCTGCAGTAGGTCTTATTCTGGGAAAGAAGCAATTTTGGCCTCTTCTCCTAAGACCAATGTTTCTCAAATTGTAGAATTCACACCACCTCCATTTGAATCATCTGGAGAGCCTTGTTGAAAATGCAGATTACTAGATCCTCCTCAAGACCCACTGAATCAGCACCTCTGGGAGTGAAGCTACAGACTCTGCATTATTTTCAACAAGCTCCCCAGATAATTCTGATGCACTGTTATGAGGGAGAGCCCAGCCTTATAGAATGTTGTCACTACTAAACTAAGGCTGGTACGTTTGATGCTGGGTCTGATACAATTTCAGATGGAAGCTGCTCGAGTGGAAAACTAAGGTCATTGCCTCTCATGGATAAAATGTTATTTCACTGGTAAAGAAAAATAAAATAAAATCTACCATGTTGGGCTGATGTTGGCTTCTGGAAGCTTCTCAAAAGTTTGCACTTTGGATGCTACTGACATGAAATTCTTACAGCTCCATGTATTTGGAAGGAACTCCCAGGAAACTCTAATTTCTCCCAATTCTGTGAGGGAGGAAATGGTCTTGACAAATCTCAGGACTCTTTTTTTCCTTAGTGAGCAGCCCCCAACTCTGCCTCTGGCACTTTTTGCTGCTTTTCTTTCTTAGTAGTGGCTTATCTAGATCCTAAGAGCCCCTCAAGAAAGACTGGACAGGGGTCTAAGTAGGAAGCACTATACTTTCTTCTAGTTTATTGTTTTGTCCTTCATTAAAAGAAATGTGTTTATATAATTTACTTACATATGACAAAATAACTTATCAAAAAGAAATAATCAAGGAGTATGGATTTCCAAAGGTTGACCAGAGCAGTTTTGTATGAGGTAAAGATAAAAGAACATTCACCTCTCCCATTGAAGAACCACTGAGGTTTCTTGGTTCACTCCCACAAGCAGAGAGCAGAGACCCCAAATGTATCTGCAGGGAATACCCAATCTGTATCTGTTTCCTAAATGTGCATGGGCTGGTGCCAGAAAAGGCCTCACTTATTTGTGGTGATGTTAGTCTTGGACCAAGCTTGAGATTACTAGAAGAGGCAAAGTAGGGACATGGGTGAAGGAATGTTTTTTTCTCCCAGGTTAAAACCTAACTGTATGTGTCTTGTGGCATGCATAAGAAAACTGATCAGAATTTTTACTTTTATTTGAATGTTTTTGTTTAAATTTAATGTGAAGTTTTATTATTAAACAAGTCCCCCACTTTGATTGATTTAGCACAAAATGATGCTGATGGAAAGATGAGGATGCCAAAGACAGACTGAATTCATGCAACTCATTTCTGTACAGCTTTGAATATTTACATAGCTATTTTATTTGTTGTTCAGGGTTTTTAGAATTGATAGACTGCTTAAGAGTAGGGTAGCAAGTGTTCATAGGAAAGCATGGAGGACCTTTTTATATTGTATCCTTTTTACATGAGTGTTACTTTTTCAATTAAATTTTTTCCTGAAAATCATGAAATTATCTGTAATGAATCTTTTTTTCATGAAAACATTTGAAAAATACATGATTTTAAGTGGAATGTATAATTGCAAAGTTCTTTATATCATTCCATAAATAATTACAGGGCATCCATTACATGCCAGATACTGTGTATTATCTATTTAATAATGTGCTGGAGCACAGTGGTGAAAAGACAAAGACTCTACCAGTGTGAGTCTTACATTTTTAAAGGGGAAACAAACCACAGCAAGTAAGTGAGAAGATTTCAGGGTGTGATGAGTGCTCTAAAGGAAACAAATAGGATGGGATGATAGAGAAGGACTTTGGTGGGGATGAAGGGTATAAGCAGAGCAGTCAGGGAAGGCCTAAGGAGATAACATTTAAGCTGATATTTTAAAAATGATTTAACATTAGAATTGCATTCAGTTGCGTGTAACAGAAACCTAACCACAGTAGCTTAACCAAATAGGGATTATTTTTCACATGTCTCCAAGTCCAGAGGAGGCAGTCCAAGTTTGGTGCAAGAGGCCTACTAACTTCATCCAATTTCTTTGCGATCTCTAAAGAGACTTCTATTTTCTAGCCCAGTGGCTTTCAAATTTCAGCAGGTATAAAAATCACCTGAAGGGCTTGTTGAAACACAGATTGCTGGGCCCCACCCCCAGGGTTTCTGATTCAGAAATTATCAGGGTGATGCCTGATAATTTGCACATGTAAGTTCCCTGGTGATGCTGAGACGGCTGATCTGGGGACCACACTTTGAGAACCTCAGTTCTAGCTTCACAACCATTTTCATGGCTTAAAAATGTAGAAAAGGAAGGGGAAGACAGACGATGCCAACTGGTTCCATTCTTTTAAGAAAGCTTGCCAAGAAGCCATGCCAGTAACTTCTACTTATATCCCTTTGGCCAGAACTGTATCACTCCTAGCCATAAGGGAGCCTGGGAGATCAAGTATTTTAAATGGACATATTGCTCTCCCAACTAAAGTCAGTATCCTATTGGTAAGGAAGGAGGAGAGGGTGGCTGTTGGGTAGGCAAATCAGAGTCTGCCACAGATGAGAGGAAGCCAGTCATGCAAAGACCAGTGGCAAAAAGCATTTGAGGTAGAGGGAACTGCAACTGTGAAGTCCTTCTGTCCAAAAAGAGACTTGCCTGGGGAAGGGAGAGTAGTAGCACATAAGTCTGGAGAGGTAGATAGGACCAGATCACGTAGGTCTTGGTAAAGAGTTTGGATTTTATTTACAGTGCAACAGGAAATCATTGAAAAGTTTTAAGCAACTGAATAAAATAATATTTTTCTTTTTTATATTTGAAATTACTTTAAAAACTATTTTTTACAGATACTCATTATTTTATATAAGTGCATAAATGTCATCATGTTTTTTGAAATGCAGGTTTTTTCTTTTTTTCGCTTGAGTCTCTGTCCACTGCTCTCCTCTCCCCACCCACATTGTTCACTTCTTCTACCTTCTTACCAACCATGTTGCATGTATCCTTTCACTTCACCAACATTCTCAAATATTCATATGCCAACACACACACACATGCACATATATGCATCTGTTACTGTCTTAGAAAAATGAGATGACATATGTTTTTCTGCATATTGTTTTTTTCCTTCAAAAATAGTAAAACACCTCCAAGTGAACTATTCATGTTTCCTAAAGGATGCATAACATTCTACAGTGTGGGCAGGACCACTGCATACACTTAAGGAGGTTATGCACCACATGACTCGAAAGTTTATGTGCAAGGACCCCTAGAGTTGTGTAGTATGTAGAAACCTTGGTTGTAAATGTTATTTATTACAGCTTATTCAAACCATTCCCCTACTGATGGGAATTTCTTTTAGTCCATTTGGTTGACATGTTGTTTATTTTTCCTATATCCTTGCTACTTTTGTGTCTATGAGTTCTATTACTGAAAGAGGAGTGTTGAAGTTACCAACTGTAATTATAAGTTTCTCTATGTCTTTTTTTTTGAGAAGGAGTCTCATTCTGCCACTCAGGTTGGAGTTCAGTGGCACAATCTCAACTCACTGCAACCTCCACCTCCAAGGTTTAAGCGATTCTCCTGCCTCAGCCTCCTGAGTAGCTGGGATTACAGGCGCCTGCCACAATGCCTGGCTGATTTTTGTACTTTTAGTAGAGATGAGGTTTCACCATGTTGGCCAGGGAGTTTATTTCTTCTTTCAGTTTTGTTAGTTTTTGTTTAATGTATTTTAAGTTCTATTGTTAGATGGACACACATTTAGGATTTATGTCTCCTTAATGAATTAACTCTTTTATCATTATACAATGTCCCTCTTTAGTCTCAGTAATTTTCTTTGCTCTGAAGTCTGTTTTGTCTGATGTTAATGTAGCTACTCCAGCTTTCTTTTGATTAGGGTTTGTGTGGTATACATATTTTCATTTTTTTATTTTTAACATACCTATATAATTATAGTTGAAATGAGTTTCTTGTAGACAGCATATACCTGAGTTACGGTTTTTGTTTTGTTTTGAGATGAAGTCTCGCTCTGTCGCCAGGCTGGAGTGCAGTGGTGCAATTTCGGCTCACTGCAACCTCCGACTCCTGGGTTCAAGCAATTCTCCTGCCTCAGCCTCCCAAGTACCTGGGATTACAGGTGTGCACCACCATGCCCAGCTGATTTTTTGTATTTTTAGTAGAGCTGGGGTTTCACCATGTTGACCAGGATGGTCTTGATCTCCTGACCTCATGATCTGCCCACCTCAGGCTCCCAAAGTGCTGGGATTACAGGCGTGAGCCACCATGCCTGGCCTATGATATTTTTTATACCCTCTGATAATCTTTTTTAATTGGTGTGTTTAGACAATTTACACTTAATGTAATTGTTGGTATGTTTGGACTTAGGTCTATCATTTCATTATTTGCATTTCATTTGCTCTGTTTCAGTTCCACTGTTTCCTCTTTCCTGCTTTCTCAGGTTATTTGAACATTTCTTAGTATTTCATTTTAATGTATCTATTATATTTTTGACTATATGTTTTTGTATATATTTTTTAAGTTTTTCTAGGGATTATCCTAATACACATTTAACTTTTCACAGCCTACACAGAATCTACTTTTTACCACTTTTAAGTGGAATGTAGAAATCTTACCACATATTCTTTTGTACTTCTGCCTTTATGGTATAATTGTCTAATATATTGTATCTGTTGAAGTATATGCTGAAAACACTAGAAGACAATGTTCACATTTTTGCTTTTAACCATCAAATGTATTTTAAAGAACTCAAGTGGAAAAGAATGTTTACCCAAACATTTATCACTCTGTTGTTCTTCCTTCATTCCTGATGTGCTAAGTTTCCTTCTGGTATTATTTCCCTTCTGTTTAAAAAATGTCCTTTAGCAATTCTTTTAGAGCAGGTTTACTGACAACAAGTCTTTGTTTTCTTTCATCTTCAAATGTCTTTAATTTCATTTCTGAATGATATTTTTGCAGGATTAGAATTCTGGGCCTGACAGTTCTTTTCTCTCAGGACTTAAAAACAAATTTCAACCTTTATTTTAGATTAAGGGGGCATATGTGTAGGTTTGTTACATGGATATATTGAATGATGCTGAGGTTGCAGATATGAATGAGCCCATCACTCAGGTAGTGAGGATAGTAACCAACAGTTAGTTTTTCAGTCCTTCCCCCCTTCTCTCCCTCCCTGCTCTAGTAGTACCCAGTGTCTATTGTTGCCATCTTTATGTCCATGAGTACCCAATGTTTTGCTCCCACTTGTGAGAATGTGATATTTGATTTTCTGTTCCTGCATTAATTCACTTAGGATAATGGTCTCCAGCTACAACCATGTTGCTGCAGAGGACATGATTTCATTCTTTTCTGTGGCACCTCAGCATTTAAAAAATTTTGTTCTATTTCTCTCTGGTCTTCTTGGTTTCTGGTGAGAGACCCACCATACGTTGAATTTTTCATTCTTCCCCTATAAGTAATGTTTTGTTTCTCTCTGGTTGTTTTCAATTTTTTTCTCTAGTTTTTTAGAAGGGTTTTTTGTGTGTGTGTTTGTTTTTGAGACAGAGTCTTGCTCTGTCACCCAGGATGGAGTGCAATGGCTTAATCTTGGCTCACTGCAACCTCCACCTCCTACGTTCCAGCAGTTCTTCTGCCTCAGCCTCCCAAGTAGCTGGGATAACAGGTGCACCTCACCACGCCCAGCTAATTTTTGTATTTTTAGTAGAGATGGGGTTTCACCATGTTGTCCAGGCTGGTCTCAAACTCCTGGCCTCAAGTGATCCACTCACCTTGGTCTCCCAAAGTGCTGGTATTACAGGTTTGAGCGACTGTGCCCAGCCTAGTTTTTAGCAGTTTTATTATGTGTGTGGGTATAGATTTCTTTGGGTTTATCCTTGTTAGCATCACCTGAGTTTCTGAATCTGTTTTTGTCTTTTCTCAAATTAGAGGAATTTTCAGCCATTATTCTCCCAAATATTTCTGTACCATATTCTTTCTCCTTTCCTTCAGAGACTCCAATGACATAAGCATTAGACCACTGGGTATTATCCCACAGGTCTCCAAGTCTCTGTTCATTTGTTTCCAACTTTTTTTCAGGTTGTACTATTTCTATTGATCTACCTTGAAGTTCACTGACTACTCTGACATCTCCATTCTCCTAATGAGCCCATCCCATGAGTGTTTTTAAGTTTTGTTTTTTTCTATCTTTTTAGTTATAAATTTTCCATCTAATTTCTTCTTTATGTATTCTATTTATTTGCTGAAACTTCTTATCTTTCCATTCATTTCAAGAAAGTTTTCTCTTCTTGGAGCATTACTATAATAGCTATTTTAAAGTCTTGTCAAATAATTCTCTGTCATCTTAGTGTTAGTGTTTGTTGATTGTCTTTCCCATGAGAATTGAGATTTGTTTTTGTTCTTCATAGGCTGAGTAATTTGGGTTGTATCCAGGGCAATTTGAATATGCTGTATGTTAGGAGATCTACGTCTTACTTAAATCTTTTGGAGAATGTTGATGTTTTTTGTTGTAGCCGGGAACCAATCTGGTTGAGTTCAGGCTGCAAGTTCTGGCTAGCCTTTTGTGGGTTGTGGTTTCGATGTCAGGTCCATTTTCAAAGTCTTTCTGTGCTACTCAGATCTGTCACATATGTGTGCTGCTTAGTGGCCAGCCACTGCTCTGGGCAGTTCTGAGTTTTTAGTCTTTTCAGAGTGGATCTATGTATGCACAACTCAGAGGTAAGCCCAGTTGTTCATAAGCACTTTGTGGGATCATTTTCCAAAGCTGCTCCTCCCTCTCCACAGTCTCCCCAGTACTTTTCAGTTCCCTGGGCCTCCCTTTTTCAGTTCTCCAGCCATAAAGCTGTGGTTTTTAGTTACACCTCTTTGCCCACACTTCCCATTATTGTACCTCCATCCAGAGTAAGGCAGTGGGAAGACAAAGGAAAACAAACAACCACAGCTGTTCTGATCAGATAAGAGGCTTTCCTTTCCTAAGTTTTCGGCACCTGTTGGCCCCTATTACCACTGTTGTGGCTACCACCAATCTGCTGAAGAATGCCTGGGGGCTACAGCAGGAGAGAGAGAAAAGAAAGAAAAAATAAATAAATGGGAATTGCCTCACTCTGATCATTAGGAGACTCCTTTGCTGTTCCTTATAACAAAAGGGATTCTCCTAGGGCTCTCCCTTTCTGTGCCCTGGTGCCCATTTCTAGATTTCAGGCTTCCTGAATCCAAGCTGGGGAATCCTGGAGGAAGAAGGGGTAACTCACCACCAGTTTGGTGATATTTCAAATTAAGGTCTTCCTCCCCACTTGCCTGCTACTATTTACTTTACATTGTCTTCAAATAGCTGCTCATGCAGTCTGTCCAGATTTTATAGTTACATTCGGTGGGAGAGACAGGGTGAAGCTGGCTTAATCCATTGTGTTAGGGTTCTCCAGAGAAACAGAACCAACAGAATGTGCATGTGCATATGTGTGTATTTACCTATCTATCTGCATATATATGTGTGTATATGCATATACACAGAGATACAGATATATAAACTAAGGAATTATATCTATATCTATAGTTATATATCTATATCTTACATGATCATAAAGGCTGAGGAGTCCCAAGATCTGCTGTCAGGAGCTGGAGACCAGGAGAGTTGACAGGTAATTCCAGTCTGAAAACCGGCAGGCTCAAGATGCAAGAAGAGCTGATGTTTCAGTTTGAGTCTGAAGGCCAGGAAAGACCTATGTCCCAGCTCAAATAAGTTGGGCAGCAGGAATTCTCTCTTCCTCGACAAAGGGTCAATCTTTTTATTCTATTCAGGCCTTAAACTGATTGGATGAGGACCACTCACATTAGGGAGGGCAATCCACTTTACTTACTCCATGATTCAAATGTTTATCACATCCAAAAACACTCTCACAGACACACCCAGAATAATATTTGACCAAATATCTGGCACCCAATCTTGGCCCAGTCAAGTTGACACATAAAATTAACTGTCACATTCATCTTATCCAGAAATAGAATCTTATATAGCATTTTAAAATTTGGAATATTTTTCATAAATTACAGATTACAAATATCTGTGATTACAAATACCTGGAACTAATTTTTTATAAAGTAGACTTAAAAACTATCCTTAACATTGTTCAATATGCTAAAACAGTTTGGAAATGTGATCTAGGAACTCTTGACTATCAAGCTCAGATGTGATTTACCTTTTTATGACCACTCCAACTACTAGGTGATGAATATTTTCAAGAAGGACAGGAGCAGTTGCAATAAGACCAGTTAAGAGACTACTGTACAAGTGTAACTGAGAGATGGTGGATATGAATAGTAGTTGCAATGAGTTGAATACTACAAATAGCAACAAATCAAGAACAGAGAACCAGAGCCCAGGGCTGTTGGCTTCCAGGCCTTTGCATCCAGTAGAATATGCTGCTGCCATTAAAAGGAATCCTGGATGTCCTGTTATGGAATGTTCGCCGGAATATTCTGTATGACAAAATCTAGGTACACAACAGAGCATGTAACATACTACCATTTGTACATAAAATGAGGCAAGGGAGTTTCATATATATATATATATATATATATATATATATACATGGTTATAAATACCTGGATATCCCTGGAAGGCTACAAAAGAAAAGAGTAATGGTGTCACCTCTGGAAAAAACTGGGACCAGGGAGGGAAAGAAACTTGCTAGTCACTGTATAGTCTTCTATGGCTTGAAATCTTCTAGCTTTTTCATGCATTCATTTAAAAAACTTAAACAATTAAAAAATCAGTGCTTTTCCACGGCGTAAAGTTCTGTGAGTTACAGAAGATTTCCAGAGAATCTGGTCCCACCTCATCTCTTGTCAAATCTACCTGTGCCTTATGCTGCAGTCACAAAGGACTCTGCAGTTTCCCTATTCTGCCCTTTATATAGATGTTCTGCCTTTTTTACTTCCATTCTTTCATACCATTGGTGATCAGTGCTTCCTTGACTTAGAACGTCTTTCCTATCTCCTCTTCACTCCAGACATACAGTGGCCTCTATTTTCATTCCAAACATGCCTTCACTTTAGAGTCTTTGCGTGTACCAATTCCCTCGGCCTGGAATGCTCAGCCACCTGATACGTACCTACTCTCTCACTTCCCTCAGGCCTTTGCATGCCTTACCTTATCATGAAACAAAGTCCACCCATTTCTTTTTTTTTTTTTTTTTTCCGAGACACAGTCTGGCTCTGTCACCCAGGCTGGAGTATAGTGGCGCGATCTCGGCTCACTGCAACCACCGCCTCCCGGGCTCAAGCAATTCTTCTGCCTCAGCCTACCGAGTAGCTGGGATTATAGGCGCCCACCACCACACCTGGCTAATTTTTGTATTTTTAGTAGATACGGGGTTTCACCATGTTGGCCAGGCTGTTCTCGAACTCTCGACCTTAGGTAATCTGCTGGCCTCAGCCTCCCAAAGTGATGGGATTACAGGCATGAGCCACCACACCCAGCCCACCCATGGTCACTTTCTAGCCTTTTTTTCTGTTTATTTTTCTTCACATCACTTGTCACCATGTGATATGTTTTTTTGTTGTTGTTCATTGTATCTCTATTTCTAGTGGAATAAAAACTCTATGAGAGCAGAGACTTTAGGAGTTAAGTAAATACCTTAACTGTGTCCACCTTGCTCTAAAGGAATTAAATAAATCATAGTAAGTTTGAACTTTGCATTTTAAGGATTTACTATCTAAGACACACTATGGCAAAATATATGTGTAAAATGAACATTAATCCATAAAAGGAAATGGACATTGAAGTCTTCTCATCACAAGGCAAGTCCAGAAAACAATAATGATTTCTGAACAAATATATCCCAGTGAACAATATTTTCAAAGTAGAAGCGATAAATACAGTCTACTTCTTATACTAATGATTATAGTCTGTGCCCCATTTTTCTGAAAGTGTTCTTAAATAGGCCCTGGACAGTTATTTAGAAGCCAAATTATTATAAAGTTGTTTAATAGTCATGAAATGGAACCCAAGGATGTAGACACTATTTAAATGCCATTAAAAATGGCATGAAGCTTTTAGCCTGATGTGTCTACCTTCACTCTAGAGGACCCTGCAACTGAGAGACAGGCCAGGGCAGCCTTCTCCCTGGACTATGTCGGGTTAGGCCGGGATCTGCCAACTTCAGCTTCTGAGTTTCCCTTTTCTTGCCTTTGGTTCCTGCGGGCCTGCTCTCCTGGGTATAAGCATCGTCTATGGATAGGGTACGGCTCATATACATGTCTGCTGATGATCTTCAAATGAAGATGCCACCCAGAATCACATAAAATGTATTTATCACTTTGTAGTAGTTCTTTATCATCATGTATCTTTTTGGACAAAGGATTCAAAGTAAAAGGGGTGAAGTTTTAAAAATATTTACGTTTTACTATTAAGAGATTGATCTCCAGTCTCAGAAAAGTGGACAGTCTCACTGTCCTAGGGTTACCATCCACCTCTTTTGTGATAATCCACCAAAGAGGTTAAAATACAATTGATTAGGTTTCCTCTAATCACATTTCAGCCCCCATATCACCTCAATTGACGTCGGAGTGTTCTCACAGTTTTGCAGTTTCCTGATTTACGAGCACAGATGGTTAATTACATCCACCATGGGTTTGACAAGCAAGGTTACTAGAAGTAATCTTAAATGTCTTCATTCAAAGCTCTTGGGAATCCCTACAGCAACGAAAATAAGGAGGGGGAAGAGATTAATTAGGTTTCTAGAAGAAAGGTGGAGTTTGAGGTGGAACTTAAAAAAAGAGCATAATTTCACAGGAAAAAAAAAACGCTTCAGGGGCTGCAGAAACAGCTAAAGCACATTTGGAGGGCCTGATGATCCACGGAGCAGCCCCTGGGATGGAAGCGGTTGGTGCAACGTGAAGTAAGGTAAACCGAATCCATGCCGTGAAGACTTTTAAACGCCAAACTGAGGCGTCGGAACTTTGCTCCGCGGGCATCGAGGAGCCATCGAAGGTTCTCAGCAGGTGAGTGGCCTAACTGGATTGGTCACTGCAGTGATCCACCTTACAATTTCTCCGGCGCTCTCTGCCGACCTCAGCCGGCGATCAGGCCGGCTTCGCAGTAGGTGGCGGCTGAGCGCCCCGGCAACCGAAGCGCCAGGCCAGCCCAGGCCACGCCGCGCCGTGCGGGATGCTGACCGTACCCAGGCGGGAGCCGCCGCGCCGCCGCCTGGCGCTGCACCTGGGCCCGGCCCGGCCGCCAATTGGACGGCTCGGGGCGACCCCGCTGTATCGCGAGACGAGATTGGCAGCGGCGGGGCCTCAAGTGCCCCCGCGCTGGCTTTGTATGCGGAGCCGCCTGCCGGTCCTTTAACAATGGGCGGCGCGAGCGTCCAGGCGCTGGGCTCTAGCTGAGGCCGGCGCTTAGCGGCCCACTGTCCGCAGCATGAGCGGGGCCGGCGTCCGCCGCACGACGGCGGGGCTGGGGCTGTGAGGGCCGCGGTTCCGGGTAAGGGAGCCAGCGTGGGGCCGGGCGGCCCGGCAGGCCTGGGGTAGGCGTGGGGCAGCGGACCCTCCCGGGGTGAGGCGCAGAGCCTGGCTGGCCCGGCCTTTTGTTCCCCTTTCTGAGGCCGCGCGGAACGTGCGTTTCTCGGGGCTCCCGGGGAGGAGCAGGCTCCCGACGTCCATGCGGAGACCCGCGGCCAGGCAGACGCTCACCCCCGGGCTTTGCCATGGGAGCGTTTCCCCTCAGCGGGGCTATGAGCGTGTCACCTCTCCCCGCTCCTCAGGGAGGGCGGGAGAACTCCAGCCCCGGACGCAGGGAGCCCCAGCCGGGCCTCCCCCAGCTCTTCCCGAGCTCGCACCTGGCTCCGCGCTTTGGCAACTCAGGGCCCGAGTGGATCCCCTTTTGCCCGACACATAGTCGAGCAGTGAGTCTCAGAGTCCTTCGGCTCTTCCTGCGGGGGCAGACCCGGCTTCGCGTGTGGCGTTGGGGGAAACGACTCGGGTCGGGCTGGGTTGAGGAAGAGTCAAGTGAAGATGAGCAGCCACACCGGGTGGCCTGAGGTCACACCCCCCGGGGAGGGGGCGCAGAGGGTCGCGGGGGAGCCGGCAGTGACCGCGCCTGGGGTGTGTCTTACAGACTCGAGTTGCCGCGTCGGGCTGGGCGCGCCGCCGGGTCCCATGGAGCTGGAGGGGCAGTGGTGGCGAGGACAGCTGGCCGCCGATATTCACCAAGCGCTTCGCTACAAGGTAACTCCGAGGCCCGGCCTGCCTTCTCCTTCTGTGTGTCGCGCCAGTTGTTCTGAATCTCGGCTCTCTAGAAGGTCTAGTCAGGTTCTTTACTCACTATCTTCCGGGCCAGAAAAGGCGAGTTTGCTCATTTGCTCAAGGTTAATTAACTTCTTGGCTCCTTCTCTGGGATGTATCAAAAGAACCTGCAACCTGAATGAGTAGGGAGATGGTAGTTGGGCCAGGGAAGGTGGAAAGGGGCGTTCTGGCTTCCAGGTGGGTCATGAATTTGATCTTGTATTTTAAAAGATATATACACTGAATTTTTGTTGGGCAGAACAGCCCTCTTTGTTCGAGAGTTGCCGTTGCATGCAGCCAGTTTAAGTCGCTTTTGTACATAAATTCCTCAGCCTTTCCGCTAACTTGCCGTGAGACGTGGACAAGTGAAATTTCTGTTTCTTGATTTCCTCATCTGTAAAATGAGGAATAATGAGTGTGCCTTATGATTCTGGCGATTGTGAAACTTAAGTTAGTACCGTACATGTGCTTAGAAACTGCTCTTGGTATATAGTAAGCACTAAGTGATAACTTCTTATCACTTACCCCTCAGGATTTGGGCTGTTCAAAAGCCCTAAAGTGGAGGGAGTTGGCTGCCCCTTCCTGCTGATATCAAAGGCAGAAAGTAGACTTAATAGATATTGGAAAAAAATACTTTTCCAACACAAAGCAAAGTCTGTGTATTGTTGCTATTAAGTAACGGTTTTACTCTGCATGTGGCAAGGCAGATTAATGAGACATTTCTGCCTCTTCGATAACCAAAAGAGAGACCAGATCCAAAATGATCTCTAGCTTAACTCAGTTTCACCTTGGATAAAGAAAGCCATTTGTTAAATGTAGAAAATTGAGAAAGAAGCAAAACAGCTGACTTTCAATAAAAAGGATTCTGACTCTTGGGGTTGAGATCCTGGAATGATAATGAACTTTTATCTTGAGTTTCTGACCAGGTCAAGTAGATTGGAAAACCTAATTCTGACTTAAATTGTTACCCTTTTCTAGGCCTGAGATTTCTAAATGCTACTTAACTAATTCTGACATTCAGTCTCTTAGATTCACTAAAATACAGTTCAGCCCCCTAGGAGATGGTTTATACCACATAAAAATTCTAACTAATGGGATCTCTGGAGTGTTAGTTAGGAAAGAGTTGCAGTTTCTTGGAAAATTGTCCAGATACACTTTTGATCTTTTTTTTTTTTGGCAGATGTCATCTTTCAATGTGAAATGTTTTCTTTTTTAAAAAAATTAATATAGTTGCACATATTTTGAAAAGTGTTTTAAGTGTCAGCCTTTTTATCCCTCTGGTATGTAGTGAAATTAATTAGTTGATATTAAGAGTACTTTTTTTTTGAGTTGGAGTTTCACCTGACCTCAGGTGATCCACCTGCCTCGGCCTCCTAAAGTGCTGGGATTACAGGCATGAGCCACTGCGCCCAGCCAAGAGTATATTTTTTAATTGGCATGAAACTTAAAAGGTTTTTCTTGGTGATTTCCATACTTTTCAATCATTTTATGTGTAGATCATTTTAATTCGTGAGTGATTATCTGCATTTTGTCAATTGAGTTTGGACATGGGTTCTTTGTTTTTTTGTTTTTTCTCCTAGATTTAGATTTGTTGAAGGCTTTTGTGGATTAGTTTCTGGAGCATCCAAGGCATAAGACCCAACCTTATACTCACTCAAGTTGCTTATGAACTATCAGAGGACAAGGTAGCACAGGGTGTGAAGGAATGCCACTGAAAGTTTTATTGGGCCACCTATGGCCTACTGCCCTGGGTTGTCTTTATGTTTAAGCATTATGCAAACCATGGTTCTTACTGGCAACACTTTATACAAGAATTTACATTAATCTGTAAAACTTAAACTTGTGGAACTGGAGAGACCACTGTTTGTAATACACTGAAGGAAACTTAAAATGGACTTTTCTCCTAGAAAAGACGTGGTAATTCCAGGCTATTAATTGGTGATTCAGTCGGATAGTCATCTGTTTTTCTTCAACATGTTGATCATTTATGACATACATGATATCATGCCAGGTGTTAGAGCAATAACAGTGAACGAGACATGATCCTTGCCTTCATAGTCTAACCTTATCTATAATTTAGAGCATCCACATTTAGGTCTTCCTTTGGGCAGTTGCCATTGAGATACTGCAGAAGGTATTCTATGTTTAGGCCCTAGGTTTGTGGAGAAATATTTGGTGTGACTAGCATTGTGTTTACTAGGGAAGAGTGAAAATGACAATGAATGGAAATCATGCCAACTATCCACTCCCTCAAAAAACCCCTACAAAGCAGCTGTCACCTTACACCCTTTTGTCTCCTTTCTTCTCATTATTTTGCTGTGTATAGTTAGTGTCATAGGCTGTTTGGGAAAGTGTTTTTAGGAGCCTTAATGACAAATGGGAACAATTCTAGCTTTGTGAGAAACATTAAGAAAGTGAAGTCCATCAGTGTTTTCCAGGTGTTTCCAGGGAGTCTTTAAGACCATGTTCAGGCCACTTTTTGGGAAAACCTGCTCTGGTTTTGCCTTTTTTCCCCAACTCCCTAATCCCTGAGCTAAGTTAGATTTTCTTCCTAGGTGTTGCCATAATAACCTGTGGTGACTATATTGTGTGATAAGCTCTGTATTTGATTCACCTGCTAGAGATAGGCTTGAGACTGTTTTTCCAGCTTTTATGCCTGGGTTAGTATAGTGTCTGCTGCATGGGAGATGCTCAATAAATGTCACATGGTGGCAGCAAAGGTAAAGTTGCAACTCACTTACACCATTGTAAAGATCCAAAGAAAGAGTTAAGGAGAAAAGAAAAATCCTAGGAACTACATGAGAAATCGGCATCTTCCCTTTATGTGGAAAAAAAAAATTTTTTTGGCCAGGCATGGTGGCTCACACCTGTAATCTCAACACTTTGGGAGGCTGAAAGCAGGTGGATCACTTGAGTCCATGAGCTGGAGACCAGCCTGGGCAACATAGCGAGACCCTGTTGTACAGAAACTAACTGGGCGTGGCAGTGAGCGCTTGTAGTCCCAGCTACTCCAGAGGTTGAGGTGGTTGGATTGCTTGAGCCTGGGAGGTGGAGGGTGCAGTGAGCCAAGATGGCACCACTGTACTCCAGCCTGGGCTACAGGAAACCCTGTCTCAAAAAACAACAATTGATGTATTCTTTGGCTACACTACTAAATTACATTGACTATTTTATCCATTTATCTTAGGTAATATTAAGTTAGGTGAATATATAACTTCCCTTTTTTGTTTATCGTAAAATGTATCAACATAAAACTTTTTTTCCCCAACTTTTAAGTTCAGGGGTACGTGTGCAGGATGTGCAGGTTTGTTACATAGGTAAACGTTTGCCATGGTGGCTTACTGCACAGATCATCCCATCACCTAGGTATTAATCCCAGCATCCACTAGCTATTCTTCCTGATCCTCTTCCTCCTCCCACCCCCACCCTCCGACAGGCCCCAGTGTGTGTTGTTCCCCGCAACATGTGTCCATGTGTTCTCATCATTTAGCTCCCACTTATAAGTGAGAACATGTGGTATTTGGTTTTCTTTTCCTGCATTAGTTTGCTAAGGATAATGGCCTCCAGCTCCATCCATCTCTCTGCAAAGGACGTGATCTTGTTCCTTTTCATGGCTGCACAGTATTCCATGGTCTGTATGTACCACATTTTATCCAGTCTATCATTGATGGGCATTTAGGTTGATTCCATGTCTTTGCTCTTGTGAATAGTGCTTCAGTGAACATACACATGCATGTGTCTTTATAGTAGAATGATTTATATTCCTTTGGTTATATACCCAGTAATGAGATTGCTAGGTAAAAGGGTATTTCTGCCTCTAGGTCTTTGAGGAATCACCACACTGTCTTCCACAATGGTTGAACTAATTTACACTCCCACCAACAGTGTAAAAGCGTTCCTTTTTCTCCACAACCTTGCCAGCAGCTGTCATAACATAAAACTTACCATTCTAACCATTTTTAACTGTACAGTTCAGTGACATTAGGTACATTTGCATTGTTGTCACCACTATCTATCTTTAGAACTTTTTCATCTTCCCAAACTGAAACTCCATACCCATTGAACGATTACTCCCCAATTTCCCACCCTCTAGCTTCTGATAACCACTATTCTACTTTGTCCCTGTAAATAGGACTATTCTAGGTAACTCATTAAGTGGAATCATACAATAAATGTTCTTTCATGACTTTTTTCATTTAGCATACTGTCTCCAAGGTTCAACCATGTAGTATATTATAAGAATTTTCTAAGGCTGAATAATACTCCATGTATATACCACATTTTGTTTATCCATTCATCTGCTGGTGGGCATTTGCATTGTTTCCACCTTTTGGTTATTGTGAGTAATCCTGTTTTGAACATGTGTGTACAAATCTCTCTTCAAGTCCCTGCTTTCAGTTCTTTTGAGTATGTACCTAAACGTGGAATTGCTGGATCATGTGGTAACTCTGTTTAATTTATTGAGGGATTGCCATACTGTTATCTGTAACAACTACATCATTTTACATTCCCACCAGGAATGCACAAGGATTCCAGTTTCTCCACATTCAAGCTAACACTTATGATTATCTGGTTTTGTTTTGTTTTGTTTTGTTTTTTGATAATAGCAATCCAACTAGGTGTGAAGTGCTGTTAGTGGTTTTGATTTGCATTTCCTAATAATTAGTGATGCTGAACAAACATCTTTTTCATGTTTTATGATATTTTTTGGGCATTTGTGTGTATCTTCTTTGGAGAAATGTCTATTCAAATCCTTTGCCCATTTTTATAATTAGGTTTTTTGGTTGTTATCCAGTTGTATAAGTTATTTATATAATCTAGCTATTTACCCCTTATCAGATATGATTATAAATACTTTCATCCATTCTGCGGGTTGCCCTTTTACTCTGTTGATAGCATCTTTTGTTAAACAAAAGTTTTTAATTTTGTTAAAGTCCCATTTCTCTTTTCTTTTTCTTTTTCTTTTTTTTTTTTTTTTTTGCAGGGTAGGGGAAGTTCTGCTTTTGGTATCGTATCCCTGTTACTTCTTCTATTGTGATACCTGTTGGGTTTAGTATCAGTATTATGCTGATCTTATAAAATGAATTTGGAAGCTTTCCATCTTTCTCTATGCTCTGGAAATATTTTAATAGTATAGAATTTTTCCAGTTTTTAAAAAACAAGTTGATATAATATAGTCCTGAGATTGAAGTGATTTTAGGTGTATGAGAGGATGATGGGAAAGGGCAGATCATAAAACTGTTAAAAGGGAAACAAAATTAGAAGATACTAGAGGAAAGGTACTGCTTTCTACACTGTTGCAAGTATAATACTGTATGCAGCATATCCACTTATCTATTACCTTCTAACCAAAAGTTCTGAGCATCTTGGAGAGGTGTAGGGGCGTGTGTGTGGTATGTGGTTGGTTTGTCAGGGATGTTTTTCTGAAAACACCTGGTAGGGAAAACAGGATTCTCTTATTAAAAATCTTTGTAGGATGTATCCATTCTAGAAAGCAAGAAACAAGAACATCTATAATTGTTCACATCAGAAGTGGTTAAGAGTAAGGAGAAAAATTTGGTTTTAAATGTCATTCATTATCCCTCCACTTAACTTTTTCATTTTTGTATTCCAGTCAAGAAAAGTATGTTTTAGGCACTTGTAATACTAATATATTGGAAAAACAATGTTAAGTCATTGCCTTGTGGGGATACGCCTACAGATAGGTCAGACTAAATGTTGTTCCTTTTGACTTAGGAGCTGAAGTTGCCCTCCTATAAAGGCCAGTCCCCTCAGTTAAGTCTCAGACGGTATTTTGCTGACTTGATTGCCATTGTGAGCAATCGCTTCACACTCTGCCCTTCTGCCCGCCATCTTGCTGTCTATTTACTGGACCTGTTTATGGACCGCTATGACATCTCTATCCAGCAGCTGCATTTAGTTGCGCTTTCCTGCCTGCTTCTAGCAAGTAAGTATGAATCTGATTTACATGACTGGAAATTTCTGATGTTTATATAATAAAATAAATTTATGTAGAACTCAGTGAAATATCATCAAATCCCATTCATTCCAGTTCACTAGTATCAAGAAGCTTATGTTAAAAGTGCTTCTCAGTGTAATAATTCTTAACCAGACATTGAAAAATGGCTTTGGAGCCTGTTAAAAACATGTGCCTAAGCCGTACATTCTCGGCCACTCCAGATCTACTAAGACAAAATCTACATAATGGGTACTGGGTATTTTTTAACTTTTTGAAAAAGTTCCAAAGGTGATTTTGATTTACCTTTCCAATTGAGAACCATTGTCTTAAAGCAGTGGTTCTAAACCAGGAGCAGTTTTGTCCCACAGGGAACACTTGGCAACGTGTACAGACGTTTTGGTTGTCACATCTGGTGATAAAGTGGGAGATGCTTTTTTAGCATCTAGTACATAGAGGCCTGGGATGCTGCTAAACATCCGGTAGTGTACAGGACAGTTTCCCATAACAAAATTCTCTGTCCCAAAACATCAATGGAGCTAAAGTTGAGAAACTGTCTTAAAAGTACCATATTCTTATATTAGAATACTTTCTACTGACTAAATAATGAGTTGGCTTAATGAACTAAAAGTTAATGTGCAACTACTATAAATGTGAAAACTTTTGCTTATGCATTAGACCAACTGTGTAGTAGGCTCCAAGATACAATCTGATACAACCATATTTGTTACTTAGTACAGAATATACTGGTGGATCTTTTGGCCCCTCTTTCTCTTTACATCTTCCTATACCTCATTTCATTGCTCGTTGGTACTCTCACTGAAGATAGGGCACGTAAAGGAATTGAAATTGTGTTTTTTTTTCTTTTAATAATGTGGAAGATTGTATTTGATATGGAAGTTGAATCAGTAATATAGTTTCTATATTCATGTTATTACAATGAAATTTATAGTATGTAGATGTATTGATAACCTTCACTTTTAACTCTCACTTGAGGGATAAAGATTGTATTTGATATTGAAGTTAAATCAGTAATGTAGTTTCTGTATTATCCATGTCATTATAATAGAATCTTAAAGGAGTATGTAGATATACTGATAACCTTCACCTCTAACTCTCCCTTGAGGTTTTGGGGTCAAATATGGCTGGGATGAAATAAGGAACATTCCCCCTATATCCATGCCACCAGAGTTCTTTAGCACTTCTGTGCCTGGCTGCTTATAAATCTAAAACCAAATGTAGTCCTATGTAGTATCATTTCTGGTACTAATCTCTTCTCAGATTTTATTTTCTGACCTTTATTCTTCCTTTGATCTGATGACCTCAACTACTTATTTTGTCCCCAGAATGTCCCTTTGTAAGTTATTTCAGATCCATTGTAGAACCAGGCTGAATGTAAATAAAACACAGCTGCAGCATGACTTCCCACTGCCTATATATTAAGGTGGAAACTGCTTAATGTAGTGTTTAGAATCTTTCATCTGGACCCAGCCACCTTTCCAGTCTCATCCCCATGTACGTTGAGCAAAATTCTTAGAATACCATTTACTTCCTGAATATCTACATTTCCCCTTAATCTACTGTTCTCTAAAATTCAGACACTTCACTCATCCCTCATCCCCCTACCCAGGAGCCAGAGAGGTAATGCTTGTACATTTATAATTAACCTTTAATTTAGCCTCTAATTAAAGTTTCATGCTCATAAGTAATC